>NC_000002.12:205671436-205974466 GCF_000001405.40 Homo sapiens
GTGCTGTTAACTTCAGCTACCAAAAAAAAATTACCAATCTTAGCATATCTTCACCAGAGTATAATTGTTAAAATGATTCTATGAGAGATTCTGCAAGAAAAAAAATGTACAAAAATCGGAATTACTTGGGGAAATGGATGGGATGGATTTGCATTTGATATGACTTACAGTTGGCAAGGTGAAGAAAAGCATAAATACATTGAATTTCCCTGACCTGGGCAAATTCATCACTAATAACAGGAGTAATAATAACGACAATACAAATAAAGACCATAGAATGATACAAAGGCCTTTCAAAGATTTTTACACGTTTTTGTCTAAATAATAGTTTCAGAACCAATTTCAAGCAAATATACTTAATTCCATGTCAAACTAAACTTACAGGGTTGATCAGTTCTGGAGCCCTTAGTCATGTTAAAAATTTGGGCTCCCTTCAAATAGTGCCTTTTTTAGATTATTTACATTTTGATTCACAAAAATGTGATTTTCTATGTCATATCTCAAAAGTACAGTTTTGCATAAGCCAAGGTGCCCCTTAATGGAAACATGACTGTGTTATTGGTGCCTTCTGGATGAGCAGTTGCCTTTCATCTAGGGTGCCGGTTTACTGATGCTGCTTCTTCGTATACATGTGTCTGCCCCATTGGGGAAGGTGGGAGGGAATGGATTTAGAAGATTGGGTATAGCGCTGCTAAACTCTAAGTCAATTTGCCTGACCATGTGTTTTCAGGCAATTAAGGAAATACACTTGAAAGTTAACTCATAGGAATGTGCATTGGGCACTGAGCACGGTCCATTTACTCATTTCTTTCTTAAGGATGATGTATCATTGATTCCTCAGTGGGATCTCCTTGGTCTGGTTCTCCCATCCCAATGGATGTCAACAAGGCTTCCTGGAAAGGAAGGATGGAAGACTTGGGTCATCTATTCTCTAATCAAATGTATAATTAAAAAAATAATTTTGAGACTGAGAAGCCTACTACTTAAGCCGTAACTAAGGAACAAGTCTGCATTAAAGTAAAATTACTGGCATGCTAAAAAAAGGTGGCTTAAGAAATTAAAACTCGCAAGGTCAGGGGAATTTTTAGGGAGGCAGAATTATCTGGGTCCTCAAGGAAAAGAAATAGAAAAATTTCTGCACTAATTCTTTTATTTCTTTAAACAGTCTAGAGGTTTATTGAATTACAGTTATAAGTAAGAAAAAAGCAGTTTGCCTTTCTTGGGGAAGAATATTTTAAGCTCTTATTTTTTTTCTTTTAATATTAACAGAGTTTCTGAGAATTCTAAGGAAAGGCTTTTCCTAGTATCACAAAAAGAAAGGGCAATAAAGTTTTGAATTTGGTTTATATGGCTGGCATTTAGGAAGATATAGTAAATTATTCTGATGCATTGACTGGTAAGTTTTTTGGTGATTCGTATCAGGTTGCTGTATTTATTTTAAGACCTAGTGTATAAATCTCATTTCCATTAATTCAAAAAACATTTATCAAGCACCAATCATGTACCTGAAACTGAGTTAAACACGGCAATTCTCTGATGAGAGCAATACTACCATTTATTTAATGATAAGTAAAATCAAATAAAAACTATGCTACATTAGGCCCTTGCTATAAAAATTTAATAGAATCAGAGTTGGAAAGCTTAAAAATATTTTAGAGGTCATCTAATCTATGACAACTCATACACACAAAAGTATATTTTACATGGGACCCAGAACAGTTGTGTATGTTTATATGTATATTTTACATATATATATCCTTTTATATACATATTATATATGTATGGATATATATATGTATGTACAAACCAGTTTCATGAAACAATACATACTCTTATTCTGATTTATTACATTAAAAATGCTGATCACAATTCTCTAAATTGGTTTTATAACCCATTAACGAATGGCAGTCTGAACTCTGAAAAACACTAATGTGACACAACAGCATGACCCCTTATCTTAAAGATGAGATTGAGCCTGAGCCAGGTTACTTGCTTACATTAGAGCCTTGGTTAGTGGAAGGGCTAAACCAGATTTCCTGACTGCTGGTTTCCTGGTCTATCACATTATCTTATTTTCTTCTTAGAACTCATTATCACCATCTGAAATGATCCTGCTCATTGCTGTCCTGAGTGTTATCTGTCTCTCCCTTAAGGAAGTGAAGCTCCTGAGAACAGCCACCTTCACAGATGTACTGGCTGTTATTCCACTCATGCAGAGCTTGGCATATAGCATATGTTCCATACATTTTTTTTTTTTTAACAAGGAGGGCTGTAGATTCGACCCTGCTTTCTATCAAGTGTAGATTCGATTGAATAGTTTGGTAGGGTCATTGCTGTGGAATAACAACCTGCCTTTTATGAGGGAGGAAAAAGAAGATGAAACGATGTAGCCAAGGCGCACACAGCATCAACACAAAAGCCAGAACCGGAGTCTAGGTCTCTTGACCCCTGTTGAGGGCCATGAGTTCCCTATGATATGTTGTCTTATATTTTTAGTCTAATAATATTATTAAGTTGACTTGCCCCAGAATACTCCTCTCCCCTAAAGTGTAACTCTTTCATTTTCTTTTTTCTTTTTTTTTTTTTTTGAGATAGAGTCTTGCTGTGTCACCCAGGCTGGAGTACAGTGGCACGATCTCGGCTTACTGCAACCTCCGCCTCCTGGGTTCAAGTGATTCTCCTGTCTCAGCCTCCTCAGTAGCTGGGATTACAGGCACCTGCCACCACGCCTGGCTAATTTTTGTATTTTTAGTAGAGTTGGGGTTTCGCCATCTTGACCAGGCTGGTCTCAAACTCCTGACCTCAAGTGATCTGCCACCTCAGCCTCCCAAAGTGCTGGGATTACAGGCATGAGCCATGGCGCCTAGCCAACTCTTCCATTTTCTAAGGAGTAAGGGAGCTCAGTGTTGGAGAAGCCACACTATTTATGAGAATACTGTCAGTCAAATACAGCAAGAGGAACACATACTTCCAGGTGTGTTGAAAGGTCAAAAATTACATTTATTCCTTCTAAGTTATAATCAAATGAAATGAGAAATCAAATGGGAAATGTTTTCACATCCTAGATCCTTGCCAAATTCTAGCAAAGAAACACAAAGTCAAGTAAATATGTAATTTAACTTTAGGGTACTTTTTAAAGGGAAGCAAATTGCTTCTGGTCAGAGATTTTTGTTTGGACAAGTTTCCAGTATGAATTTTAAAACAGTTTAGAAACTCAACTCTGGGAATCCATGTCACAGAAAAAGGGAATGAGAGAGAGAGAGGTGGGATTAGAGACAGCTTCTCACTTTAAGCTACAGGAGAAACCTCACATTCTGGAAAATGACCACTGTTCAAAATAGGTCAAATTGCAATTTACCGTAATTCATCAAAACTCTAATGGCCACTGGAGAAAGCCCCAGTTTGATCTGGCCCAGGACTTAAGGGTTCCTTAGGGCAGGTGCACCCCAGGCTTTTTCTTTATAACCCCAGCATACCCAAAGTAGACTCTACCCATCTTGGATCTTCAGTAAATATATGAGTCTAACAAATGTGACCAAGAGCTGGTGCCTTTGATCCTAAAATAAAAGTTTTCACTGAATTTTGATGAGTAGCATTGGGCATAGAGTTTGGGGCAGCTTGGGGAGTATTCTACCTTCTGAATCAGATTCAGCAAATAATAAATGGAGGCATATGGTCCATGCTTTATCTGGTGACTCTAGACCAGAGTTTCCTAAAATTGTTGTCACTTTTTTAAAGGTGGGGAGGGAAAGTTTGGATTAGAAAGAGAGAAGAGGTTACTAGCTGAAAGTGATCATATTTATTGTGCTCTAGAAACGATTTCCCATTTAATATTATTCCAGCATAAATGTTGCCCCTGCATTCCATCCACAATGCAAAACATCAGGGAACAAGCTCCCATGAGAGCTTGTTTCTGCTTAATGTACCCTGGGGGAAAGCCTAGAAAACATTAAAGCAGTAGCTAGGCGCTTTAATGAAGTTAGCCTGCTGAAACCAGGGGAGGTATGCCCGAAGTACACCTGAAAGCACTTTGATTATCGCATCGGCTTCAAAAGAAGCCCCTTCCTTCGTTTTTTAGCTCTGCTGCCCTGAGAAATAGAATTACACCTTTATATTCAGGTTAATTTTGCTGTCTTGCTGAGGCCTGAAAGCATTTCTAAGCACTCTGAAGATGTAAGGGAAGCGGGCTGTTCCTCTCCATCCTGCCCGCCACGTCGCAAGCCCAAATGGACAGAGGGTGCTCAGAACCCTTCAGTTTGAAGCATGTCCTAAGAATGTAAAGTCCAGCACAATAAATGCCTTCCAGTTCTGAAAAAGATAACTTCCTACTTTCTGCTAACATTGAGTCAATCGGGTTCCACAGGTTTGCTTTAAAAAAAAACAAATCAAACCAAAACAAAACAAAACCTCAGATAATCCCTGGCCTTCATAAGCTATCCCTCCCCTAACACACACGCTGCCTTTAGCTTTTTAATATCATCACCTCGCTCTCCATTTCCTTTTGTTTTATAATGCTTGTGTTTCTTTCTTTCTTCGTCTTCCTCTTTTTTCCATTTTTCTCTTTGGCTGGTCTCTCTGCTTAGCATTCCTTTCATTTCCTTTTGCATCTCTCTTCCTCTAGGATTTTAGTTCCTCGTTTCTGCTTGTTGTTTCCTTTTCTGGTCACAGCTGCCCCCTAATGGTTTTCAAGATCATTACTGCTTTGGACTAGAGGAAAGAGGGAGGCAAAGAGCTAGAGAAGGAAAGTTAGAGAGAAACATAAAATGTGTCTTTGCTTTTAACTTTGCCATATCGTCTCAATATCTCTGGAAGAATATGCAAAACCTGCATCAATGGGGAAGAAGTGAACTGGAAAACTAAGGGACAGGTGTGAAGTTTGTACAGGATACTTTTTCGTGTAATTTGAATTTTTAAAAGATGTGTACTACTTATTTTCTTTTTTATTTAATTTTGAAATAAATAAATAGTATCTGAGTCTGGAGACTGAAAAAGAGACTGCCTCTATAAATGATTTCTTGGTTGCAGCAGGAAAGCAAGCGCCATGCCAGCCCCCTCCCCATCAGTGTGCTCATCCAGATACTAAGGGTTGATTGGCAGCTCAGTAAACTATGTAGGAGTAAATATGACGGAGGAGAGTGGGAACTAATGACTATGGTGGGTGTGAATTAACCCACCCTGGAGTCTCCTCAATAGCAAAAGGTCAGCTCCCTGACTACTGCCTTTCCATCAAGACTTTCACGCTCAAATTAGCAGCTATTGCCATCATAATGTAACAATCACCTGACATGTAGATGTCTAATTAAGGCACCATAAGTCACAGGTTACAAATTTGAAAACAGCAATAGCAACAATAAAAAAATCCCTTACAAATCTGTGGGGGATTTGATAGGGTACATATGCATGTGAATGAAGGCAAGGTAATGTGCACTAGTGGGTGGAAGATTCAAGTTTCCAAGAAAATTCATCTATGAATTTAGTAAGAGAATGGGAATTTTCTCTTCAAAATATTTCTGAATGATTAAAAATTTCATATCGTAGCCCTAAAATATCCAATTGCATAACCTATAAGTGCTATGACGTTACAAATACATTCTTGGCCTTTGGTTGTGATTGCCAAGTGGAATCTGTATTTTTTATGATAGGCTAGAAAAAGCCTTGTTGAAAAATATCTCCTCAAAAAGCCCTGCCAAGATGCCTGACATACTCATTAGCACTCGCTGTTTGGGAAAAGTACCCAATGCAAATACTATGATGATGGAATATCCATTGAAGCCCCATCCATGCATTAACAGTTTAAGGATAAAAGAGCATTAATTTCAACTTGCTTAGGTTGGCCTACAGAATTCAGACTAAAGCCTGTTTTAAATCCACGAGTGAGAATGCGATCAGGAAAGAGTCATAGCCAAAACTCAAAACCAGATAAGGTTAAAAATCATTCAAGTCAACCCATCATTCTGTAGGTGAGAAAAGTGGTTCCAAATTGGTTAACAGAATTTTCAAGGACACCCAAGTAGAGACTGAAGGTCCAGCTGCCCTGTCCTCAAGGCTTCTGCTGCCCCCACCTGCTTCTCCGCGGTGGTCTCCACTGACGAGTGGAGTTGAGGCCCGAAGCTGGGAGAGCATCATAAAGACCCTGACTCCTGGTGAGTGCTCTGGGAAAGTCATCCAAGAGAGCGTAGAAAGAACATGGGATGATAGACAATAATATGAATATAAGCTAGCTCTTCTCTTCCTTAACCAAACAGACAGTGAGCATTTTCAAATGCTGCCTTGGTAATCAGAACTTCTGCTGATACTGGGGTTCCTTTCTTGGCAAACAAGTATGGTAACCACAGAGATTGATAAGGGTGTGAATTTCTATGGGTTTCTATGGGAATTATTCAGCTCTGGTCTTTTGATTCTGAGGCTGAGTTGTCCAACATGGTAGCTGGTAAGCACATGCGGCAATTTACATTTAAATGAATAAAATTAAATACAACCTACAGTTCAGTGACTCACTCACACTAGCCACATTTCCAGTGCGCAGTAGCCATGTGAACAGCACAGAGACCACCGTCCTTGCAGAAGATTTAATGGAGAGTGCTGTTTTAAGGGAGAGGGTTGACTGGGTCTTTTTGATACGCTTATTGCCTCAAAGGTAGAAAAATTAATGTAGCATAGGAAGATCAGACTCATGCTAAAGCCAGGCAGACTGGAAGAAGCAATAGGGCTTCTTTAGGTTCTTTTTCCAAGGATTCCAGGGAGGTCTGAATGAATTTTGCACATTTTGCTGCTGCTTTTTAAATTTTGTTTCATAAGGGCCCCTCCTACCAGATCCAGTGTTTGTGTCTGAGGAAGAAATGAGATATACACCCAGTATGGAGTGAAGGAGATTTCAATACTTTATGGAAATCTGTAAGGATTCCAGAAACCCACCAAATAGAATATACTAGAAATATCAATTTAGAATAGAAATGTCAAATAGAAACTACTGGGCAATATTCAAGTGTGCTGGAAAAAAAAAAAGTTGATTGTTTAAAAGGCGAGTAAGAAAAAAAAAAAAACCCTTAGTGACCAGAAACCTGGACTTTGACATCAAACAAAAGAGAGAATAATAAATTAGGACCTATTCCATTTTAACTGAAGCTTTGCTTCTGAGACAGATGTAGCTAAACCTTAACTAGGGCAGTGTGTTAAATTACAGATTAAGATGCAATTATGCCTTAGATCTTTCCTTTTCAGGGTGAGAGCTTATTGATGTTAGGGCTCCGATAAGGGGAAGCACCATGTGACACGTGATATCTATTGTGGAAGCATGAAACTTCTGGAGCTTTTAGATCCTGTGTTCCCGAGAGGCAAGACCTAAATCTCTGTCTTGCTCGCATACCTCTGGCATAGTCATGCATCCATGAACATTTCGTAAGTACAGTGGGATGAACACAGATGGAAAAGCATACCTGAAACGAACCTCTAGTAACCACCAATGGTTGAGTGGGCTGGTGATGAAAGGTCTGGCTCCAGCTCATAAACCCATCAGCCGCTACTTTGAACATGTCCCTGCAAAGCTCCTGCCTGCATGAGGCGAGGCTTTTGGTGTTTTCAAATTGGCTCTCTGCAGTTGCTGCTAAAGGTCACAGGTAAATCTGGGAATTCCACCACTGCAGCATTTTCGAGAACTTGTTCTTGGTGGTTTTTCCAAGAAACCTGAAACATCTGCCCCATATTGAAAAGTACCCAGAGAGGAAATGTGAAGGAATGCTTGTCCAGGTTTCCTTCAACGGAAGAGCATTTATGGAAGGCTGTGTGTAAATAGAACACATCAGATCAGAAGTTCCCAACTACTGGTCTGTGGAGGCTTTGCATCAGAATCACCTAAGATGTGTGTTAAAAATACAGATTCCCAAAGACCACTCCAGACCCAAGGAATTTCACCTGCAGGAAAATGGTTCCCAGGAATCAGAATTTTTAACACTTCCTCCAGGTGATGCTGATATACCCTAAGGTTTGGGACTGTCTAGCTGGGAACACTTAACTTTCCACAGGGGTGTGGCTTGGTAACAGCTTTCTCTTAGCATCATTTACCAACCTGTTTCATGTTCCCCCACATCCCTTCCCGTCAAAGGAATGGAATGTGGAGTGGATTATCTAGTATTATTTTACAACTAAGGATAATGACATGAAACATCCTAGGTGAGTCAGTGATGTGGCCAGGAATCTCAGCTTCGCTAATTAGCTGTTATCTAGTCAGCTCAGTGTTTTTGATCACAAACCCGATTTTTGACACTGGCCTTTAGGTAGGCAGGCTTCCCTATGGGCCAGGGATGTGGACTCACAAAATACTGAAAAGCACGGTGCCTACCTAGCTCTTTACCACTATACCTCTGGTGGAAACCAGACCAACTGCAGTCAAACCCTGAGATCCCAGTCTAGAGGGAAACAAGACTGGCAGGTCTGAGCCAGTCCCAGTGTGAAGAATTTCCCTAAAGATTTGTTTTCCATGTGGCACATGTGAGATTTGTGTTTAGTTCCCAAGAGTCCTTGGAAGTCTTAGGTTAAAACAATTCTAAGCCCTCTCTGGGCCGGTGGGGTCTTGTTCAGAGTAGGCTGGGGAGAGATCGGCCTCACTCTGAATCTTCCCTGGTCTGATAAAGCACTTTGAACTCCTTGGAATTAAAAGCACCACCAGAAGTGTGACCCTGGGTGGTGTTACCATTATTTATTGAGTGCTGCCCCCTAGAGGATTGAAAAATGGTCTGGCCGCTTGAGTCCCCAGGGATGGAAACCTGAGACTCACTCTCTGTCCAACTGCAGGAAATGAGGCCTTCACTCAAGGGGAGTGGGAAGTCTTGCAGCCCTGGTACAGAGGACTCCCAGGAAGTAAGTGAGCGTCCCCTGTAGGACACCGCTGAAAAATGAAAAGTTACAGTGTAGGCAACCAGGCCAGGAACAAAACTGATTCTTACTTTTCTCTACTCTGGAAGCAGCCTGATGGGGACCTTCATCCCTGAGACCCCAAGACCAGAAGTCCAGGGTTGTCATTCTTATGGTTCTCCAGTGGGCTTAGGTTTACCTTTTCTCTCTTCTTTCCCCCTTTCACAGTGCCCTTCACCTAAACCCTGGCTACATTATTCTCACAAACAGGAGTCTCCCACATTGGGCACTGGCAAAAATGGTTTGGCATGCCTGGTGAGTGGTGGGGAGAGGTGATATTAAATGGCCCTCTCTATTCAGGGACTGTCACTACAGATAGCGTTCTTTGTCCTTAGATTAGCATCTTGGCAATGACATAAACCGGGATCTCTGCTTAAGGTTAATAATCCAAACTGCTCTTTTACTTTGTTAAATATTTAAGGCTTGGAGTCATTCTTTACAATTGAGCTTTAAAGAGGAGAAATGTAAATCTGGAGTTTTTAATAATGTGGATGTGCTCTCAAGCCTAGAAAGGAAGGAAGAAGGAAGGAAAGGAGGGAGGAAGAGGAAGGAGGGAGGCAAAGAGGGAATGAAAGGTAGCATTTAGGCTAGCCAAGAGACATGCTCCCTGGAAGAACTCAGAGGCCTCTGTGCTGTGCCTTTCCCAACCAGGCATCTGAGATTAACAGTGTGATACTCAGCCTGTGGATTTCCACTCTAAAATCCCGCGCCACCCCCCAACACAGCTTGGCTCAACTATTTGCAAATCACTTCTGATTCAATTTTGTTTTGGTTATCTCAGTGTAAATAACAGTTAAGTGGGAGTTACAGATTTTTCAAACACTAAAAGTGATAAAGCTAATGGGCAAGTCCAGATAAGGAGGGAAACCACCCAGAAGAATCCACAAGTACAAGCCAAGAAGAAAATGGGTAGTCAGGTGTGTGTTTCTCGTCACCGAAACTGTATTTTTCTTAATCTACAGAAAATTTTACTTTCTTAATTTAAAAAAAATCTTAATCTGTAAATATTTTTCTGAATTTTCTTATTTTTCATATACCTCTTTTGTGGCAGAAAAGGTGTACATGTGCAGGGTGTAATTTAGGCTGTTTCTGTTGCAGTCTTTATGATAATGTAGTAATAGGTGTCTGGTGAAGCAAGACAGTTTGGAATCCACAAAGCCATCCTCAGAAACAAAGATACAAGTGTTTCCCCAACTGTTAGCTTGCAGTTCCCTCTAAACAGTTTTCACGCCTCCATTTAAAAATAGTTGGCATAATGATGTTTTCTTTCTCTAGGCTTTGTGACCACGTTTCCATGGGGGAAAATGTGAATAGACGTAGTTACAGTAGCATTTGGATGAGACGCCTTCAAGCACCTATACTTTTTCGGGGGAACTTGATGGAATCCAATTTAATTACCTGAAGAAATTATTTGCTGAAGAAAGTCTTTCCTCTTTTTAGGGTAGTTACAGTTAAAGGCGCAGGGGTAACGAAATCCTAACCCAGAGAGGAGCAGAGCATGTTTGGGACATAACAAAGGATCTGAGTAGTAAACGCAGCGAGTGTTTGGGGTTTTATTCAGACCGGGCTGACGGTGTGTGTCGCCGCCACGCACCGCTGCCTGTTCGAACGCATGGCTGAGCTGCCGACCGGCTCGCTACCCCAAACACCGTACGCCACCCAACTCCTCTTGTAACGCCATCGCGCGTGGCATTGTGTTGGGTTCTGCGTGTGTGGCATCGGAGTCGTGGAATTTAGGGGGAACAAGGCTTTTCCCCCCGTCCCCCCGGGGTCTCCCTTGGGTGGGGGCGACACGGCCAAGGCGGCGCGCCCTGGGGGTGCCCGGGGGCGCTTCTTCCCCAGGGCGTTACGCACCGGCGGCCCGGCGCGGAGGTGCGCGGGGGCGATCGGGAGATGCGGGGCGGGCGAGGGGTGGTGGGATGGGCGCCGCCTTAACTTCGATCCTGCGGCGGCCCGAGAGAAGCCGTCGCCGCCCCGCCCGAGCTGGGTGCCGCGGCACTCTGCTCTGCGCCGCGCGTCTCCGCGGCTGCCTCTTTAATCAGGAACACAGAAGGGGCGGGCCCTGAGCCGGCGCGTAATCGGATAGCTCTGCCGCGGCTCTGACATCCACATGCTGCTCGGCCTGAAAAGGCAGTGGGGAGCCGGAGGGGAGGCAGAGATCGCGAGCGAGGCACCAGCCTGCAGCCGGCCCCCAGCACATCCTCAGCCGCACAGACACTCGGCGAGGTGGAGGTGAGGGCGGGCGCCAGCGAACTCGGAGAGGGGCTCGCTCACTCCCAGGCGATCCCAGCCGCCACCGCCGCCGCACCAGCAGCAGCAACAGCAGCAGCAGCTTCCTTCCTCAGACTCCCCTCGAGAGGCTGGCCAAGCGGGTGTAGCCGTTGGGGGAGGCTCCCGCCGGGGGAACCCGGCGAGGACAAGAGCAGGGCGGCCGCCTTCCACTCGGGCTGTCCGGCGGCGGCTGCCTCCGCCCGTGTGTCCGTCAAGGGTGCCGCGGGATGTGTGTCAGTTTACGCCTCTGAGATCACACAGCTGCCTGGGGGCCGTGTGATGCCCAAGGCAAGTCTTGGTTTTAATTATTATTATTATCATTATTGTTACGCTTGGCTTTCGGGAAATACTCGTGATATTTGTAGGATAAAGGAAATGACACTTTGAGGAACTGGAGAGAACATATATGCGTTTTGTTTTTAAGAGGAAAACCGTGTTCTCTTCCCGGCTTGTTCCCTCTTTGCTGATTTCAGGAGCTACTCTCCTCCTGGTGAGGTGGAAATTCCAGCAAGAATAGAGGTGAAGACAAGCCACCAGGACTCAGGAGGGAAACGCTGACCATTAGAAACCTCTGCATAAGACGTTGTAAGGAGGAAAATAAAAGAGAGAAAAACACAAAGATTTAAACAAGAAACCTACGAACCCAGCTCTGGAAAGAGCCACCTTCTCCAAAATGGATATGTTTCCTCTCACCTGGGTTTTCTTAGCCCTCTACTTTTCAAGACACCAAGTGAGAGGCCAACCAGGTAAGCCACTGAAAGTTTTTCTATTTATTGCAACATGGTTTCCCCTTTAAAAGTGACCGCTAAAGCAGGAAGGCCACGCAGAACGGCACAGAAGAAGGCTCCCTCAGTACTCAATAATTTAAAGAGAGATCCCAGCCGGCCCTTCCTACACCACCACGGCTGCTAAAACCCAACTTTCCTCTCCTGCTAGGAGTGTGTGTGTGTGTGTGTGTGTGTGTGTGTGAGTGTGTTTTGAAACAGAATTTGGCGGTGTTCATATGTCACATATGGACTGAATCAAAGGTTTAAAAATACTACAAAGCCTTTGCATTACAGTTTTTGGGAATTTTTTTTCCCTGTCTTGAAGCAGAACACATCTCCCTTGAGTTTCTCCAACTAGCCAGTGAAATATAAATCATTTGCATTCCCTCCACTTAGCTACATTGAGCAATGTTAACTGAAGGGCTTGGGAAAGACAAGAGTTTAGTTTTGGTTTTCAGATGCTGTAGATTCTTTGGAGAATGACTGGTTATGCTTCAGAATCATAAGGCTCAGGCTGGTGGAGCAAGTTGGCTTGTGGCTGAGATAGGGGCTTGGGGTTGGGTGCTGCTGGCAACCAAGACGGTTGGTCTCTTCTCTCTTCATCCATGTGTTGTCTGGGAAAGTAAATCGTACGTTCTTTTAGAAATTATTATTAGCTAAAACAAATTGCAGGCCCTCGAAGGTCTCTCACTCTTGTGAAGTGGTTAGAAACTTTTGAGTGGAATTTGTTCTCAACCACTGCCAAAAAGGGTGTGTGGACAGGCTGCTGTGGAGATAAGCATTTCGAGGCCCAGAACAGTCTGGGGACCGCATTTGTGGGGAGCGGCAAGGGGTATGCTCTGGAAAGGGGAATCCATGGGGAATGCAGTGGGGTTTGTGCTTCCTTCTCGGACCACTCTCTAGAGTGAGCCTCCCTACCCCTCTGAGAACAGTGTCTGGAATCTAACAACAAAACTCTTAGCAGCTGCTACAGGTGATTGGAGATGGAGAAACCATCTATGGAGGAAATGGGTGAAAGAAAGGCGAAAAAGCCTTCCTGAAGTGCCCTCACCCAAGGCACTTGCAAGGCGATGGCGGCAGTGGTAGAGCTAACTCTGCAGCCTCCTTGGCATCCCCAGAACATCAGCTAGTGGATCCTAGCCTTGCATCTGGTACTGTCACCCTTCCTTCTCCTCACGCCCCCCACCAGCACACACACCACTTTAAGCTTGGGCATTTATTTGAGGGGGGAAGAAAATTCAGGAATGCCTTTGCCACCCAGATCCGCACGTTTGCAGCTCTTTCTTTGCCATAAGTGGTCTTCAGGGCAGCTGCAAATCCTGCCAAAGGGATGGGTGGGGGTCCCACTTGGGGAGATTTTCTGGGCCTCCGCCGTTCCCCCTTGCCTTATTTCTAAATTCCCAGCTTGAAGCGGAATTAAATTACCACTCACAGACCTGGATGCTGCGTAAATTATGTATGTTTGTGTGATTCGCTGTGTGTGTGTGCACACGCGCGCGCGCCGTGAGGATGCCCACAGTATATTATGTATTCAGACACGGACTCCAGTAGGCCCCAGCGCGCGAGCGCGCACACACTGGCACTCACACTGGCGCGCACACACATGCAACTTCAGGTTCCGTGTGCTGTGCGGAGCGGGAGGGGTCGTGAAGACTCAGGGGCCATCTCCTACCCCAGATGTTCGCACATCTGTCCCCGAGCGCTGCTTGGAGTGTGTGTACGTGTGTGCGCGACACCCGCTTGGACCCACTCCCGCTCTGCCACCTGCCTGCCGCGCTCTCTGCAGAACCCCCTCCCATCCCAATCCCCAGCAGTGCTGCGTCACTTCCAGAGAAGCCCAGAGGCGCGGAGTTCGGGGCAACCTCGGACCCGGGGTGGGATCTCAGGGTGGGATTCGAAGCTGGGACCTGCCAGGGACCTCCAGCTCCCCAAAATGCGATCTCAAGCCGTGAGCTGCTCAGGCTTTCAGGCGGAGCAAAGCACTGGCACCCTGGGAGCCGGCAGCGGGTGGCCAGGGCGAGGCCAAGCCACATACCTCTGACTCACCCGGTGTGCGCCGGCCGGGAAGGGGGCCTGGTTCAGCCGCCGCCGCCGGCGACGAGAACCAATTCTGGGAAGGAGCAAGATGGGGCAGAAGGTGCGCGCGGGGGAGCAACTGAGCAAATAACACGGCGGTCGCGGCGCGCGGCACCTTGGGCTGGCGCGTGGCTGGGAGGCCGCATGGGCGACGCGCACCAGGCTGCCCCTCTCCTCACTGCGCCGCCTCGCCAGACCGCAGTGCAGCCGCTAGCCTGCCTCCCTCCCTGCCCCGGGCGCCCCCGCCAGTCCCCTGCGCTCCGCTCTGCGCGGCAGGCTCGCCGCGACCCCTAGAGAGACGGCTTTGAGTGGCGGGAGGCCGAGGCCGGCTGGCTTGGGAATCCAAGCGCTGGCCCAACTAGGTGAGAGGAAACTGGGGTGGGATTTCGGAGAGGAGGGCGGAGAGAGGCGGGAAGGAACCAGCTTGAGCCCCAGGAATGCGCGCAACTTGCACAGCCTCTAGAAGCGCCGCGCGCCCAGCGCCCGCCGGTGCGCAGGAACAGGTGAAGAGCACGCGGCGTGCGGCCATCCACGTGGTGGGGACGTGATAGCCCCTCAGCTCTCCTCCTAGCCCTCCCTCCCCTTCCCCGCCCCCCAGCGCCTTCTCTAACGCCGCATCGATTTGTTTGGGCTACGCAGCAGAAACAGAGCCCAGCGATCCATAAACATTCTATTAAGCAAAAATATTCCCAGCGAAAGCAAAACCGAGGCTGAAGCCTCCGCGAAGTTGGCCGCCTCCAACTACTCCATGCTTGTGCCCTCCTCCTCCTCCTCCTCCTAAGGACACCCCCAGGGAAAAGCCTGCGGCATTTCTTCAACGCTGCCCTATGCCGGAAAGTTAGGTCTCGGCTGCAGCGCTGGTCTCTGGAGAAGCCTCTGCCTGCAGCCGCCGGCGAGTTCCCGCCTCCCCTCCCCAGCCGCCTCGCTCTTTGCTTTTCCACGTGAGAAAAAGAAATGTTCACGGCCGATGCTTCATTTTCACTGATTGATTTCTTTTTAATATCAACACAAGTTAATGGAGGCAAGGCGCGCTCTGATTGAAGGGCTGCCCCCGCCCTTCGACTCGGGCTGGCTGTGCCGGGGGTCTTTCCCACCGGGTCGCAGGCGTCCAGCGGCTGGGTGGCGGGCGCCGGTAGCCCTAGTGTTTGGAGGTGGGGGAGGGATTTGGAATAGACTTGTCGCCCCTCTGGGAATCATCTGGGTTGGGGAACCTTCGGGAATCAGCTTTCCAGACCAAGTTTTAGGGGATCTTGCCCATATGCGTTGCGGCTTCTGCGGCTCCGGCTGAATTTCTTCTAAAAGATAGGAGATCCACGCTCAGGTTTATTGGCGTGTGCTCCCTGCTCGGCTCCCCTCCCTCCACTTCCTGTTCTTTCGGTTTCAGACAGAGAGGAGAGCCCCCTGGCGCTAGCCATTCCCGATCAGCGCCCACTACGAACGTCCCCTTTGCTAGAGTTAATCATGATCTGCGGGGGGACTGGGTTTTGCTCAGAAAATCATTCAAGTCCTGACAATGGGTTTCTTCAAATGGTGGCAACTCCCAGGCCTAATGTCCCCACCTCCGGGACACATCGCTTGGGGCCAAAAGAACCCAGACCCCATAACCATCTACCCCTCCCCTCCTCGTCTGGAGAGCTTTGATCTATGCTTGGGTTTTAACGCCATTGCCATGGACACGCGCAGATTCTCGGTCAATTCACCCTTCCGTCTGGACTGGATGATCAGATAAGAGGTGTAAATTGGCTGTGGGAGACAGGTCTGGGTTCAGACAAATCCTGAAAGAGAAGCAATGACGGTCTAGGCGCCGGATAAGGGTTTGAAGTGTTTCTTTTAGCCTGTCTCCCCAAAATGTGAGATGGCCATTGGCGAGCATAATAATTTGCAAGTAAACTGTAAACTCCTAGATTTTACGCAGACGGCCTGCTCTGGGCTCTAGGGATTGGTCTCATGCCCACATTAAATGGGTACCCAGTAAACATTTTTCCCCCGTGATCAGCTCCTGGAGGTAGGGAAGCTGTGGCCAGTTGCCAGCAGAGCACACAGTGCAAGACAGTGGCAAGAGGAGCACTCCCCAAAGGGCCCCGGGCAGGCCCCTACTCGTCCAAGCGGTGCCTGGTGGAATTGTGAATGCGCCAGTGCACATCAGGTTTGGAGTTTTATGTCATCCCATAGAGCCCTCAGACATTAAGCTACGGAGCACTCAACTGGCAAAATGAAAGATTGGAAGGCTGCAGTGACTGGAACCCAGGCTACCCAGACAGGACTCCTGCTGTCTACCAAATGGCTCTGATCCCCTGCTGTTGAATGTATCAAGTCCACGTTCTGCAGCAGAAAGGCCAGTTCCTATCTTCCAGGCATAGAAAAAGCTAGGAATCCAAATGCCAATTCATATGCAGTGAGGCACGAATACAAATGACAGTGAGGGAGGGGTCTGGGGTCAGTGAGGAGAGACACCAGGGACCAGATGATTCTGGGGACCCTGGTGTTTTTCATTTCACTCAAGTCTTCCCTAAAGCAATCAGGAAAATGAACTGACTCAGGATGACCTGAGTGTAAGACAATTCTGAGTTGACAGAATTCAAGAGCCAGGTAAAGAGGTTTCCAAATATATTCTCCAAAGGTCCAGTTTGGAAAGACTTTAGGAACTTGAGCTGAGATCTTCCTTTCTTAAAAGATAGAGCAAAAGAAGAATATCTTTTTAATTTCTTGAACTGACAAGAAAGGACTTGAAAAGTGTCATCTGGGCAATGGCTTGTAGTGTTATTAACATATTTGAGGTATTTTATTATCTGACCATCACTTGCAACTGGATAATCTTTGAGATACCTTCCTTGAGTGGCAGATAAGTATATTGATCACCAGAAGTTAGTCTTTGTACTGTTCCTTCCAGGTAAGGACTTGGCTGTTTGCTGATTTTTGTTTTTTAATTAACCCATTTCTGGAAGATGCTGCAGAAGTTTGTCCTGGAGAGCTACAGTATTTTTCAAAGCTTTATCTGCCTTGATGAGAAATGGTCAGAGGCTTAATGGTTTCATTGCCTAACAGGATTCAGTGGAGTAGGATTCCAGGACACAGTGGCCTTGTATCATGGCTGGCCCTCCAGGAGAAAGCATCTTCTAAAGGTTTAGGAAGCTGTCAAGTTTAGATAAGGCTGAGCTCCGATCCTCTGGGACCTTGGTTGTATTAATAAGGAGAAATTAATTTTTAACCACTGGGAACATTGCCAAATTATGTGACCTTTGGCAGACCAGCTGTGCTATAAAAATAAATCCCCCATTTCTGAAAATGCTACTCCTATCCAGTAGAACAATAACAATGTGGCATTTAGGATAGAGAAGAGTAGGATTGAGAAGAAAGGAGAGAAATAGGAGTTGGCAAAAAACAAAAAAACAAAACAAAACAAAAAAAACAAAAAAACCCTTCGATGTTGTGATACATGGTTTCAGACCTGAACTTCCTATCCATCACCCGCCCTCCCCGGCCCCATGCCTAGGGTTTCCAGAACACAGGAAAGAGGGCCAGGATGACAAGGAGCTGAGTGCCTGTGTGTACAGGGAGTGGAGAAGGTGTTAAGTGCTTCCAGCCCACTCACACCCCAGCCTCAAACACATCTCTCATTGTTCACACAGACAGAGTACTGGCACAGGCAGAGAAAAGGGGGTTTTCAAACAGGCAAAATATTTGTCTTTCCCTAAATGCTACCAAGTAGGTTTGCCACTGAGAAGTTTTGTGGGGATCATCCCTGGCCTTCCCAGCTTCTGAAACATGGGAACTAGACTGCCTGGGTTTAGAATCTAGCTCAGCCACTTGCTGGCTCTGTGATCCCAGTATCCTGTGTGATCAGATACTTAGTCTATGTGCCTCGGTTTCCTTGTCTGTAAATGTGTTTGGTAACAATACCTACTTCATAGGGTTGTTGGGCTATGTCAGATTATGTAGAATACTGTTTGGCACATATGAAGCCCATTCTGAAGTCACTGAATCTTTAAAACTGTTTCAGTGGGGTTAGTGGAATCTCGTGATCGTAGAAAGCACACTATAACCATTGTGGTAAGTTGATTTTTATGAGATTTAAAAAATAATTCTTATTCTCAGTTCTTCCACCACCAAACCTCTGTGTTTTGTAAGCACCATATTATCTCTCGCCATGCTCTTCTTCAGAGAATATTCTCTGCTGAGTTCTTATCTTAGATTTATGTCTCCCTTGCATTTTTTCCCTCCTTCTTCCTCTGTTTTCAGTATTCTTACCTCCTATTTTCTTTTTAATCTCTCATTTCCTTTCCTTTTCCTCCCCTTCCATCCTTCAACACTGAGAGTGTGCTCAGCAGGGAACACCGTGTTTAAGGCGCTCTCCCGAATGTGTAATAACTTCTACTCTGGCACTAAGGCCCTTCAGCAGCTGAACTCAAAAAAGTCATCATAAAGACAAAATAGCTTTTACCCAGCAAGGGTCTTAATAATCCCATTTCCCTCTGGGTCTTCATAAAGGAGTCATTATCTAATCCAGAAAAAAAGGAGGGGCTGGGAATAACAAAAGAGAAGCTCTCGGTAGCACAGAGTGCACGAGGCTGCCGGCCAGCTGAGTGCACGTGGCCGTGGTACCCTGCTCCCGCCTCCACAAATCCTGCGATAACCAGTAACCAGTTCTGGCGAGTCTTTCAGCAGAGAAGATAATGGGAATTGCAAATTACTAGACCGAATGCTAATAATAATTGTTTGGATACAGGAGAAAAAATAAAACAGATGTTCCCCAAAGGCATTCTAGGGGCTACAGAAAGGAAAATGAGGAGGGGGTTGAGTAAAGAGAGGTTTGCTGAAACCAAGCACAAGAAAATCCAATACCAACAAATGGCTTAGTGATGAAGTAATAGTCAGCATCTTCCTGGTGGTACAGATAACCAATATTTAAAGTTGCCTTTGGAAGTGTGGGGGTTGGAGTGAAGGGGACAAAACCCCTGAGATAAATTAATTTTACTAGTATTAAAAATAAAATGGCCGAGCATGGTGGCTCATGCCTGTAATCCCAGCACTTTGGGAGGAGGAGGTGGGCAGATCACCTGAGGTCAGGAGTTCGAGACCAGCCTGGCCAACATAGCAAGACCCCATCCCTGCTAAAAATACACACACACACACACACACACACACACACACACACACACACACACACACAATAGCTGGGTATGGTGGTGGGCGCCTATAATCCCAGCTACTTGGGAGGCTAAGGCAGGAAAATCGCTTAAACTTGGGAGGCGGAGGTTGCAGTGGGCCGAGATTGTGCCACTGCACTCTAGCCTGGGTGACAGAGTGAGACTCTGTCTCAAAAAATAAAATAAAATAAAATAAAATGTGAATGTGCTTTGAAATTTATCATTATTATCTGCTTTAGGGTGTTCTAGGAGACATAGTTCGCACTAACTCTACCTTGACCTACTTGTGACTAGGTATTATTATCCCAGACAAGTTATTCAAACTCTCAATTCACCACTAAGAAACATTTGCACTTAATAACAGCTGGGGGTGGGGAGGGAAGCGCAGTAGCTGTGGCCGCAGAATAATTTCTGATAGAACTCTCAGAGTCTGTCCTATCTAGTGATACCTTTGATGTTCCTTTGGTCACTTCTTAATTGGTTAATTCACCAAATCTTGATGAGTCTGACTTTTGGGAAAGGTTCTGGTTTGATCCTGTAAGACTTGCCAAAGATGGATCAGCAAGGAGTCATGACCTCAAGTTGCTGGTGGCTCAGTAGACTGGATGAGGCCCTCCAGAACTCTCACACATCTCAGAAGATGCTAAAGAGCTTCAGCCTCTCAGATGCACAGAGGAGAAAGACCACTCCCAGTATGGGAGAGGAGAAAGGGCAGAGGCAGCCTGGAGTGAGAGAGTAGGTGGGATTTAGAGCAGGGAAGGGCATACCAGGGGAAGGGGAAGGTGTGAGTAGAGAAATGGATGCTGGGTTGGTTTGGGGAACACTCAGAAGCTGCAGTTTAGAATGTATGGTGGGAAATAATTGCAAACAAGATTATAAATAATAGCTTGGGCTCAATTCAAGGCCCAAATTGCTAGGCAAAGAGGTTTGGGTTTCACTTGCTAACCAATGGGGAGCCATTAATGTTTCAACATAAGCTTCAGTTAATCAAAATAAATGAAGACAATATTATATTACTTTTTTTTCTCCTTTGGTTTTTGGAGAGACCTCAAAATTATTCTTCTGTTTCCTTCCCCAAATGTCTCCTAAAATGGTCAGGAATTGTAATCCCAGATCTCTCATCAATGGCATCAAAATTGCATTTGCAATGAGGGCTGGAAAAGAGAGGACATAAATATAAACTAATGACATTATATCGGCTGCCCTATTGGAATTGCATTTGTTTATGATATAAGATGACAAATAATAAGGTTAACACAGGTGGCATGATTCGAGGTCAGGAGAGGTAATCGCATCAAACTTACATTTTACCGATTAAATGAGGCTTCATTTTTAGAATCTAGATTGAGGGGAGAGATGTTCAAAAGGCCCCATTTCCAGACCCAATTTCCAGTTCTCTCCTAAGTGAATTCATTGGAGGTGTTTTAAGAGAGGGAATTTGCTTCATTCTTTATTCATTTCCAAACTCATATGCTGGCTTCCTCTCCTGCTCTCTGCTTCCCTCTCTCCTTCCCTCCTAGATGGCCCTTTTATTCAGATTTTGAACTTTATCATTTCAAAAGTTCAGAAGGATTTCCATTTGCTGTGCCTTCAGGAGTGCATCATTCACTGCCACCAGTCTCCATAAATTGAGTAGATTGCATCCCTTCCCAGTTGCCTTAGGAAGTGGTCAAACAGCCACATTCCTGGGCTGATGGATTGGCTCATTTCTTCCCAGCTTAAGCCAAGATACAGATTTTATGAGACTGTCTTGTGACAGGCTGAAGTTGCTTTGAATAAAACAAAATCCAGCCTCAGCTCACAGAAATAATTCTTAAAACGCAGCTTATCCCGGGTTGGTGAGCAAAATTTGGTTAAAACCCTGAGCCAACGACTTAGATGATCTGGGTGAGGGATTTGAAGAAACTCCTTTTGGTTTTTCTTTTCATGCATCACTGTTGTTGACATGCTCACACACAGAACTGTGTATCCATAATATTTATAAATATGCAGCCACAGACTCAGTTACAAAAAGAAACTCGTGTTAGTAGACCTGATGTGATTAAAGGAGACATTTGAACTCTCCGTAATGCAAGACAGACATGTTTTCTGAAGAATCCTGGAGTTTGGTTTCAGGCTTACCAAGCAGATAGAACAGGGGTAGCACCTTGAGTAAATGTCTTATTGTCTAGGAGGGTAGAGAATCTTTTGAATTCTTGGCTCAATCTGTGGGTTATAAGATCTATTCCCCACCTCACTACATGGGCTTTGGATTTTAGCACTGGAACTGACCTTTAGAATCACCCCTCTCATTCTATAGATGAGAAAACAAAGGCTCAGAGTTGTCTACTAGCTTACCCAAGGTCACACAGCTTGCTAGTGGTGAGACTAGACTTGATTACTAGGCTTTTAAATCCTGCTCCAATGCTATTTCTAATAAACTTCCTGGTGGAGTAAGTGGCAAGGTGACAACCTCCTTTCTTTTTAAGTAGAAGAAAGAGTTTCTTCTTTGCCTTGCTACCAATAATTAAATGAAAACAATGCTGTGGAAATAGGGACAAAGTGGGATTATGCTGTAGATAAGAAATAAATTATAAAGTAGATAAAGTATATTATTTTCAGAGGAAATGAGACCGATTGCTTTTCTCCACTAAGTGCCCTCAGGTATACATAGGAAATAGATGTCTCCTAGTCATCTGCTCTTTCTCTTTTCCATAGCATTTTAAAGTAACAGGGAATGGAGATGCCCCATTTAGAGGGTTTCAAACCATGTTCCAGGAAGCCCCAGTGGACTTGCAGAGAAGCCCTTCTGAGCTGAGGGCAGGAACTAGGAGGCCTGGACACTACAATGCTTCTGGCTACCTCCCTCCCAGCATCCAAGAAGAGCTCCCTTTTATGTTCTTTGTACATGGGAGGTCTAGGTAGAGTTTTGTTCAAGAAAAAAAAAAAGTACTTCAAAAAAAGCAAATAAATTTGAAAGCTACACACCTAATTCAGTCCATTCTTTGAATTACAGTTTGTGAAGCTGAGCCCCAGAAAGGTCAAATTGAGTGAGTTAAGAGTTGGGTGCCATCTCCCATCTTTCTGCTAATGTCGATCCCTCCCTTTCCTGGTAACCCAGTCCCATCACCCCAGACTCACCTTTTACAACAACTGGGCCCTCTAATCCCACATTCAGCCAATGGCCAAGTTTCCCTGGTTTCGCCAAGGACTTTTTCCTTCAGTTCAACTAAAGCGAGGGATCTGATTGGTCTTTTACCAAGCTGTCGTGAAGTAAGCTATAGTAATCAGATTATCTGCTACAGTCAGGCTTCAGTATTTAGCAAATATTATTGTCAAGTTCAGGTTATCCAGTGTTCCTTTAAAACAATGCCAACTACATTTTTCTAGAAGGCAGACCAGATTTTTAAAAGATCTTCTTTTCCCATTCTTAATACTTCTTAAAAATTAAATATTCGCAAGGAAAGTGATTGGGTTCTGTAGGAAGGTGAGTTCCTAAGTGAAGGGGTACAACATCCCTTTGCCTTTTCAGGGCTATGTTACCCCTAGGCAGAGGCAGATGGTACTTAGACTACCAGCAAAACAACAATACTTAAGAAGGAGAAAAAGAGCAAGACAGAAAGAGTTTAAAACAATCTGATATTTTACATTTCAAATAAAAACACCTAAGTAGTACTTATAAGAGGAAAATCAGAACTTGGTGACTTCAGAACTTAGTGTTCTCTTTATTTCCAATTACATCTGGAGCTGTCACTTTATTCCTTTCAGCCTTGGGCCTTTCTCAGACCTGACCTGGCTCATCCCTCAGCCTTCCCTCCCAGGTATAGGAGAAAATGCTCTAACAGTCCAAGCCTGGATTTTGCTATCTCTCTTCGGGTGATGAATTTGCCCCAGGTGAAAGGTATTCACAAAATAGTTGCAGAATGAAGTCTTTTGTCAACTCACCCAGCGGGCTCAGTAGCTCAAACAGGGTCAATTTCCCCTCTGTACATGGAGATTGGCCTTAAGGGTTTTGCCCTTGAGTTCAACTCTCCTTTGGCTTAGCTTGACTCCTCTGAAACAGAACAGCAACCATGTATAAAGTTCATTGTGGAACACAATAAAGACCTACAAAGTAATGGATGGTATAGCTCTTCAGAAGAAATTTTAGCTAATTTCTATTGGGACATGTTTGTATTTAGGAAATGATGTGTCCCCAACCCTAGAAAGGAAAGATCAGTTATCAAGAGGAGAAGTAGAATGATTAAGTGTGTTTTCTTTACAATTTTTACTGATATGTTTCAAGAATTCTGTTCTCTCCAAGAAAAATAAAAACAGAAATTCTAGTATTTATCTTTGTGGATATATGTTTGTGCAAATGATGTGTGATATTTTATGAGAAGGTGTGAACGTATGTATAGGACTAAAGTGTGAATTACTGATATGTATATGTACTTGAAGTATGTTCAATATCTATGTTTGTGTGTGTTTCTGGGTGTGAATGCAAGCCAAACAAGAATGTGAATTTATAAATTTGTAAGTATTGAAAAGGTTACCAACACACAACTGAAGCAGATGTTCTAATGAGTTCTCTGATACTTCAATAACTGCCCTGATTTTCTCCAGGTAAAGAAAGGATAGAAAAAAAGCAATGGATGACTCCTTTTTCTTTTGGTTTAACAGCAGACAGTACAGACTATCAGCTATGGGATATATATATAGTTTAATTTTTTTGTGTGGTGGTGGTGAAGAAATGATCACTTCTGCTGTAGATGAGAAATTAAACCTTCCTGCGAAGAAGTTTCCTGTCTTTATTGCTGATCTGTGTGCCTGGTCTAATTACTAAAAGTTTAAACCTGGGGTGTGGGGAATTGAGGGAGAAAAGTTCCCCTTTCAAGAGTAATTGGAGAGAAGTAGAGGAAGGGATGGGGAAAGGAGGGAGAGAGTGTGGGTAGGGAGAGTGGAGAGTATGTGGAAACCATAACAGTTACTAAACAGGAGCTCAGCTCAGGTTTCCTCTGACGAATTCCAAGGCAAAAAAGTGTGGTTTGGGGTGAGTTGGTGGCAGGGCTGCAGTTTTCTGCAAAATATCTGGCAGAGGAGCTGGACCCGGTAGAAAATTCCCCCTTCTGCTAGTTGAGTAAGAGCAGCTGGTGATCTATGTCCTCACACCTCTGCCTTCTCAGAGGACCACTCCACCCTATTTCATGTGCATAAGCCAGGACCAACGGGCCTCAATTTGGCTGGCTAGATGACATTAGGTTCCCAGCATGGGTGAGTGGTGTGGGCACCTGGAAAGCCTATGGGTATTGGCTGCAGAGGAGCTGGGCCTCATGGCTGGCCTCATGTGGTCTGGGTGGGAGGGATGAGCTCATTGTCTTCATGGGCTGGGGTGGGTGCAGGGTCATTAGGTAAGAAGATGATGTGCTGTGTACCAGCCTGAGGAAACGGCTGCTTTTGTTTTCCACCCAGTAGGAAATGGACCTGAATTCATTCCATTCTGGGCAGTTCAATACGGCACAGTTTGAGCTCGTGGAGGCTTGATGCCGAAAAGGCTACTTGTGTGGATTTGTGTCCCAACCACCCGTGTGCAGCGTGCCCATCTTTTATGCATTTAAAGCCTGTCAGGCCGGTAGTCTAAAGCAGAGGTCTGGGAGATAGTAATGCCAACAGACATGGGGAATAGTAAAGTGCACCTGTAGAGTTAAAAAATGCATGACCTGTTCCCTCAAAGAGTGAACACAGGAGAAAGACCCATCCTGGAGGGCGGCTGCTGAGTCGTAATACATAATTCACGGGCCCATGCTGCTCCATGCAGATGGCGATATTAAATCGTGATTGATGCTAAGAGACACACACATCTCAGGAAGGTCTCCGAGAGGCTTCTGAATATTTCCATGTCTCATGTGCCTTCCCAGCTTCTGTTCTACTGTGGTATTTAAGCAAAACTCCCTATTTCCCAAGAATCCCTGCTGGGGATTGCAGAACTTTACTCCCGAATAGATGAGATTCCTCAAATGTCATCACCCACCTTTGGAGCCTTTGAAGGTGGCTCCCTTCCCTCCCAGGCCACATGAAGCTGTCTGCCTCCAGCCAGGCACTGCAGGTACAGGGAGCCAGCCCTTCCTGCAAACGGCCAGTTATGGCTGGACAAAGCAGCAGCACACTCTGGTGGTGGTGACCAGGCAGGAGGGACAGTGGGCAGACAGCGCAGAAGAAACAGATGTTCATTCAACACAAAGCACCTTTGTCGAAATTCCAAGGCTAGAGCCAGTAGATTCTCTAATACAGATTTTTCCATTCGGTGTATAATGAAATAATAAATCAAATTTGTGGTATATATGGAATTAAATGTTTGGGGGGTTTGCATTTTTTTTCTTAAAAAAAAATTTAAAAAGGCTGCAATCACCCTCCAGGGCCTGTTCTGGCCCAAAGCTGAAAGTGCTTCCTCTGCACCACATGTAATTGTTACCAGGCTCGCTTGTGGGTCGGCACCACAAAACCACCATTGTCAGTTCCCAGAGCCCTGACTGCTGGCTGCCTGGGCTGGGCTGGGAGACACCGAATAAAATGAAGGATTTATGAGATAAAGATAGAGATAGGAGGTTGAATGAGGAGAGGAAGATGGGCCAAGGAGGGGAGGCAGGAAAGGCAGGGAGGCATGTTGAGTTTGCAGTCCTCTTGTTTTTTTAATCACAGACCATGTAATTGAGAATATTTATGGCCATGTTCTGGAATACTTTCATCTGTGTGTGTGTGTGTGTGTGTGTGTGTGTGTGTAGTTGGGTGGGTAGGGGGAGGGATGAGCCGGAATAATCTCTTCCACCGAATGAGTAAGTAGGTTAGTCTTCTGGACTGCCATAAAAGGTCTGTAAAATAGTTTTAATCAGACACTGGTACAGAAGAGAAGGAGGGAGTGTGGGGGGAAGAAAGTTGTAACATATTTGAAGTTCTTTGGGTCGTTGATTTCTCTTTCAGACCCACCGTGCGGAGGTCGTTTGAATTCCAAAGATGCTGGCTATATCACCTCTCCCGGTTACCCCCAGGACTACCCCTCCCACCAGAACTGCGAGTGGATTGTTTACGCCCCCGAACCCAACCAGAAGATTGTCCTCAACTTCAACCCTCACTTTGAAATCGAGAAGCACGACTGCAAGTAAGCACCGTCCTGTCCCACTGTGTATCCCATCCATGAGATGCACACGCCCTGCCCCCACCCCTGCTCTTGTCACTTCTATCACCCCTCACCCCAAGACCTGCTGCTAACCAGTGGTGGATCCTGGCCCCAGAGGAAAACCTCAAGGGGCATTCCCTTTCCAGGGAAATAAAGGTGTGGCTGATCCCACAGTATGGTGGAAAGAGCCTTCTTGAGTGAAAAGTAGAGAATATTAACCTACCTCCAAAGGCCGGTAGTGGAGGAGAATTTCCATGTGGTGGCAGGGGCTGGACTACAAAACTCTACTCTTGACTTTGGGTTACCTTGCACTTGGAGATCTCCCCATTTCCACAGCTGCTACATGTATAAACCCCACCCACTTCCTTAATAAGATAGTAGCTGTATCCCCAAGTGGAGACTTCCCTCGCATCCAGCCACGCAGGATCAGCCTGTTACCTTATATAGCGGTAACTGGTTTTCTTATAGAAAAAAAAAAGGGTAAAAAAAAAAAAAATCTAAGTAGTTCTAAGATTCACATTGGTTCTTGATAGCTGTGCTACACAAGTAGAGTCTCAAAGTCAGTGTCATGGATTTATTTAACAAACACTCTTCTAATTGCATTACAAATATTAATCCATTTACTTTGCACAGTGGGCCCTGGGAAGTTAGTGCCATTATGATCTCCATTTTGCAAAAGAGAGAAAACCGAAGCACAGAGAGGTTAGGTCAGTCACCCAAGGTGACTCAGCTGGTCTTACAACATTGGTTCTGCCACCCTGGAAATGTGTGGCTTAGGAACTCCCAAGTGGACATTTAGACACTTGGGAGTACTTTAGAAATGCCATGTTACTACCGAGGTCCCTAAAAGTTAAGGTTGGGAAGCAGGCAGCATGTCTAGAATGCAGATGTGCTTTAAGCTGTCTACTGAGCTCCATCTTAAAGTCTTTTCTCATTGGAAATAAAGTGAGAGTTTTTGTGCAGAAAAGAATGTGCCAACAGTCATATTCTGCCCCAAATGAGCGCCTACGGAATGCTGTTACTCTGATAAGTATTCAGTGCTCCCATGTGATTCATAAATTGTCTAAGCATTCCTTGCTATTAAGCAAGGAATTGCAAATACTGAAAAATTAATAAGGGGGCCAGCTGGCAGGACAGGTACCAAGGAGAAGGCAAAACTCCTACAGGCCAGGTCTGGGCCAGCACTTCCTCATGGAGGAAACAAGGCCCCTCTTTAACTAGTGCTAGACTGTGAGGCTCAGTGAATTGATGTCATTATTATCCCCCTAGGGCTAATTTGCACCTACATAATGGTTTTCTCCTAACAAGAGGTAGCCTTTGTTGAAAACCAAAGGGTTTCCCGGATGAATGCCTCATGTGACGAAGAGTCATAAGATGAAGTTTCTAATCCCAGATCCACTCTTGACTCAACGGATGACATAGGGAAACTCATCAGTTCCTCTTTGTCTAAGTTACATGAGTACCCTGGATACATTTGCTCAGCATCCCAAGGCTTCTGATTCCCTGACAGTGAACTTTATCAAAGATTTCTGTTAGAAGAGCTTCTTTATAAGGTGTTTTGGGCTCTGATTCCTCTGGCTGGACTGCAGAAGGTTGGCACAAATGGAAGCATAATGTACAGAGAGAGCCTGGGTCTAAGCTCAGAGAAATTTGACTAAGCACCTTTCTCTACTAAGGGCCAAATTCTGTTATGCTTATGACAGCAAATCTCCCAAGGAAATTGCCAAGAGGTCATCCTATGTTGTATTCATAGTGGCAGAGGGAGAAAGCATGGCTTTTGGAAGGAAAAACTTAGGAGCTAGTAAGCATGGCTTAAAACATGTTGGGAAGGACGAAAGGCCAGAAAGGCCCTGCTTTGGGTTGCAGGGTACCCCTTCCATGGACAGGACTCAGTCCCAGAGATGGGGAGAACTGAAGGTTGCCAGAGACTCTGACAAGGGGAAGAAGAAGGCATTGCCCCTTGCTGGAGGTGGAGTAGGGGAAGCCAGCAATTTACAGGGTTATCTTCTGGCTTATCATCCTCGCTAAATCACTTCCTGTTTTTCTCCCCATTCCATGACCTCATGTGTCTGGTTTGAACCTAAAAAGTGAAGGAGGTCAGAAAAAAATCTTTCTGGGGTCTGTTTCTCCCAGTGCCAAACTGTCAGAGAGGCTCTGTTGGGATTAAGCCTCATCCACTTAACCTTGTCATTAATTCTCTGTTCCTCCCCCCATTTCTCCCCCACTCCCCATTTCTCTCTCTTTCTCTCTCTCATTAATTTTTGTATTTAGAAAGACTCATCTGGTTTTCTCAGCCTCTCACTCTTCAAGGTATTTTTGACATTTCCCCTGGCCATTTGCATTTGCCATAAATGGGCTTCCCCTCCCCACTGCCTTGTTTTACTTTCTTGTGAAAGGAACAATTAATCTAATTGAAGTCCTGGAAGTTCTGTCTTGTTCCGGCTCTCCCTCTCTCTTCCATACTGCATTTTCGTTCCAAGGGAGCTCCTGGGTTTGGAAAGCACTCACTCTCCAAGGAAATTAGCCTGCTTTCTCCTTTTATTTTGGGTGCATGCTTCAAATTGGATTTGGCTCTGCAGGCCCATAAGGTGGATACTTCCCAAAAGAAAACTGCCTGGGCTGGTCTTCCGATCACAGAGCACAGCAGCAATGCCCCAGCAAAAAGGGGAACTGAGCAAGAAAGTCAGGAGAAGCAGCCAACTCAGCTGTGGAGACAGAGCAGTGGTCAGCACACCCAACCTCGTGTTTGCCCGGGTTCTTCCTACGTGCAGGGTTAACTGCAAAGATTGCCCCAAAGCCTGGAAACAGGGCCCTGATATGAAAGAATTTATCCTGGGCTGTGGCCCCTGGGCCCTTGGCTCCCTGTATACCTTGAACTCTACATCCCAAAGGTTGAGACGGTTGCTGAGTAAACCCCAGATAGACCTTTTCCCCTAACCGTTGCTTATTAACTTTGTTCCATTGAAGCTTGCTGTCTGCTTGGAAAATTTCACTCACAAGCCGCAGCTTTGCCTGACTCAGTGCAATCCAAGGCCACCATCTCTGGTGAACTTCCCTTGACTCCTCCCTCCAGCCACTTGCAGAAATGCAAATCCTGGGCACCCACAGGCTGTTTGGGGGCCTGTATAGAAGCTGTGGGCAGAAACCAGAGGCCACTGTGGTACTGCTGGACTCCTGCAGCCAAAGGACAAAAGGGCGAGACTACGGGCCGTCTGGGCAAACAGAGAGAAGCCACTTTATTCCCTGTGGAGTGGAGGATGCTAGGATGTTGCTGCTCCGGCAGACAGAGGCCTTTCGCTTGAGTCATCAGCCAACAGACTGAATGTTATGGTTTTAGAAACCCATACACAAAGTTGAGTGGTTTTTTCCATTTCTAAAATTTAAAATGTATGTATTTTTAAAACACCCACCTGCATGTAATACACAGCTTGTTCAGGAGTTCTCAAACAGCCCCAGCACCCACCCCATCCCAGAGGCTCAACCAAATAAAACCAAAACCAGGAGGCTGGGTCCTTTTAAGCACTGGTAATTTCTACCTGTAATTCCAGCCCTTTGGGAGGCCGAGGCAGGCAGGTCACCTGAGGTCAGGAGTTCGAGACCAGCCTGGTCAACATGGTGAAACCCCGTCTCTACTAAAAATACAAAAAAAATTAGCCAAGCTTGGTGGTGCGTGCCTGTAATCTCAGCTACTCTGGAGGCTGAGGCAGGAGAATCACTTGAACCTGGGAGGCAGAGGCTGCAGTGAGCTGAGATTGTGCCACTGCACTCCGGCCTGGGTGAAAGAGTGAGACTCTGTCTCAAAAAAAAAAAAAAAAGAATTGGTAATTTCTAGATGGGTACCTTGATGGGTCTCAGAAAGAGCAAAACCCACTAGCAAGAAATGAAAGAACATTTCTTAGGCTAAAATCCTCAAGGAAGTCTACATAAATGATTGTATGTGCTATGTTCAGCCCAGCAATATCTCATATACCACGTATCATTGAAGAATGACATTCCATTTAGGTGAAGTGTCCAGATACTGAAATATCCACCTTTAAAGTTCTTAAAAGAGAACTTTAAAGAGTTCCAAGAGTTCTTTTTTAAAGGATTTCTGATAAAGAACATTCTAAATCATGTGCTGCACTTCCCTGTCTTTTTAAAACCTACATTGAGAGGAGTCAACTTTTTCTCAATGATTCAGGCTTTTAATTCTAAGCTTCACTTTTGTGACAGCAGCCAGTATTGCCATAATTGGAACAGGCAGATTAAGATTTGAATTTTTATTGACCTTTTAAACTTCCCAGGCCTCAGTTTCCTCATCTGCAAAGCTGTCATAATAATAAATATCTTGCAAGATTGCTCTGCCTTTTTATGTAGATGCCCAATAAGTTAGCAACTGTGTTAGCATCATTGGACTTTGTCAGGGGACAGTTTGGGACTATTTTCTATCAATCCTCCTGCTTTCACACATCCTGTTACGAGTATGCCTGTCTCCTGTAGCCTTCCCATTCTGACTTGTTTTTGCTTTTTTATGGGGTTATCAATTTTGCTTCAGGAGCCCTTGCTGTCTCTTGGGAAGTTTGAGTTCTGGGACCTAAGCTTTGCTCAAGCCAGTGCAATCCCAAGGCCAGCATTTCCAGTTGGCTTCAGCCAGCCAAGCTTGCAGCAGAGTTAGGACTGGGGAGTGATCCCCAAGTGACAAAGCGTAAGAGCAACAGAGGATGGAGTTCTCAACATCAGTGTAGCTGCTCACAATCTTTTTTTCTGAACTCCCCCACACCGTTATATTCTGCATATTTAAGGTTTTGGATATTTGCCTCTAAGTGTCCTAGATAAACAAGGTGCTCTTGTGTTTATTTACAGCCAGAGGGGCCCTCTATATCTTAGAAGATATGTCTGTTTCTCCCAAAGTAAGAGATGATATCTTAGAAAGGTAGCAGTTTCCCAGTTGATAACCTGATCATAGTAAACAGAGAGATCAGACCAGACCTTAGTCATCTGGCCCCTCCCCATTCAGCCAGCAGTGTTTCCCTGTGCTCAGTAAACACCCTCGATTCCCTGCAAACAACCAAGCATAGTCTTGCATCTGCATGAGCCCCCTGAGTTCCCAGGGCTCCAGCCCTCCTTTCCCTCCCTCCACAGTGTCCAGCTGCAAGCTCCCATCTTCCTCCCCTGAGTTTCCTTGCTTCCTGCAGTTCCCTTTTATCACCCTTTCCTCTGAACTCCCAGAGCACTTGATGTTGCCTGAGTCCCTTGCTTTTTGTTCATATGTGGTCATCTTGAGTTCTCAGCAAGTAAATTCTACAAGGGCACAAAGCATGTACTTCATATCTAAACTCCCATGGCGCCTAGTCTAGGAGGGTGCTAGGCAGGTGTGTGCAGGTGATTTCGTGATATTTTTTACATTGGAAATGCCAGGCAATAGGTCAGCATGAGCTGAATCTGTGTTGGAAGGCAGACAGATCTGTGTTCCCTATTTGTCCCTCTGGGAATATGACATAATCTTAGGGGGTAGGACACAGGCCAAGAATGTCACTAACTGATTTGGGACATGAGTCTCTCACCAACAAAATGGTAATAGACCATTCATTCATTCATCAGGAAATAGCTATTAAACACCTACTATGTGCTAAGCACGTTGGTATTATTGGGAATACAGTGATGAATAAATCATATTCTTTTCCCTAAAGTCACTGTTACTCTTTCCATTTTACAGATGAAGAAACTTGGGCTCAAAGAAGTTAAGCAACTGGCCCAAGGTTCTACTCCCATAAGTGGCAGAGAAGGGTTTTGAAGCCAGATACCCTAGTTTTCAATCTCTGCTTTACTCTTGTGCTGTCTGCCTCCCCGGCATCATGCATTTGGCAGGGGACATGATATGGACCTGTTACGTGGGCCCACAGCATCCAGGTCCAGCCTAAGCTGGGAAGATCAAGGAAGGCTCCCTGGAGGAGGTGACGCCTATACGAATTCTAAAGAATTTGGCCAGGCAGCAGGGAGTGTGTTTGGCTGGTGTCATAGGCAGACAGCAGCATGCCCAAAGACAAGAAGGAGGGAGGGTTTGATGCCTTCAGGAACCAAAATAATTGAACATGCCTGAACCCAATTTCTTAACCAGTGAGCATTGTAAGGGTAGACTAAAAGGGGCTGTCCTTGTGACTTGCTGACACAAACCCTTTTCCCGGTGAAGAGGTGCCTGAGCAATACTATTTAATTGTATTTCCTGGCCAGACAACTTCCACCATCTCCTTAGGAGACAGGGTGGTCAGGAAGCAGGAAAGACTAAGATGATGGGGACTCTCTGCTGTCCCCACCTTCCCTGTCCATTGTAGGGTCTCTGCAGCCTCATACCCTATGTCCAGCGACCTCCCCCACCCCGCCGCCAGTGGAATGCCTGAAAGTGGGGTTTGGCCTGGGAAAGTCCAGGTAACACTTCAGATTAAGCTCCTCTTGTCAATTTCCTGCTACACAAGACTTTCTGAATCCAAGTCTCTTTCCTATGAATAGAGGGCGGGAGGCCAGATTGCCCAGTTGGAGGTGTGGCTTCAGCTGGTCTCCGTTGAAGTCTGAAAAGCCAACAAAGCATAGTGAGAATTCTGTGTGGTTCAAGAGGGTGCCTTGTGCTTGTTGAGGAGAGGCCGTTGGCTTGATCACTCACGACACTATTACTGACGTTATTATTTACTGCCTGCCCAACCACAGAAATATTCTGATTCCCCTAAGGAGCCAGTGAGCAGTAATAATTTTCTGTATTGCAACAATCCTCCTAATGACAGAAACAGATCCACCTCCAGGTACGTGGTGGACGAATGGGAGCAGCTGGCTGCTGGCCCCACACTTACCAACCTTGACCACAGGGTCCACCCAGCAACTCCACCTCACCCATGGATCAGGGGGAAAAACAACTCACAGACTGTTCTCCTCTTACCAAGGTTAAAACGCAGCTGGAATTACTTTGGGCAGTTTGTTTTTAAAAATGAGTGTTGCAATTGTAACTGTCTCAATGCAAGCTTCGCTGTAGATGCCCTTCTTAACAATATGCTTTATCTTCTGACTGAGAAAATCACTTGAGATGTTATCATGCACAATCCCACTTGTTCTGCCTCTCCACCCTGGCACCTTCTCCGAACCCAGAGATCCCAGAGGGCCAGCATCTCACCCCATGTAACTCCATGTAATTCTCCCATCTAATTACACCGGCTGAGAGTCTGTCTTAAGAAATTCAGTGGGAGCTCCAGGTGTGGAGGGGATAAAGAAGAGATGGAAATATACCAAGTGAAAACATCAGATTTTTCTAAAAAGGGATTTGTGTATTTTCCTGGAGTCATGAGTCCTATAGAAAAAAATTTATATTCTTTTTGTTTTGTCCTTTTTACTGGCAAGGGATTTAAGCCTTTGGATTAAGAGAAACTCAAAAGATAATTTAATTCCATTCTTATACTTCTGCCTGGATAAATAATTCCAGAAAAAAAAAAAAAAGATATCAGCTGCCCTTGTCTTTCCTTCCAGAAAAGAGCTTCTGTAATCGTCCTTCATTATGGGACATCGTGCCTCACAACTCATCTCAGTTGATTGCAGAGTAGATGGTTGTATTTAATTTACATAATCAAAATTTTTTTCCTAGAAGGAGAATCCCTGAAAAATGTTAGCTGGGTCAAAATAAAATTTTCTAAAAAGAAGAAGGAAAAGGAAAAGGAGAAAGAAATGTGAGTTGGGCTTAGGTTTGGGAGGGCAGCAGAAAAGCATGACTTTTTTTATGCCTCTTTTCGAGCTTTGTAGCCAAGCATCTTGGCAGTCTCTAATATTTTTCTACTTTTTCCCACTGGGGACTCAACTGTATGTTTGTGGGTCACGTGGAGGAACTCTCAAAATTAGACAACAATAGCAAACATTTATTGAACTCTTGCCAGACATCAGGTCCTACCCTAAGTTTTCTATGTTTAACCGCCACAGCTGGTACTGGTACTACTATTATCCCATTTAACAGATGTAGATACTGAGGCCCTGAGAGATCACACAGATAGTAATCGTGGGGCTGGGTTTGAAGCCAGGCAGCCCAAAGCTGCCTTTGTATACCTGTGTCAATCTGCTTGGAGCTGTCATCTGCTGTCCCAGTGCTTAGGTATTTGGGGCCTCTCTGATTTCTTTAGATATCCTTGACAAGCCTTTTCTTTTCCTTTTCTCTTTTTATTCCTTTTCTTTGCCTCTTCCTGCCATGCAGTCACCTCCGGATGCCAGCGGGGCAGTCAAGGAGAGAGATCTCTTTCTGTGTCTTTAAATACAAGCCAGAGGCCTCTCAGTCCATCGTCTCTCTCTGCCTCCCTGTCACCTACCTCCTACTCCCCCAATCCCCCCACAGCCCCGCTCACCATCCTCTTCAAATTCCCTGCCATCCTCACCACCACCTTCACTCTCCATCTGGAGTCCAAAGATGTGAGGGCCAGTAATAGAGTGTCAGCGGAAGTAATTGATTCCTCACACCGAGAGAATTCGCCTGCCTTTAGTGTCAATGGAGCTGAACCAGAGTCTTGGAGGGTGAGCGAGACATGTAAACAGTCCGTGGCCGAGCTGTCAGGACGAAGCCAGACACACCGGAGAGTGAACGAGGGGGGAAATGGTGGAACAAATAATTGTTTTATTGGAAAGGAAAGGAATAAATAATATTTCAGCCCAGGAACTGGCAGTTTGAAAGAGATGGTTGAGAGCTTGGAGCAGAAGGATTCGTGATGCAGGTTTTAATGGAAGAGATTTTCTTTGTCTCAAAGTAGGAGGTTTCGTCCCCACCCGACCCCCCTCTCCCATTATCATCATTATTATCATTAAAATAATTACTGTAACAATTACAGTTGATGAGACCTCAGGTTTATACAGCACCTTTCATCTAAAAGTTCAAAGCGATTTATCTATGTGTCATCTTTTGAGAGTGGTAGGAGGGTAAGAAACTATTATTTTGGGGGGTCATCTGCTGGGAAACTGAGGTCCAAGCAGATACAAGATTTAGTCCAAGCCTCAGGGCAGGCTGCTGGGTTAAATGGTGGGGTACTGAGTTATCTTCTTGGGGGCCTTTTCTGCTGTACTCTTCACTGCCTGGGCCTTTATACACACGTGGCTCTTGAAGCTCATCCCCGGCACTGATGCCTCCTCCCACACTGCCAGGGCCTCCACTGGTCGCTACAATATTGTGGCCAACCAGCCAGAAGCTCTGTGCGCAAAACAAACAGCCTGCTTCTGGCTGTGAGATGAATAAAGATCCTTCAAGGTCTGACTCACACAGCTCCCATCCTGCTTAGAGACTTCCTGTAATCTGGTTCCCTTTCTTGTAGAAGCTCATGTCCTTTCTAAACATCTTTCTTCATGGTCTTATGAGGCTCTAGCCAGGAGCACCCAACATTCCTAAATGCTTGCTTCTTCCACCCCCAACAAACCCCAACCTGTTCTCTCAGAATGGAAAGGGCATTTCTGGGATGGGGAGAGAAGGTGAATGCTTTAACATGCCTCACATGGCCCGGGCTGCCTGTGCAGCATGATGCTTCAGAATGCAGCTGTCGAAAGCATAGTCACAAACGGAAGCGGTTCCAGCTGACTGGCCCCTGAGTGCTAGATTCAGAATCTCCGCCCTGGCGTGGCAGCAGCCCTTTCCTGCTTGGACATTAGTGCAGGCCCATCATTTCCACACCATGGTGTTTTTTGCACAGTAGTGACAAGTTTGCCCCTGGAGCCAGGAGAAGCTCCAAGCTCTGTAATCTGAAGCTCCAAGTAAATGAACTCTAAAAGGGAGGCCCATCACACCTGCCACCTACTCCCAAACTGTCCCCTACTTGGATTTCTGCATGGCACGTTTTTCAGATGAGTTTTGCATCTTCCAAGTTTTGTTAGGGAGGCTGGATGCCAGCAAAGAGGAATAGAAAAATGATATGGAGCCTAAATCCCTGGAAAAACAAAAAGGACTTTTCTGTTGCTGTGGTGGATTCCCTGGTGCCCAGTACACTTCCGTTCCCAGCAGGCTCCCGTTTTTTGGACAGACGGGGAAGTTATGATTTGCCCTCACAATTGGATCCCCTGGGAGCCAGAATTAGTGTGAACACCTATTCCGGAGGGAACTGTTCACCCTGCCGAGTAAAGGGGCACTGCCAGCACACCAGGGGCCCCAGACGCTGTGCTCTGATTGCCCTTCAGTGACCACCCATGCAGGCAGCCCCACCGGGCACAAAGGCATGATTCCTGTTCCCTTTTGTCAAATGAGGCCAACTGAGGCACACAAGCATGATTGATCCAGGCCAGCGTAGGAAAATTTAGTAAGTCCTGGCCCTGCTGGGATTCACCTTTACACCTGCTAGTGCTGCTGCTGCCGCTGAGAAAAACAGAAATGGAAAGAAATTGTGGACTACTCTTCCTTTGCACTCTGGTATCATTCCAGAATGCTACCAAGGGGCCCTTTAAGTTGACTGCAGAGGGTGAGGATTTTATAGACACAGAGCAGACCAACGAAAGACCCAACACTCATGCTGAAAGCAGCCTGCCCCCAAAGCCTTAAACTTCACATTGGCACCGGTTGCCTAGAAAACCATTCCTTACATAAGCAAACATGTTTCATCCAAGTGGCCTCCAGTGTGTGTGCTGGTCCAGAAGCAGAGCAGACCCGTGACCACACGGCCTCAGGAATGCGCCTTGCTGGCCAGCCAGGTCAGCGAGGGAAATGGTATTCACCCAAAGGACCAGTGCAGAAGTTGGGGAGGCTTTGTTGCGTGCCCTTAATTCTCTGAAAGTTCACCTTCAGAGAGACTTATCAGATGCGTTGTCTGGAGTGGCCTCCTTCCTCACGTCAGGAGGCATTCTTGGCAGCCTGCTCCATGAGGAACAATGAGATTGGCGGGGCCCTCACCATCATCGCAGGGCCTTTGCGGAAAAAGAGCCAGCAATTATAAATAGATGTTATTTGTCGTTTCCATTTTCTTGCCTTCAAGGTTTTTTGGAATAATTCCTTCAGTTTGTTTTGGGTTATTCTCTCCGTGTACTTCCTTTGGTGGGTGGTCAGACTTCCTCCTTTCTGAAGAGCCATGGTGACCCTGGTTGTGAGGGGATTGTGGATAAGAAGCTCAAAATATCAGCGATTTGTGGTGGGAAGAAATGAAGGAAGAAAATACAACTGCAAACAGCCACTATTAAAAAGGCGCTTGGTACTGATGCAGATACCCAAACAAATACAGAGTTTGGTAACTGTTTGAGCCCTTGGCGTTAAATAGCAAACAAGAATAACAGCAGCAGTAACAACAAATGGCTATTCATGGAGCATGTACTGTGTGCCATACACTGTGCTGACCCATTGATATGCATTAACTCACCAGCCTCTTGGGAGCTTGAGCACCTTGCTATCTAAGACAGCAGATGGAGGACGGGTGGTTTTGAACATAGCCTGGGCTCAGAAACACAAGTTTGAAATAAAATCTCGAAAACTCAAGTGTCTGAAACACTGTTGATGGATTTGTGCAGGGGGATGATTTTTTAGAAACCCAGCCCCAAGAAGCAGGGTATTGAGACTGCCTCTAACTGTGCTTTTCGTTTCATCTTCTCCTGTCTGGCTCCCAAGGTGTCATGTGTGTGTAACTCTTCTCTTCTCCACATCCACCATCCTGTTTTGTTTTATGCTGGTAATAATAAAAATAGCCAGGGGCTCTCAGGTGCTTCCTTAAGGCATCTGGCACTGTGCTGGGCCTGCATGTACCTTCGCAATCCTGCCACCACCCGCAAAGGTGGAGACTGTTATTATGTCCATTTTGTAGATGATGAAACTGAAACTCAGAGAGGTTAAATACCTTGTCTGTAATCACACCATGAGCAAGTGCCAGAAAGTAACTGGGTCTGTCCACAAAGCCCACATGCTACACTTCCCAGGTTACACAACACCCTCTTAGGTATGTTTCCGTTAACAGTAATTTAACGTTTCTTTTGTCACAGACCTTTTCCCTAGAAAAATGTGCCTACTCACAAACACAAAATTTCGGCAAACAAAGATAGAGCTTCCCCAACCCACTTACACTTGTGTGTAGGCCCTAGGAGAAATCCCCGCATTTAAGAATATGTGCTCTAGATGATAACTTAAGAGCTTATAAATATATGGGATGCTGCTTTCTCACTCCATGGGCCATATGTTCACATATGGATATATATGTGCTTATAAAAATACTCCACTTACAAAAATTAATATGTTATCCCATCTGAACTCTTACAAGCTAGATTTCTGCTGGGTGAGTCTTGAAATCATGGATTCCAAATCCGCTCACTTTTCCTGTTGGTGATTTGTCTATTAATTTTGGTAAGTCCTTCAGCCTTGTTTAAACAGAACAACTCAAAAGAGCAAGATTCTGTTAAGTCTCTTACATATCTTACACCCATTTTGTGGAAACCTAACTGAGGCCCTAAGGATTCTTTACACCTGGTACCTGCTAATGCTATTGTGCTATGGCAATCCGGTATTTTCATTGCCCTCAGATCTTCCTCCCACAAGGAGACAAAGGGAGGAAGGGAAGGTCTCTGTGCCCTGGAGTTTGACTACTTGGGTTCAATGCCTGTCTCTGACCTTTCCTCCTCATGTAACCTTGGGCAGGTCACTTAACTGCTCTGAGCCTCGATGTCTGCATCTGCAAATGGATGGTAATTGTAACAGGGCCTGGTTTGGATGAAATGAGGATTAAATGAAATAATATCTGAATCAATGGCCTGGCCCATAGTAAATGCTCAATAAAATGTGAACAGTTTGCAGATATACCAGCTTTTTAGTAAATGGGTGGTACAGATGCAAGGCAGAAATTCAAGGAAATGAAATTTACTTTAAAAAGTCTGACCTGACAGTGAGCTGACTTCTCCATAAAGGCTAGGTGACTGTACTGAGCCTAAGGAGCAGGTGGCCTGGCTTCAGGCCTGAACCGACCAGAGACCTCAGCATTGTGCAGATCTGCCTTGCAGCCTTTTTAGACATCGTGCAGCTTCTTTGTTGGGAAGTTGTATGTGACAGTGCTGTTTTTTTTCCTCCTAATTTCCTCACAGGTTTTAATGTAAGGATTAATAAGACAGTGTTTGTAGATGTCTTTGAGCCTCCTGGAAGAAAGGCACTCCAGGAGGTGATAAATTCTCTGGCCTGGATAATCTACTCATGAAATATGGAACTTTGAAAGTGTGAGAAAAATCTCAAATCACTTTGACAGCATTTTAATTATAGTTGATTTGTTTGCCGCTAATAGTGAAAATGCTGTCAGCATGATTTGAGATGTTTCTTCCACTCAAAATGTTATATTTCATGTTTTTGAGTCACAAGGCAACATTTTGGTTTTCAGATACAACCAGAATAGCTCAGTAAATGTGTTGGGGCACAAAGACAGAGAGTATAAAATGGATCAAACTCCACGGAAAGCATCATCGTAGCACGCATTCTTCTCAACATGGAACACCAGCCTGAAGTCCCTTATTCATTTACATTTATTTACTCAACAAAAAGTGAATGAGACCTCCTACATGCCAGGCACCAGGGAAGTGTCGTAAATTCAGCAGTGAAGAGGCAAGGTCCTTGCCTTCATGGTGCTTATTGTCTGGTGCAGGAGACAGATCATAAACAAATAGGTATATTGACAAGACCTTTCCAGATTATAATCATAGCTATGAAAGAAGTAAGATGATGGTGAGATAGAGAATAAGGGCATGCCATCTGAAATAGGGTGGTGACAGCAGGCTTCTCTGTGGAGGTAACATTTGTCCTTAAGCCTGAAGGATGAGCAACAACCAGCCCTGGAAAGCACCAATGAGGAGTACTGCAGGCAGAGGAAAGAGCGCTTGCAAAGGCCCTGGGGTTGGAAAGAGCTCACCATATACAAAATGTCTTCAACATCTTATGATCTTATGATGAGCAGTGTGAAAGGAGGCCTTGCTTGGTTGGCAAAGGTTATGATGTCAGGACTTGGGCAGAGATGTTCTGATACGTAGACCCAAAAGAAGGGGCAGAGTATTCTTCCTCCGAAGACCTAAGTACTCTATCTTCGATACAGAAATCCCCTTCCAAGTGGTTCTGTGTGGCATCCCTAAAGCTGGATTCTGACAAGGGCCAGACATTTCGGTGCCCTGAGAGAAGGACCTAAGCTTGGTGAATCTTCCAGCACAGGCTCCGTTGACTAACCCAGCCTTTGGTGCCCTGCTGGGAAGTGTCAAGCGTGGAGACAGTTATGGAAACTAGAAAGCCCTTTTTCATGTTTGCCTAGTGATGAGAGGAAGAGATGAGATTGTTGCTTTTTCATATCTCTCCCGTGGACTCTTAAAATTAACTTCACTGTCAAAATTTCCCATGGCCCAAATGTAGGTTTGGGGAGAGAAATGTAAGACTTTGAAGTTGAGAAAGAAAGTAGAGAAAGCATTCTCTAGACAAATGCTCACCATGCAGACTTCAGAATCTGTGAGGAGACAAATAAAAAGGCACTCGGGGAACCGTTTTAGAGAGAAAATAAAGAACTGGGAGTAGAGATGGCTACTTCAGCTCAGGAAAAAAATAAATAAAACAATACAAGGTAGTGTTAAAGCTTTGAAAGGAATTTTTCGTTTAGGAGAGATTATGGATAATGAAATGCAAACACTCTAGTTAATATGTCTGTTAGCTGGTTTATGTTGCCTTCTGGAAAACGAGTGATACGTTCTAAGAGGAGCAGCTTTTCAAGTTATCCTACTTGACTATCGTTGGGGTGAGCTCTGAGTCTGTACCCCGGATTCCTTTACCAAACACTGGATATTAGACACTAGATGCAAAGCCGTATTTATTCCAAAGCCAGAAACTTCCTAAGCCTCTGCCTAACTCTTCACAAATGAACCTGACAACACTGAAATTTCTAAGGAGATTTACTCCAGCTGTAGCAAATCCCTCATAATAAAAAATTTCCCCAAATGAGTCAGTCACACAGGAGGTAAATGAGACATTCTGTATGAAGTCAGCATGTCATTTGGAGTGTGCCCTTTATATAAAAGGCCCAGCCAGAAGACCATGTGGTTAAGTGGGGCTTGTCCACAGGGCAGAACCAGAAGACTGGAAGTTGGGGGGATTTCAGCTGCCGAACTGTAACTCTGTGTCACTTCCCCTCAAGCAAACCTTATAGAAAAATCTAGTTTTTCTAAGAAGTTCAAGTAAGGTTTGTTGATTATTTGCTTCACAAAAGGATTCAGCAGAGGGGTCCTTTAACTAACAAGCTCAGAGAAAAAATTTATAGTATGATTGAATTATATGAAGCTTTTTCAAAAATGCATCCCTTCTCTATATGTGTGTTAGATACATAAGGATGTATTTGTTGCAGGCAGCATTACAAGAAGGGATTTGGGGTGGTCTGTATCCGTTGAGTAAATTGAGGCAAGCTTGTAACAGTGGCATTTGTTGGGCAGCCCTGCTTCATTGCTGATTCTGTTAATCCCCTAAATGACTCCATGGGTGATTAGGCAACCAGATAAAACCCTCTCACTTCTGATGAACAAGCCAGTGGGATGGCAGGGCCTCTCTTTGTCCTTCCTAGAGAAATTGGCAACACAAAGACTGGAACTATCTGGTGAAGCTTTAAAAAAAAAGTTTAAAAAATTATTTATTGAATGTGGGTCATGTCCTTGGCACTGTTCCAGATGTCCCGACCTACTGTGTCTCATTTATTCCTCACTCCAGTTCTGTGACATGGATGATGATGGTGATGATGATGAACTTCCTTCTACATCTGCTAAATCATGACAGCTGGATTCTTTTACAAAGAAGAGAGAAAAAATTACCAATTATCCTACCACCCATGTCTGTCGCCATTGTTCATATTTTAGTAGTCTTTCAGACTTCCTCTGTATGTTTATGTGAGGAAATGTATGTATACCTTTTAAAACATACTTTTAAAAAATCTCCTTTTTAAAAAGTTAACAGTATAGCGTGAACATTTTTCCATAAAAACAAAAAATTCTAGACCTGCAGACTATTGATTGTAGCAGGAGAGTATTCCATTTTATAAATATCCCAGATGGATTCACCCTCCCTCTACGGTTGGGCTTTGAAACCATTTATAAGCAAAATATCCTCCCACTTTTTATATTTTTTCAAAATATATGCACAAAGATGCATATGCATCTTTGCACAATTGTCTGATTATTTTCTTAGGAAAAATTCCTAGCAGTAGGATTGCTGGATTAAAGGCTATGTACATATTAACTTCTGTCACATTTCACCAAAATGCCTTTCAGAATGTTTGAACAGATTTCCATTCCCGCTGATACTACACCTCTGCTCATTTGTTCCATTTCTGAAAACAGGGTCGCTTCTGCTCTGTGGCTCAGCCTCCTTGCCTGTGAAATGGGTGTGAAAATACAACAAATCACAGTTCACATTTACTTAGCACTCACTGAGTGCCAGACTATGGACTAACACTTTAGATAGATTAGATTTTGTCATTTAAGTCCCACATCAACCCTAGGAGAAGACTGTAATATCCCTACTTTACTCTTTTTCTCCCCATTTCTGAGGCTCAGAAAGGTTCAGTAACTTGCCTGAGGTCACCCAGCTAAAAAGTGGCCAAGCTGGGGTGCAAGCCCAGCTCTGTCTGCTTCTGGGATTGGGACTCTTGCGCTCTGGGCCATGCATTTCTTAGTCCAGATGAGTTGTCTGATTAATGAACATGGGTAGCAGAGCCTCTCAACCTTTGTGCACATTGCCAGGGCATCACCATTGCTCACAGGAATGTGTCTGTCCAGCAGTGCTTGCCTTAGTGTGAAAATAGCACGGAGGGGTTTTCTGGAAGGTTTGGGAGTTTCCCCTGAGAACAAATGAAGCGTCTTTTTACTTTTGTTTTGGAAATGAGGAAGCATGTTTTCAAAGTCAGCACCATCTCCCACACTGAAACCACAGACCTAAACAGATTCCCCAACCTCACGGTCTTCTCAATCTGTGACCATCTCTCCATTTCTCCCTGGGGGTTGAAACTGCCATTTTGACTTCTCCAGACTCTAAGGAGCTTCAGCGGTTCTTTTTGGACTGTGGGAGTCCAGCCCTGTGGGGTCTAAGAATGAATTAATCCTGGCCCACTCCTTAGACTTCCTTTACAGGCCTATTATTTGAAAGTGGCTAAGTAACATAGCTCCTGGGGGCTGAAGTGAGGCCTCAGGCCTCCCCAGCTCACACCAGCCACTCCTTCCGGCAGCCGGCAACCCCAGATCCTTGTATGTGACAGGATCCTTTGGCAGGCACATCCCACAGAAGGGTGCATTCCCAGCCCTCTCCTTACCCGCAAGGAAGAGATTTCTTAAGTGTTGCTTTAACAGGTTGATGCAAAATAAATAAACAGAAAGGGAGGGAGAGGGAGATGGATGGTTTTCAGTAAATAATGGTGCAGCGGCCAGCAGTTGGAAGGGAGCTGGTGGGAGGAAGTTTCCCACCTAAGCAGTTGTGACAGGAGTATTAACTGGGAGCCCAAAAGCAGCACAAACGCAGCACAGTGAGGACTGCCAGAGCACATACCGGGGCTGGAAAATGTGTGTCTGTCAAGATAAAATGGTGCATTATGTTTGCACCTTCCCATGAACGGAGCCAAGGGTATCTTTGAGGTGCCTGCTTCCCAGCCCTGGCCAGTTTGACTCTGCTTCAAATGAGCACAGGCCTCCACTTCAGGAGGGCAGCCTGCCCTGCCTCTCACTGAGGCTAATAGTTGTGTGCACGTAGACAGTGGGCCCCTGGAGACTCACCCCTGCTTTTGGAGAAAGGTTTTTATCGCCTTATCTAACATGAGGCTGATTCCTTTTAAGAACACATGTTGACTAGACACTGCTGATGGGAACCTCGCAGAGTCATCTTAGGGAGGCGGTGGCCCACGGGTGGGGAGTCTTTGTCACTAACAATTAAAGAAGGGATGGCCCAGGGGAAAATTGAAACAGGGGGCTGGAGGGAGATGGGAAAATAAACAAATGTCTCTGAAACATCCCCCGTGTGCCTGGCACAGTGCCTAGCCCCTTACATATATATTTTTTTTCATTCTATCTTCTCCCCAGCCTTGTGGAGTGGATATTTTTATCCTCATCTTACAGATGAAGAAATTGATGCTCAAAGGGGTTCAGCAGCTTGCAATGTCACAGAGCTAAGAAGGAGAGACTAAGATTCTGAGAGAGCATAATGGAAATAAAAATGGTGCTATTGAAGGAAGAAAAAAATGTGTTTTGTGATATTTGATAGAACGATGCTCCTGCTCTTACGTGGGCAAGAGATAAGGCCTTCCAGCCATGTGTTTATTCACTCTGTGGCTTTCACAAAGCACAACGACCTGCAGTATCTCTGTTTGCCAGTCTGTACAAGCAGACATAAGTGCCCTTCGCTTATCCATCTGAAACACCTTAACTTCTGCAAATGAATAGAGAGACATAAGTGGGAGCGACACAGTGGTCCTTCTCATGTCCTTCGAGTGATCTTTTCTTGTCTGTGCCATCCCCACCCAGGTATGACTTTATCGAGATTCGGGATGGGGACAGTGAATCCGCAGACCTCCTGGGCAAACACTGTGGGAACATCGCCCCGCCCACCATCATCTCCTCGGGCTCCATGCTCTACATCAAGTTCACCTCCGACTACGCCCGGCAGGGGGCAGGCTTCTCTCTGCGCTACGAGATCTTCAAGACAGGTCAGTGTGGTCACACGTAGGGGCCGGGAGATGGGCGTCTTAGAGAAGAAGGAGGGACAGCACCCAGTGGGCTGAGGCACTGGGTAAGGGTGACAGTGTCATCCAGCTTGAGCATGGTGAGAGGTTCAAGGTGAACCCACAAACATCATGAGAAGAAGAGCCAGCTCAGATTATCCACCAGCTTAAGGGGGCGGGCTGTGGGCGGGGGGGTGGGGGTGGGGTCAAAACAGCCATTGTTTGTGGTATTAGACAAACAGAAAAACACTTCTTGAAAGAATTGGATTTTTGTATGTTTTTTAAAATCAAAATAATCTTCATGGGAAAAAGCAAAACTCTGATGACTTTCTCACGATTACTTCATGGTCTAATGATGTCTTTATTTGGAACTACATGGGGCTGAGGACATAATCTTTTCATTGTTTGGAGTCTCTAAAGATCTTGCCATGACCTCCCAAATGGGGTCACACCATAGCTTTTAAATTAAAATAAGGTTCCTAGAAATTCCCCTTGGCAGTCCATGTTACCACCTCTGTCCATTGAACCCCTACTCTCTAAATGCCAATGAACTTGACTCCCTGAAAAGCAATCAAAAAATAGCAGAAAAAGAGTCAGAGGGCACTGCACTTGCTTTAAGTTGACTGCTTGATTTCCATCAGGTCCCCCTTAGATTACTTTAGGGCCTGAGAATATGGGCCAGTGCTCATTTCCAAAACTAAATACAGCAGACTTTTATTCACAAGACCCCGCTTCATCAGCTACACTCAAGCTCTCCCAGTGGTGTGTCCTCTTCTGTGATGTGTGGAGCTTGTTATCTCGAGGCTAAGGGAAGCATGTCCTCCAGTCCTCCCCACCCACCACCCACTCCCTTCCTCAGAGGCTCCCCTTCCATCTATGTGTGTGTCTCCCCTCTCCCCCCAGCAGCCCAAGTTTTACAACTCGTGGATGGAGTCTGGTTCGAGGGGAGGTTGTCAGCCTTGTCATCAAGAGGCCCAAGACCGGCGCCTGTTGAGTTCAGTGTGAGGGGAACTATTCATATATATTTTCTTTTTCACTAAACAGCTCTTGAAAGGAAGTGGTAGCTGCTGAAAGCACTTTTTATATCCACTCTGTCTAAATATTTGTCGGATTTGTCTGCCCGAGAACAAGAACGTGGAATCAAATGAAGGGGTGGGGCAAGGGGACTGTGTCATGCAAGAGTGGCAGCCCAGGCTGCTGCAGGGCACAGGTCCCAAGAAGGTTTCTCTGCCTTGGGTTTTCATGCTCCTGACTATGATGAGGTCACAGGGGCTGACAATCTGTGTGTCCAGTGGCTCAAGCTGTTGTGAGGCCCCTGAATAGCTTGATCCATATTCCCCTGAGTCTTGTGCAAAATTCAGATCAATGCCACCAGCACCAGTGGAGCATCCTCTGCTGCCGAGCAGTGGGGAGAATAAAAGAGAAAGAAATAAAAGGGGATGCTTGCTCTCTTCGGGTTGGAGAGGCAGGTGTGCAAACCCTTTGCACGTAACAGATTCGCAGGTGATGTTATTGGATGAGTATGTATGTAAATTGAAAGGAAAACTATGATATGAGGCAGAATGAATAAGTGCAAAGTAAAGGTACAATTGACATGTGGTGGTTATGAAAATGGGGGAGCAGTCAAGTGGCTTAGCAATCGAGGGGCTCCAGAGAATCTATTCAATAGCAAGGTCCCTAGTGCTAATGCTGCCACTCGGCTGCACTGTGCTGGCCATGAAAGGAAAACAGCTCCAAGCAAGATCTTCCAGGAAGCTGGCCAAGGGAAGTCAGAACAAGGGTGAGCAGGGCCATGAAAACTCAGCCTTGGTCTCACACCACCCAACTTAGTATTTCACAAGGCATCATGCTACATTCTCCAGAAAGCCACAGGAAAAGTCAATGTTCACTCTATCCATCATGCAAATTTGAAAGGAGGATATTAAAAGATAAAACATGTAAGAGGGTATCATAATTCAATATCGCTGTCTTGAGGACATGCTGAAGCAGGATTTCAAATGAAGCAACAAGTCTGTGAACTGCCTAGAAACAATGGTGCCAGCCAACGGAGCTAGGTGGCTTCAGCTTGGAGAAATGGGGTGGCCTGCTTTAAGGATTGGGGTTGCCTAGTGAAGAGATTGTAAGAGAAAGCCCTGCCAACAACAGCCACACTCCTGGCAATGTAAGAGAGCAGATGAGAGCCCATAGACTTCTCAGGGCCACTCGTACCTGCCGTCATACCCACCTGCTGCTGGAAGAGCAACTGTCCGCATGACAGTCAGTCTTATATATGCCGGGCGCAGTGGCTCACACCTGTAATCCCAGCACTTTGGGAGGTTGTGGCAGGCGGATCACCTGAGGTCAGGAGTTTGACACCAGCCTGGCCAACATGGCGAAACCTGGTCTCTACTGAAAATACAAAACTTAGCCGGGCATGGTGGCACGTGCCTGTAATCCCAGCTACTTGGGAGGCTGAGGCAGGAGAATCACTTGAACCCAGAAGGAGGAGGTGGCAGTGAGCCGAGATCATGCCATTGCACTCCAGCCTGGACGACAAGAGCGAAATTCCATCTCAAAAAAAAAAAAAAGTCAACCTTGTATAAAGTGCAGAAATGTGCAAGGGAGCAAAATTCAAAACAGAGAAGTTTAGAAAAATGAGCATTCATGCAGGTGCCTTGTCCTATACCCACATTTCCATTGTTGGAGTCAGGAGAGAAAATATACAAAGTTTACGTCATCCACAGAACATGAAAGAAATGGGTGGACATGCTGAAGAAATCCAAACAAACACAGCTATGTTTGCTAGTCGGATTCATAGAGAGGAAGAAGCGGGGGAAACTGTAAACACAGATACGCAAATAGCCATACAGAGGGCTCTAGAAGCCTTCGATGGTACATTACCCTGGTGAGGCTCTGCTGTAGGACCCACAGTGTGAGTGCAGACCAGGGCATGTGGCTGGCGTGGAAGGTTCATGTCTGCCCTAAGTGAAGTGGTGTATAAAAGATTCTATATGTTACCAGACTGTCTACATTTAAAAGGGTAAGCCAGAACAACTTACATACTTAAAAGATCTCAAATCAAGATACCATGAGCAGAACAGAAACAAAAAAAAAAAAAAGGAATTTTTAAACGTAAAATGTCACATTGAAAACAAAATCAGTGGAAAATGTGTGTGTGTGTGTGTTTGGTTTTTTCCAGAAGCTCCTTTAACCATAAGTTCAAGATTAGGTTTTCTTTCCTGTTTGCCTGTGACACTTCAGAAACTGACATTTTTGGGGTCATTCACAGAGGTAGAGAAAACTCGGAGTGCCTACTGCCTCCACTTCCTGAATTCAGGAACTGAATTCACCTTCTGCGGGGAAGGCAAACTCAGCTTTGGGTAAATCCACTGTGTTTTAAATGTCTTGATACCTATAGATTCTTCTACTTGCAGAGTTATTGTAAAATTCACAGCGGAAAAACAGAGTGGACATTTTTCATAGCAGAGTCTTTTCCTATGAAATCATTCGCTGCAACCCAAATCCCCCAGCTTCTGTAGACAATCTTAGCCTTGAGTGGGCTTGAGTATTTGTTGACTTGAGTTCTTCGTTTAACCTTTAAACCTTCTAACACATCTCAGAAAAGGATCTTGGATAAGGCAGATGTCTGCAAGAGCCAGCCAGCTTCTGCCTCCTTTTCTGAGATCTCTTCCTGGCATCTGCTATTCAGCTGCTTTTGTGATGCTGCAAACAGTGAGATGGTACGATTAGAGATGAATGCATGATGTTAACAGACAGGTTTTATTTTTCTGCATAAAAATAGATAAAACTGGACAAAAGTTTTTCCACCGCCTTCAAAATAAGCCAAAGGATATACCCATTTATAGCCATATATCAGAAATGCTTTTTTCTTTCTTTTTTTTTTTTTTTTTTTTTGCCTTAAGTACCTAAGGTTGAAGTTTCTTTTCAGTCAAATGCAGGAGCTCAGGACCCTGGGAACTATGGATACTTTCAAATTTCACATTCTCCAAGCCTCTCTTAGACTCACTAGATGTCCATCGTGGAAGCACTTGTGCCCTACCAATGACAGGAACCAAAGAAAGATTCCGCCAGAAAATTCCCCACTCCCAGGGGGGTGGACATTCCCCTTGCCTTCTAAGGGAATGACAATAGAGCAAGCTCTAAGAGGGCATGTCAGGATGCTCTTTCTAGCTCTCAAGCAAGAAGTGAATAGAGAGTTAATTTCCTCACAACCATGTGTGAGGCTCAGCTGAGTGGCCCGCATGAAGAATGCTGCACAGCAGCCATAAACTCTAACCTTTTCAAAATTCCTCTTGGCCCCCTGAAGACCCGCCAGCTGGCTTGGCTTTGCTGAATTGCCTCATCCCGGGCCATTGAGGAGGCCCTCAGGAGTCCGAAGCCCAATCATAAACAAAGCTGGGGGAGGCAGCCCCAGCTCATCCCTCCAGGACTAGCTGCCCATTGAAAACTCGGCCTGACCTGCTGCTGCCATGCATATGAATGATGGGGTGCAGAGCCTCTGAGATTCGCTGCTTAGAGCCTCCACAGAACCCATGCAAAGGTTAGCCCTTGCCCTCGTGTGTTCCTAGTCCCTACCCTGCCAAAGCACAGCACAAGGTGGAAAGTAGGAAGTGATGGATGGATAGGTAGGAGATACTGGAATTTTCTGTCTGGTGCTGAAGAAAGTTGCAACTCCTCCATCCGCATTTATTTGCATGGCACTTCTTCCAAATCAGACATTTGCCTCTTTCCAGAATGCTGTCATCAATAAAGAGACTCAATGAGAGGCCCCCTACAGGAGCTGCGGATAAAGGCATCGCTGCAGGCTCAGATCAGTGTATTGACATCACCTAGTTATATTTCAGTGTGAGCCCCAGAGGACACTTCCTGACAGTAAACACCCAGTTTATCGAGTATTTCTGGTTGGTTGTGTTTTTTATGCTTAGAGTGTCTATTATCCTCCTCAAAAATCCTGCTTCCTTTTCTTCTTTTAAAATCTGAACATAACGAGTGAAATCAATTCTAATTGTCCAGCACTTTCATTCATTGCGTGAATGTGCATGAGCTCGTGCTTCGTGGGTCCATGGGTCTGGGTTGCAGTGCTCCCGGGACCCATCTGTGGTGCTGCCCTGGCAAATGGTGGCTGGTTAAAGCACAAGGACCCTTTTAATATGACTCCACCTAGAGGCATTAAGAGATAGGGTGGCTGTAATCCTCTTATGAGCTCCTGTTCCTGCTCCTGCTGCCATCCAAGCTCGCACCAGGATGCGAATGTGTGCCGCATTTAATCAGGATGCCTCCATGCGTCCCAAGAAAGCAGACGCAAGAGCTCAGGAGAGAAACAAGGCCATCCACACCACAAAGGAGCCAGAAGCCTTCCAAATGTCAATGCACTGCTGCATTTTTCCAAACTTGTTGCCGGAGCGGCCTTTAACATCCCCAACGGCCTGCTGTGATCCACCAGCTAAAAACATCGATTGTTAATTGTCCGACCACTACAGAGCAGCTCGTTTTAATATAGTCATGACATGAATGAGACCCAAGCTCCCCTTTGCCCCTCCCCTGAGGCACCTTGGATCTTGGAGGGAGAAGGGGGCACTTCGTTGGCTGTGGTACAATAGGGGCTAGTGTTGAGGTCAGCAACAAATAAGGGGTAACATTGTTTTCCCTGCTGGCAATCAGCAAGGCTTCCTTAAGGATTGAAATAACTTACATTTCTGGAGTGAGCAGCTGAGTAATTGAGAAAGAAGACTCTGTTCCTCTTTTCAAGAGAATCCCTCTCTCTCTCTCTCTCTCTCTCTCATACACACACACACACACACACACACACACACACACACACACTTCTCTGTACCTCCACCCCACTCCCCAATTCCTCAATTGCTGCTCTCACTCTAATAATTATGTAGAGCAAGCCAGCTGTGCCTCCCTAATTTATGAGGGCTTGAAACGTGCATGTGAAGAGTATGTTGCTTCAAGGGCCACTCCAGTAGCAACAAAAACCTCAAGAGCAGGGGGATTTGGGGCCAAACATTTAAATAACCCATGTGACAGAGGCCACAAAGAAAGGCATCTTCTTCTTAGTGCTACAGTTCTCTTTTACATACAGGCTCTGAAGATTGCTCAAAAAACTTCACAAGCCCCAACGGGACCATCGAATCTCCTGGGTTTCCTGAGAAGTATCCACACAACTTGGACTGCACCTTTACCATCCTGGCCAAACCCAAGATGGAGATCATCCTGCAGTTCCTGATCTTTGACCTGGAGCATGACCCTTTGCAGGTGGGAGAGGGGGACTGCAAGTACGATTGGCTGGACATCTGGGATGGCATTCCACATGGTGAGTGATGTCATGAGGCATTCCTCAGTAGCTTGGCCTTTGCCTGTTAATTGCTTTAGTGATGATAAAGAGGAAGAACAAAGACTTCAAAGCTCCTATGAGTTCTTATATGACCCATGGTGACTTTCTCTTCTTCCCCTTCACTAAGGATAGCTTGAGAGAAATTACAGGAAGGCTGTCTACTTTCTTGGAAATATTTCTTTAGAAAAGGATAGGAGACTAAATAGATACTTGGAAAGGATGAGAAAACTTAAAGTGTTCATTTCTACTCCAAATTGTCAGGATAGAAGGTGGCTCAGTGGCTAACCCCTGTGACAAAACAGAAGGACTCCAGAGCCAGACTGGCCGGGCTTAACTCCCGGCTCTGCTACTCCCCAGCTGTGCAACCTTAGACAAATCCCTTACCCTATCTGTGCCTTATCTGTGTTAAGTTAGCTGCTATCATCATCATTATTACTATAATTTTAAAATTGTCATTAATATAGTCATAAATATTGAAAAGGTACATCACCCAAGGCTAACAGCCACCAGTACTTCGCAGGTGAAGACCAACATGGATCTTGGGTCTAATTAGTATTGGAGAGGAACAAATCTTTCACTTTTGTAGTCATTGTAAGTTTTTTCTAATATAAAGGAGACTTGATGACTAAGCAAAAAGAGCAATTTCATTTCCTGGGTAAATCACAAGACTTAGTCAGAAAACTTGGGTTGTAGGCCCAGCTCTGCTATTTCCTAGCAGTAAGAATAAAGAAATCACATGCGCTCTCCAAACTTCAGTTTCTTCCTCTGTAGAACAGACATTGTAATGATACCTTTCCAGCTCATCTTCCAGGCCACTGAGAACAGAATGAAGCCAGTGAAAGTGGCCTGTACCTTTTTAATGAAAAAGTGAAAGTGCTTTTTGATGTGCAGGAAAAATATTAGCCATTGTTCTTGAAACATATCTTTGGTTTTTATGGCAAGATGTACAAAGTGTGCTCCACTGAATGAAATGCAATGAGGGGAAGGGAAAACGGAGTGAAAACCAAGTTTGACATTTTGATTTCCACTGACTTCTCTTTGTCTTGAATGTCCAGTTGGCCCCCTGATTGGCAAGTACTGTGGGACCAAAACACCCTCTGAACTTCGTTCATCGACGGGGATCCTCTCCCTGACCTTTCACACGGACATGGCGGTGGCCAAGGATGGCTTCTCTGCGCGTTACTACCTGGTCCACCAAGAGCCACTAGAGAGTGAGTTGGCCGATTGGGAACCTCTGTCCTGTCCTTCCGTCAGGGCTGTGAGGGTGTACAGGTGAAGGGGGGCTGAGCTCTTATGAGGGAGGAGATGGGAACTCTACGGAATTTATGGTGGCATCTGAGTTTAGAGGTGCCCACATCCTCTTGCCAGGAAGAGGTTGATGAGAAAAGAACACATTTCAATCTGGGTGCTTCTTTCTTTAAAAAATATATATATGTGTGTAACAAGAATTAGTTATTTTCAGGGAAAGTCATGGTACCATCTCATACCTCAGTTTCCTCATCTATGAATGAAAGAGAGGCTAGTTAGGATGATCTATACAGGGCCCCTCCTGTGCTAACATTTTTTTAGTCTGTGGCCATTTTTTTCCCTCTCAAAATCTCAGGGGCAATTGTCACAAAAGTGAACCATTTTAAACCTCTCTTTCTCTGGATTTTTTGACATTAACCATCTCTGGGCCTGGGTAATGTTTTCCTGACTAGATTGGTACAACTGCTTAGACTTGGACTTCACCCTTCCACCAAAGATAGTTTGTGGAGCTTCTAGTATGTGCCAGGCACCAAGCAAGGAATTAAAAACTATCACTCTGATCACAGCTGCTGTGGGACCTGCAGTCCCTCAGCACTGAGCAACATCTTCAAATCAGCTGCTCTTGGACATGTGTTTCAAATATGCTGCCATTTCTACTTAAAAACCCAAACGATAACTTTTTTTTTTTTTTTTTTTTTTTTTTGAGACAGAGTCTCTCTCTGTTGCCCAGGCTGGAGTGCAGTGGCTCAATCTCACTCTTCCCAGTGCAACCTCCACCTCCCGGGTTTAAGCAATTCTCGTGTCTCAGCCTCCCGAGTAGCTGGAACTACAGGCATGCGCCACCATGCCCAGCTAATTTTTGTATTTTTAGCAGAGGTGGGGTTTCACCATGTTGGCTAGACTGGTCTCGAACTCCTGCCCTCAAGTGATCTGCCTGCCTTGGCCTCCCCAAATGCTGGGATTATAGGTGTGAGCCACCATGTCCAGCCCCACATAACTTTAAAGACTGAAGAAGCACTTTTAAGAAAGATTCAAGCTGTGGAAATCCTACCCTGATTGCAGACAACTCACCATATATATAACTACAGACACGGCAGCCTGGCCTGCAGGAAGGTTGCTGGGTTTTGCATTTGTTTTTTCATCAAAGAGCTTCTGAAGATTGAGTGACAAAGAAACAGTATGGCAAATTGCACCAGGTCCCGTGAATGGTCAGTGCAGTCACAGAGTAAAGAATAGGTTGATACCTGATAAGGATTGCTGGCCGATCTTAGACACATGCACACACACATATCGATCAGTGTTGATGGCATTCATAGAAGGACAGCAATGCAACTGACAGCACAGGGCCAGAGTAAGTGACTTCTGGGTCTATTTGTCCAGACAGGTGGTGCGGGGGAATAGAGAGTGACATGCATGTGCTCATGGAGAGATTTCCCAAAGACAAGTATTTATGCTTTGTAATGTCTGTCTTCTGTGCCAGAACTCACAAGACAGTTGAGTGAAAAAAGAAAGAAGCAAAAGTGCCTCCTGGGTGTTTATTAATAAAGCAGGCTTCCCACGATGTATGAGCTCACCCAAATCGCCACGAGTCTATCTCACATTTACCTGTATTGCAGTAATGGTGCATCTGGCATCTGTAGCCTGCAGCAATAACAGTTCTTGTGCTTTAGATTGTATTTTTAATCTGTATGATGATTCTCTTATTTATCCATAGCCTGATTTCTTTTAGGTCCCATTTAGTTTCTCTCAGACCCAGAGGGGTTGTCAAGCTCCATGACTTGATGTAGTTGTTTTTAAAATGTGAGCATATAATTAGGGTCTTTTAAATGAGGAAGTGCCTGCAAGGACTTGTCCCTAGAAGGGAGGCAGCATTTGGGGGATCCCGAGGTATGAGGTTGGAAGGCCTAACTGCATTTGACCGTCTGCTTTCCCCAGACTTTCAGTGCAATGTTCCTCTGGGCATGGAGTCTGGCCGGATTGCTAATGAACAGATCAGTGCCTCATCTACCTACTCTGATGGGAGGTGGACCCCTCAACAAAGCCGGCTCCATGGTGATGACAATGGCTGGACCCCCAACTTGGATTCCAACAAGGAGTATCTCCAGGTACTTGTGCAGATACCAGAGGATGTGAGAGTGTGTATGTATTGCTGGGGTAGGAGGGTAGCTCCTCAAATACAGTAGGCAGAGGACACAAAGAAAATAAACACAGCATACCTGAGAACTCCATTCATTCATTCATCCAAACAGATGTGTATGCCAGGCACTGGGTTACATGCTGGCATACACTGATCAGAGGGAGCCTGCCCCTGCCCTTGTGGGGATTACTGGGCCTGGGGAGAAGTTGTTTGGCCAGGATGCTGTTTGCCCTATCACTATAGATATCCAAGGAACATTATATAAGCTGTTTGGATCTTCCTCATTCTTGGCACAGGGAGGCATCAGGGACATGGGGGGCATTCTCCTAAGGGGAGGTTTGTTGAGGTGCTAGCTGCACATGACAGCTTCTCATGATCTTTGCTATTGGAGAGAGCCCTGCCAGGAAGGTTTTGCACAGAGCTATCAGAAGAACACATAGGAAAATGTCACTACCAGGAACAGAACTCAAGGTGCCCCAGATGCTCGGCAGCATCTCTTCAGACCATTGTTTGCTTTATTCTGAATAAACCTTGCAGCTCATGTTGAGTAATCTTCCCGCACTGCACACTGCTCCAATTCTCATCCCCTGGGAAGAAGTAAACAGGGGGAAAGCAAGCTACTAGTTCCACACCAGAGCAGTGACTGCTTTTATGACACACGTAAGACAGCCTTGTGACCCACTGACAAGCCTGTCCTAGCTCTGAGGCGACACAGTGACCTCTGCTCTAAGAAGGATATTGCAAAGCAGACAACAGGAAAGGGAGAAACACCACTTAGAAACTCCAGGGAGTCCACAGAGGTTCTAACAGTAAGCCCTGGGGCCATTTGTCATTGTCTCTTCTCTCTGCCTCTCCAAAAATCCATCTCCTCGCAGCCTGCAAAACTTCCAGAAAGTTCTGTATAACTGGCATCCCCTATCTTTGACCTTAATCATATACTTTCGCCTATTGCTATCCACCTGTTTCTCATACGTGTAGACAGCACTATGTACTACTTATTCAAATGTTTAGTAATGCTGAGCACATTGTAGGTCACCAATAAGTGCTTACTGAATTGAATTTAGCCAGTGTGTGCTAGCTACATTTTGGTCATATGGAGACTGCCATTAAGAAACACCATGGCCATCAAAGGAATGACATCCAGCAATTTCCAAATGGGTTTGGCATTGTGGGAGGGGAAGTACCTTAAAATGTTGGCCATCCTCCTCATAGAGCAAAAGGTCAGGACTCGGTGCATAAGCCTAATTGCTTGGGCAGACTCTACATGCCCTTTGACCCCTTAGTGACCTGAGCAACTAAATACACAATGGAGCGAGAGGGTGTGGGGAGGGGATGCCTCTATGAGTGTGACTTTTGGAACTAGGGCATTATAAGTGAGTTGGATTGAACTGGACAGGAGTAGAGTGGAGTAGATTCAACCTTGTTTCTTTAAAGCAGCATCTGCTTCCACAGTCCAAGGCAGGCCATCATTTACTAAGAAGGGATTATAGCTCTAGATGTTCAATGATTGAGAAAAATCGAGTATTGTCCCTTCATATTTGCAAAAGAGAGAAAAAAGAAAAATAACCTAACTTTTCAAGGTGTCTGATTTAGTGTAAGATAATGTGAGTTTAATCGTCCAATGGAATTGCAAACTGATACTAATTACAAGTATGTCTCAGTGAATCACAGATACAGGTTGGAAGCAAAGTCTAATGATTGTGTCCTTTGGAAAAAAACAAGACACTGCCCTGTGTTGGGAATGGTGGTCTCTTACTCCAGCCCTCTATTCCCCAGGTGGACCTGCGCTTTTTAACCATGCTCACGGCCATCGCAACACAGGGAGCGATTTCCAGGGAAACACAGAATGGCTACTATGTCAAATCCTACAAGCTGGAAGTCAGCACTAATGGAGAGGACTGGATGGTGTACCGGCATGGCAAAAACCACAAGGTAAATCCATGATCCTACCTTAAAGGCACATTGGACCAGGGCAGGAGGGATGGGATCAGGGGAGCTTTAAGCCGACCTCCTACAGGAGAGAGGGCCTTGTGTAGTCAGGCTCAGATAATTGATGGAGGCAAGGGTCGTGCTGGCCTTGAAAATCTTCTCTCTTAGGCTAAAGCGATTGGAAAACACCGTTTCTCTGACAGCCAGTTGCTGTTGCATCTTGCGCAGCAGAGAGAGAGAGCTTGCAGAGTGTTCTCTGACTTCAAATGAAGGAGAAAATATGTCCCCAGTCCACTTCTCCCCACCCAGGATTCACTGAACATTTATGGCCTGAGTCCCTTCCACATGCTGGGTTAACAATCACAAAACCACATGATACTATAGTTCAGGAGTTACCGAGCTCTGGAAATGAAAGGGCACAAATCCTGAGAGGGAATCACAATGTCCTGGAGAAGAAAAAGGACAATAAATAATGAGGAGAAATTCAGTTTGTTGGGGATGGGCTCTGAACTGGCAATCATGCTTAGCGGCGAGGCATTGAATTCTCTCTGCTGGTGCCTCCCGCATCTGCGGCTCCCGGAGGTGTGGTCTGTGTGGGTGATGTGGGGCTTTTGTTGTATACATATGGATGAATGTCTGGCACTCCACTTTCTTAAGACATGACATTCTGGGTCTGCAGCTGGCACAGGCGATGTGCTGGCTCTATGTGTATATACACAGCACACTCAGCCCATGGGGGCTTATTGCAAACAGCCAGGGGCTTGTGTGGGTAGGATTGGGGTATCTGTGATGGGAACACAGGGCACGATGCCCCCTGCAGAGCAGGAGCTGGTGCAGAGGTCTGGAAGGAGAGTGTGATGTCTGGGGGATTCCTAGGGGCTGCCTGTCCTTCCCTAAAAAGGAGGTAGGGAGGGAGGAAGAGGGTCTCTCCTGTAGCATTACAGTTCCACCAAGCCCTGGTCTGTCAGAGTGTGAATTATCAAAATGGGGCACATGTGGCCAAGCCTAGGGAGGCCAAAGATCTTTTCCAAAGGGAATCTCCTCAGCCCCTGTCACTGCCCCGAGGCAGCTTGCTCTGACTGGTGCAGCTGGAAACCTCAGACCCAGAAAATTCTGAACTGTGATGTTGGCAGTCTCACTTGGGAAACGGGAAAAGGAGTAGATTTTTAAAAAATCAAAATCACCATAGTAACGGGGTACCACTCATCTGAAAACCATGGCTTCTGGATATTACCAGGTATCTCACACACATGCACACAATTGCCCGATTTCCACGATAAGGAAAGTGAGGTACTTAGCAATTGAAAGATGTGCCAGGCCAGGTCTGGTTTCCCACTGACTTGGTTTCAGAAAGACTTACCAAGCATCCGTTGGGAATGCCCAGCCTGAATTGGCACTGGGTGCCAGGAGCTTGGGGGCTGAGACCTGGTTCCACCCCACCCTTTTCAATTATAAACCGGTAGATCTCGGAAGCTCAGCTAGCAGACGAGGGCCAGAAGCCAGGCAGGGGTGGTCCCCGGGGAGAGGAGTGGGGCTCACCTGATTGTCTCCCTGTCCAGGCGCAATGACTAAGCAGCACAGGCCCAGAGGGATACTGTAGCATAAGCTGTTTTAAAAGCATGCAGATGGACCAGGATGCTATTTAAAACATCATTTGTAGGAAATCTGCTTTTGGAAATACCTTAGCACTGCACATTTTCATAGAATGCTGTCCTCCCTGGCTTTATCCCTGGTATTCATTCTTCAGGAAAGATATTCCTGAAATTGAATTTAGCTTTCTGGTTTTCAGAATTATTTTTCTCAACTTTTTCATAATGGATATATTCTCTCTCTTTTGCCTCCTCTTTCCCCACTTGGCTAGATTTAGTTCCCCAGCAGCCAAGGGGTAACTTGAGAGTTTTTTTGTTTTTGTTTTTGTTTTTGTTTTACTGAATTAGTCGTGCCCAAATAAATGGAGTTGGGGCAGAGGAAAAGCCCATTCTCTTCCCCATTAGAAATTCATCCTTTGTGTACTTAGAAGGAGGCAGGAAAATGGAGAGCCTGCCAATTAGGCATCGCCCCACTCTCCAAGCTCCTTCACCCCACTGCGGGTGTGGTGGACGCCCAGGGGCTTTCCTTGTCTCCCCTGCAAGGATGGTCTCAGCTGCCCCTTCATTAGCAGATCTTTCGTTCAGATATCTGTATTTAATGTGCAGATTCCCCCTCATTCACGGTGCGTCAGCGCAGCTCTCTGGGCTGTTGGGGTTGAAGTAGTTGAGTGAACCGTGCCAAATAGATTTGTCAAGTCTGCCGCAGTTTGATTTGATGCCATGGGGGGAGGTGGGGGTTGGGGAGGGACTTGGGGGCAGTGGAGGAAGAGGCTTCGTCCATGCCGAGTGCCACCACTGAGTTTCTCTTTGTAGCTGCTGGATGGTGGGCACTGTGCCAAGCTAACTGGTGCTAAGTGGTGGGCTTGAAAGTGAAATTCAGACAACAGGAGTTAGCAGAAAAGCAAAGCAGAGATGAAGGCAACCGCCTGCTCTGCTCTGCTCTGCTCAGAGCAGAGGGAAGGTTTGCAAATGCCTTCCCGGTGTGCAGGGAAGGAAGAGGGAATAGTGACATTTGGGACAGAAATGTGGGAACTCGATTTCAACTCCCTGGTCACTGTCAACAGCAATGCAGCATACCAAAGACCAGGGAATTGGGGAAGTCAGAGAAAAACAAGTTTAATGAGTGCTCAAGGTGGCGGGGGAGGGCTGTCCTATGTCTTTGCAAAACACTGTTTACAATGTGGACCCAGACGGGGCTGAGGCAAGGCCTAGGCCTCTGAAAGAATGCCTTCCTTTTTACTGCCAGTGGGTGAGAAAGACTAAGGAACTCTTTTCCAGCCTCCCCTAGCCAGGCAGCAGCCTGTTCTTGGTCTCTTCCCATCCAACAGGTCATCATGAGGTCGCCTATGAGAAAGTGGTCAGTCACACTGTTGCTGGGGCATTGCAAGCCTCCTCCTGGCAAACGCAGCCTGGTTACACAGGCCACATGCACAGCACATCCCAAATCTTTATCCAATTCCACATGCCATAAATATGGAACCTATGATTCTCATACAGGGTGGGCCCGCCTTATGTATATTTATGGCATAACCACAAGGCAGAGAGCTCATCTGCCTGATGGAATCCATATCCAACCCACGTGCTCCTTTAGATTATACAAATTGCTTTGCATACATTTCTTCAGAAACCACAAGCAGAAATTACTGCTTTTGGTTTCCCCAGCTATATTAATAACACCCTAGATGCAGACATGGCATTGTTAATACAACAGTAGAAGGTTCATGTATGTTTACATAATTATAGGCACAATTATGTACATACATACCAAGAAGGGCGCATGGAGAGCAATGGGAAGAGCTCAGAGGCACAAGGTCTTGGTCTAGTTCCTGCCCTCCTGAGATGCTGATTCCATGATTCTGCACTGGGGATAGGCTGTGCCTCGGGAATGGAACCACAGCTGGTGACAGGACACGGGGGAGAGAGACTACTGCCCTTATTTGTCTAGGCAAAAGCCCTTATCTTCAGTTCCCTCTCATTCGGTAAACGTGGGGATCTCCCTTGTTGACACAGCTCTAGTTAGTCACAGTGTTTCTGGGCTATTCTGATGCATTTGGAAGAAATTTGGGCTAAAAGAGAAAGTCTGTGGGGTGCCAAATGCACGCTATTGGCCAGATCGAGGATGGATGGGTGAAGATAGGGATGAGGTAAGACTTGGGTCCAAGAATTTTCAGAATTACCCCACCAGGAGTGGAAGGAATGCACTGAGTTCATCACATTAATGTAAGGATGACCTCCAAGGGACTCAGAAAATCCTCAGGCACCAGCTTATTCACTAGAGTATTTCACAGAGTTTCACAACTGTGGAATTGAAGCTCTTAGAGATTAAGTGCCTTGCTGCAGGGACTAGGAAACTGGAGCCTGCATGGACGGCGCCTGGTCACCAGACTTGGATGTCCAGACTGGCGCTCTCCACAATCCGCCCTAGGCCTTACTCTTCATCTTGAGGGAAATTGGCTTCCTACATGTTCAGTCCAAGGACTGAGAGGTACACATTTTCCTGGAAAGCCTCCTCTTCAGTGAAGTTCTGCATGCAGGATGAGCCTGTACATGGCTTAACCCACTAGGCTCATTATTGTGGAGCTGGGCTTCACCACAGAATCATGAGGATGGAGAGTTGAAAGGAGTTGCCATTTGTTTGATTTGGCCACATCCCTTCAAAACAAATAAACACTCCACTTCAAAAATCCTCTATCCCATATTTATTTTCTAAATTAAAACAAATCATTTTTAAATCAGAGACTTGGGAGGAGAGAAAGAGTGGTGTCAGAAAACCAAACCCTCAAATCAGTTGGCTAACAGCTAGAGGCACGTGATGTCTATTTTCAGATCTTCTTAAACAGGGCACCGTGTGATCTTGGAAACATCTCTTAGTGGCTGCACGCCTCAGCGTTTCCACCCAGTCCAAATGGAATGGCGCTGCGGCTGCTATCGGCAAAGCACCTTGAGATCTGTAGATGGAAGGCTCTCCGCGGATATAATTAATGGAGTAGACCCACAAAGCTCTTCTTGAGCAGAAGCAAGTTATCAATTTAAAAAGTAAGAAGGCCCCATGGGATATTTATGGGCCTCTTTTAAAATCATAGGCCTGGAATGGACCATGATAAGTCATCCAGACCTTTCCCTGCATCTGATGGGGCCTGCATTGAGCTGCCTCAGATAAATGTCATCCATCCCAGCCTCACTGTTCTCTTAGGGATGCAATTATGCTTCTACTTGATCATTTAAGTTTTCAGGAAAAACCTTTTTTTTAAAAAAACCTCCTGGCAGATGATGGGCTTCCCCTTATTCCTTTTGTGGTAGTAATTTTGTTTGTTGAATATGAGATGAGGACAATACCTCACACTGTAATGGGCACCAGCCTTCAGAAGTCATGTTGCGTGTGCTCTGAAGGGGGCTGATACCCCTTCCAAGTTCAAGTCCCTCAGTTTATCTGACCCTCTCAATTATAATGGAGAAGGATCCAGTGCCCTAGGTAATTAAGTTTGTCCCTTATCCATTTGCCATGGGATGAGCTCAGACCTTTAGCCTCTCCACTTAGGAAGCTCAGGGGAAAATTTCATTATACAGAAGCTTGAACCTTTTCTCTATCAGGCTCCCGCGGCCAGCGTCACCCAGCTCCCGTGGGTGCTGAACTGTCTCCAGTAGCTGAGGCGCGCCTCCCTGGCGCTGATAGCCTTGATGTTAAACTCCAAGGCCCCGGCTGTGCACAGAGGCCAGTGACAAGGAGCACACAGAGGGGATGTGGAAGGGCGCTGTGATTCTGCTTGGGCTGTGGAATCATGTTCCTTGCCCCAACCCCAACTAATGTAGATGAGCACTGGAGTGAAGCCCTCACCTGGTAGATTGTCCTGCTCTCTGATGTCACCTTGTCCCTGCTCCGGTTTGCAGAGCCTCCACCTGAAGAGGCAGGCAGGTGGCAGAGGTCTCTGGAACCTCACTCCCTGTTCCCTCAATCTCTCCCCACCTGGGAGTTAAAGGCACCTCCTTAAGAAAACCCAAACATCTGTGTTAGGAGGTTTCCAGGGGTGGAGGGCCCACCCCACCCAGCTAGAATGTCCTAGAATGTCCGAGTTTCTCCTTCCCTCTTCCTAGGACATTGACTGTTCCCCCCAAGCCCGCTCATTGCTCTGATCCTGTGCTCCTCCCCCGCCTGCTCTTCTCCAGCCCCACCCCTGAGCTGCCCTCCTCCCCGCTCCTCCCTGATGCGTTCCTGTCTCAAATCCTGAAACCCTAATCCTGTTAGTATGCTGTGTTCCAGGCCTCAGCGTCTCGATGGGGGTAACATAATCCCGCAGTAAATCTAGCGGGCCCCGCAGGCCCACACAGATGGGGATGCGCACATCCCCGCCCCCCAGAACGCAGCCGCCCCTGTGCCTCTGTCTCCTCCTTCATGTAGGAAAGCTGCCTGATGACAAAAACAGCCCGAAAGTAAAGGAGGATGAGAGCAGAGGTCATCAGAGTCCTAAATGTGCATTTGGTTGTTAGACAGCTTCTTTGCCTACCGGCATCCCTACCTTCTCTTAATCTCTCTCTGTGTTTATATATATATATATATACATATATCTATGTAAAGTATACACGTGCACACACACACACACACATGCCTCTAACTCTATATCTGGCTAAGTTCCCACATCCACTAGAATGAAACAAGCTTTAAAACAAGTTTTTAAATTGTCTTTAAAGGGGAGTTTTAAAGGAGAAAGATCAGGACCATGATTCACAAACAACAAAAAAAGCCCATTGCCTTCATATCATTTCCCACCGCCCCCCCCCACCCCGCATCGCAACAGTTCCCTCCCCCTACTTGACTGTTTTGTGCAACAAATTAATTAAACAGGATGGCATTCATTGATTAGCAATTTATTTTTACGTGTAGACCCAATGGCTGGTTTCAGAGCAGATGCAAGGGAAGGGGGTGGGAGAGGGAGGACACACAGATCTGCAGTCAGGGTGAGCGGATGAGTCAGCACATTTGTTCCTGACACTAGTTTTAAAAACATGCTTCTGGCTTCCCCCAGCCTCTGTCCTGCATTCCTGCCACTTTTCTCTTCTGCCTGCTTTGTTTTCCCCCTTCTTGAGTGTCTGTGCCAAGTACATTGAAAGGGAGAACTTTGGAGGCAATGAAACATTTATTAGTGGAGAGAAATATTTATTTTAAAAAAGAAGAGGAACATCTCGTGCACAATGTCTACCCCAGGGCTCCAGCACTGCGCTGTCTTGGAAATATTTCCCTGCTTTCTTTGCAGTCCCTGGAGCTGGCTGACTTCAGATATTTACAGCAAAATAGAAGTAAACAGTAGTTCACACCATAGGTAATGAAGAGATGGGAGTGTGCAAGCTGAGTGCTGAAGCGCTACTCACATGAGAGGTGGTGCACGTGAAGAGAGACTGTTTTTGTACCCCAAAGGGCCCGCCTCATTTGGGAAGGGTGAAACAGCCAGCCGTGTCTCTCCTCCAAGGAGCTCAAAGACTTGGACAGAATCTTCATCTTAGGCCCCAGAGGCAGGCATGATGACAGGTAGCATCTACACTGTCCTGGGCACATGGGTATTGATAGCAAAGATGAATGGTATATAAGAAAAGGCTTTAGGCTGGGCAGAAAAATTCCTCTGCCTAGAGGCCTAGAAGGTAGGAAGGCTGCAAAGCTCACTGTCCTCAGCTATGTCAGTCACTGCATATTCTTCAAAGACAACTTAAGGAGGGGTCAGCAAAGAAGAGGTGACTGTGACTAGAAATGGGGTGGGAAGCAGAGAAAATGTTCTGAGATGGCCTCAGAAACCATCAGTAATGCGTTCTGGCTGGATGCTTCTTATTAGATTTTATATATATATATAATTATATATATAATGTATATTATAGAATATATTCTATATAATATATAGAATGAATATATTCTATAATATATATTACATTGAATTATATTGTCCATGCCTTGTGGACTCACAGGAATGGTCAAAATGCACTGATTTTCTTTGCCTGGGAGTGTAGATAACAACCAAACTGGGATGCTGGATAGCAGCTGATTTAATTGGCAGGTCCCCCACTCCCCTAGAGGTGCAAATCAGAAAATCCAGGAAATGCTGATGGTTTTCAGGTTCTGGGCTACTGAAAACAAATCAGAGGTCTCAAGAATCAATTGAAAAATGCTGGATTATATTCAGAATTCAGAGAGGCACCCAATAGATTATCCAGACCACTTTGTGCCCTGAATCGCTTTTTAAACTTGGTTTGCAGAGATGCACTTGAAGAAATCTTTATGTTCAACTTAGCTCTTTTTAAATACGCACACACATATATTTTTAATAATTACAACATAATCAACACTAGCATCAGAAAGCTAGGGTCACCTTGAACATACTTGTGATTTTCCTTTGGGTAGTAAACAACCATACTAAGATCTTTCTTTTAAAACAAATAAAAAGTGGGCCAGGCATGGTGGCTCACACCTGTAATCCCAGCACTTTGAGAGGTCAAGGCAGGTGTATCACTTGAGGTCAGGAGTTCAAGACCAGCCTGGCCAACGTGGTGAAACCCTGTCTCTACTAAAAATATAAAAATTAGCCAGGCTTGGTGGCGCATACCTGTAATCCCAGCTACTAGGGAGGCTGAGGCAGGAGAATTGCTTGAAACCGGGAGGCAGAGGTTGCAGTGAGCCAAGATTGTGCCACTGCACTCCAGCCTGGGTGACAGAGCAAAACCCCATCTCAAAAATAAATAAATTAAATTAAATAAATAAAAAATATATGTCCTCTGTGACATCCAGCTTCTAAAGCAGATGTTAACATTCCTATCTGAGTATAACATACAAGGCAACCCACCGATTTTTCTCAGATACCTCACTGCAAAGTTGTCATCTGAAAATTGTTGGCCTGAAGGTGGGACTTGGGAGTAGTCGTGGCTTTTGGAACTTAAACTCTCCCACCTGTGCAAAGACCCACTTGTTACTTGTGACCTGGCTTACACGCTAACATTTGTCCTGGGTGCTATGCAAGCCTTGGAGGGAGGGCCAGTAAACTTAAGTGTCTATCTGCAAGCCTATTATCGACTTTATTTTCCTGAAGGAGAAACCAAGGTATCTAAGGTTTATTGATTTGCCTATAATGATTCAGTGAGTTGTCAGGGAATAGGGAATAAAACCAATTTCCTGGCGTCATTTCCCATGCACACAACCCCTTACCTTGCAATGCCTAGACTGGAAGCCAAGAATCCATCTCAGTGAATTTGATCAGAAAACATATGAAGGGTGATTCTAAAACCACAGAAGCATTGAGAAAGTCATAAAGATGTATAATATATGATAGCATTTACTAGCTATAAATAGGGGAGATGCAGGGAGAAAAATAGAGACCTTGTAAAACCATTGGGTCAGGATAAATAGAAACTGCTTAATATTTCATTAAAAATGGATTTTCATAAATTGCACTTTGATATCTTTGGGCAAAAGACAATATGTAAGGACTAAGGCGTTGTTATTCATTACTCTTTGTTATTAATAATTTGAACTGGTATTGAACCAACACATCAACAAGGTATAGTCGCCCTGTGAATGGGGCACTCCCCATGTGTTCTGGGCACTATTCAAAGTGTATAAAAAGTCCACAGCCACCGTCTGCAAAAGCACTTAGGCTGTAAGGGACAACGGGTAACTAAAGTGCCCTGTTGCAAAATGGACACTGTTAGAGCAGTTCAAACCACAAAAAGTCATGCGAAGAAAGGTTTAGAAGCAGGGGACCAGAGAGAACCCTACAAATCAACTCATACAATCCCCTCATTTAACAGAGGAGGAAATTGGGGCCCGAGGGAGGTAGAGATATTTGCCCACACTTATGAGCTAATTAGCCGCAGAGCACAGCTCCTGGCTTCTGATTCAGTAGTGTTTTGTGTGTGTGTGTTGTTTTTCCCACTATACCACACTCAGAGTGAGAGGTGTGTTAAAAAATCTAATAAGATGGTGTTCCTTCACCATCCAAAGAACAGAAGGCAGATGTGAACACAAAGTCAAGAGCAGACAAGAAAACAGTTCAGGAACTAGGCTTGGAAACGTGAAGGGTAATTTGAAGCTAAGTTGAAAAGATCCTTCATTTGATTCAAGGGTGGGAGAAGAGTGGGCAAAATGAAAGGGCAGACTGAAGTTCAATTGAAGCAGTCAGGTAGATGGCCTAGGGGACACAAACTGTGTGCTTGCCTCCCTTCCTGAGTGGTGCTACTGTAAGCAGAGATTAGGGGGTTCACCCAGAGCCTGTGGCCACATGTATCCATGGGAAGACTGACCCCCTCCCTCAGCTCATACATGCGAGTGCGTGCAGCCCATGCCCATGTGAGCCACACTCATGCACACACCGCCATCCCAAAGACAGTCCAAATACACAATCATTTACTCATTGAGGAAAGAAAAGGTCTCTTAGCGTTGCCTGCCAAGGCTGAGAAATGCAGGGGTCGGATAAGATAAAATTGGATATTAACAACACATAAGACATGCTGTGTTTCTAAACGGTACCAGCGTGGTGTGTATGCTGTGGATTAGCGGCAGTGTTAAAGTTCAGATCCACTCAACTTTCCAATTATGCATTCACGTGACAAGTAAAGCTTTTTTCACCCAATGTGAACTCCTTAGCGTCTCCTGATGGCGACCACACACACAGTCCCCATCACCATCTTCAGAGAGCAAGCCAGTGGAGGCCCCCCTGCTGCTGCTCACAACACCCATCCGAAATAAGCAAAGTGCTGCATTTGCTTCTTCCTTTCCAAAACAAAACAAAGCAAAGCAAAACAAAACAAAACAGAAAGCCTCTGCCTCATGCTGAATTCTCAGAGAACTGATGAATCTCTTTTCTTTGGATCCAGTTCCCCATCCCTTTCCTGAGAGCTGTGGAGCCCTTTTTCAGTACGAAGGAAGTAGGGTCAGTCACCACTCCCCTTGGGCCTTCTCCAGGGTGTCTGGCCCTAACCTTCTTTCCTTCCCTTTGCTTGGCTTTTCTCCTTCCCTCGCTAACTTGGTCTTCTCACTCCTTCTCATCCACAATCGCTATACAGGAAGCAGCAAAATCAAACCTGGGAGAGAGGCATGACTAACAAGTTCTTTCCCGGTGCTCCCTGCTGTCAACCTTAGGACCCGGGTGGGAGGACTTCCCAGGGGAGGAGAGGGAGCAGCAGGCTGGGTGCGCAGGGGGCACCCCCAGATTTGGTGGACTTCGCACCAGATCAATGGTTTAAACTGAATATGGTGGACCAGCGAAAATCTGCTTCCCTGTTTGTCTTCAGCCAGCCACTTCCCTTCATTTACTTGCAAAAGGTATGGTGTCTTCAGTGGTGTGTTATTAAATGGCTCTAACTTTTAACCTTAGCAAGCAGGAAATAGGGCTGTTAAATGATGGAGTTCACAGTTCATGGGGAAGAAAGGACTGTGTTGTCAATTGGCTGTAGACTTCTGTGCTGCTCTTTGCCATTACTCAAAGCCATTCTAAGGTGGGATTATAAACTCACACTGGAAACACATCACTGGACAGTGACTCTACCTCCATTCAGCCCATGCCTGGAGACTTTAAGGGCCCCATGACTCCCAGCCACCAGCATAAACACTGCAAATGTGTTAGAAGAAACTACAAGCTTAAAACCTAAAAACTTGGCAAGGATGTTGGATCCAGACAGGCATCTCTGAGCCTCAGTTTCCTTATCCAATGAAGTGGAGATAAGAATATCTACCTTCTGGGGTACTATAGATATAATTGTTTATACTCAAAGATATTTTGTTGCATCTGGCTGAAAAGTCTTCAAATATACCAGTTTCCCCAGTTCTCTTGTCCCAGCCCTGTTGGTGCCCCCAAACACTTGGCATGGTCTGAATATCAGGAGCCGAAACATCTAGTTCTCCTAAGCAGGAGAAGTCGCTGATGGTTGCAGAGTTGGCTGTAAGTAGATTTACAGAGTCCCTTGGTTGTTACAGCTATGACAGAAATGATTTAGAAGTGATGGTTGGTTAGTTGGTTTTTCCCTCTACCCTTATTCAGGAAAACCAAGGGAAACTCACATATACTTTGCTCTAGTTACTTTTTTTTTTTTTTTTTTTTGAGCAGAGAGCACAAAAAAGCATAAGGTCCATATGGCAGTTATTGATCTGGGCCATCTGGAAAGCCAGGACTTGCTCCCACCATGTAGGATCAGAAGCTGTTCCAAAAAGCCTTCCCTCCCATAAGAGATGTATTGGTCAGATGGGGACAGGGATGGATTTCATTACAGGGCAGGACTACAGTGAGAGGAAGCTGGAGCAGGACTCTGAAGGACTGTCTGCAACCCTGACCCTGCCACAAAGATCAGAGAGAACCAAGAAAGTGTTGATTGACACAGGGCCATTGTAGGTAGAGGGTGCCCCTCATCATCTTGTCCGCTCATGGGTGGGATGGCATCAAGTAACTAACAAAAACAACCGTGAAGCACTTTGCAATTAGAAAATGCTCTGCAAATATTCCTAGGTGCCTGCAACATGAGGAAGAGGGAGTGTCAAGTTCAAGCTAGTGAGTGAGGTCTGGTAGCCCTAAAAGATGATATTTTTACTTCATTTTAAACAGATATTCTACTTTTCTCTTTCTTCCTTAGCTTCTCAAGTGTTTTCCTTCTTCTGCCTGCTCTCAGCCTGGAGGCAAAATTTTCCTTCCCTCTAAAAGTTTCTGGGAAGACCACTGATAATTTTCAAGTAGAACAGTGTGAGAAATTAATTTTTTTTACAGTGTTTCTTTAAAAAGCCCAAAACAACATACCCACTGATTATTTTTAAGCTTGAGGGAAAGAAAATTTGACAGAACTTTCCCATCCCCTTCAAAGACTGCTCAAGTGGCTGAACTACAAACAGGGGTTTCAATAACATGGTTTTGCATCTTACGCTACAGGTATTTCAAGCCAACAACGATGCAACTGAGGTGGTTCTGAACAAGCTCCACGCTCCACTGCTGACAAGGTTTGTTAGAATCCGCCCTCAGACCTGGCACTCAGGTATCGCCCTCCGGCTGGAGCTCTTCGGCTGCCGGGTCACAGGTGAGGTGGGGGCTCCAATGAGGTTGGGGTGCTGATTGAGCCCTAGGCTCTGCTCCCTTTCAACTCTCTGCAAACAGCATGACTGCACCACATGACCTTCCCAGAAAGACTGGCTCAAGGACTCAAGTCCTACCAGAGTTTGTCTTTTCATTCATTCATTCAGTATACATTTATTAAGCATCTACGATTTCTATTAATAGCTAACATTTATGGAATGCTAACTAGGTACAGATGCCATTCTAAGCACCTAAGATGTAACATATTTTATTATCCTCATAAGGACTCCATGGGTATTATTCTCCTCACTTTACAGATGAGGAAACCAAGACTTAAAGAGCTAGGTCACTCACCAGTAAGTGGTAGAGCCATGGTTTGAATCTAGGCAGTTCCAGTCCAAAGCCCTTGCTTTCAAATAACACTCTCTGCTGCCTCAACCGGGGGCCAAGAGCTGTGCATGGTGCTGTGGACACAAAGGTGGGCACAACAGACTGTTCTGTGTGGGCATATGGACAAGTTGGGCAGACATACTGATAAACTCATAAATAAATATAAAATCAAAACTATGATCAATGTCTGGACATAGAGGCTTATGGTCCTTGGAAGTACATCGTAGGGGATTTGACCCAGCCTAGGAGCTCAAGGAAGACTTCTTTGAGGAGGTGATGATTGAGGTGAGGTTAGAAGGCAAATAACAGACATTACCTGGTGAAGAAGGGAGGGAAGGTGCACCAGGCAATGGTCACAGCTTTCTCAATGGCACGGTGGCAAGAGGGACCAAAAGAGGAAGTGAGGAGCATGGACACAGCTTGTGGGCTGAAACCCAAGGCATGTAGATTGGAGAAGACCAGAGTGGGAGTTGGGACATTATAGGAGGCAATGCAGGGGGTGCAGATGGGAGATGATGATGGCTGGATTAGCCCCAGAAATTTATGGACAGACCAATCCCCTTTATCTTGTGGGCTCAGCCCAGGGCAGGCAAGTTGCCTCTTTGACCTGGAAGTGTCTTCAGTGTACATCCATCCACGTGCCTTTCCCCTAATCATTCCAGCTCTGACAGGGAGTGCTCCAAGGTCTGACCCTGTTTGAGGTTTCTAGTTAAAACACCTTGTGTTTGTACAGTCTCTGCATCTCCACATGCCTTTCTTGTTTATCATCTTGCCTACACTTTCTAACAACCCTGTGAGGTAAGGTGGGCCAGGGACTGATAAGGAAACCAAGACTCAAAGAGGCTAAATAGCTTGCCCAAAGTCATTCAACTAGGAGGTGACAGAGCCAGGATCTGAACCCACGTTTTCTCAATTCAAATTCTCTGCTCTTACCACATTTACACAAAGACCCATTTTCTTCTAATGGGATCAGTTTATGCTAATCCTGTCTAGGGGACTATTTTCTGTCCCTTCCCTGTTGCTGTTCCAGGATAATCAGCAAAGATTTAGGTAGAGGTCATTCTCTGGAAGATTGAAAGGAGAGAACCAGTGATTTTGAAGAAGGGGAACAACGTGGAGGATCTTTTTTATCCATAGCTCAGTTTGCAAGTATGAAATGCACATTGACTATAGACCCTGCCTTGCCTGACATCATTTATTCATGCATTCTCCACTCAATCATTTGTTCCACACATCTGATGTGCCAGGCACACACTGGGAATGGGACATAGAGACAGGAACAAAATAGATGGGGTCTCTGACATCGTAGAACTTTCAGGCTACTGAGCAAGATAGATAATAAACAAATGCAAGTACTGGATAAACTAGAATGTGCACATGAAGGAAAAGAACAGGGTGCTCTGAGGGAAACCAATTTAGTGAGGATTGAAAATTTGGGAACAGCTTTTCTGTGGATATGACACTTGAGCTTGGGGGTAAGAAAATGTTAGTCTGGGGGTGACTGAAGGGAAAAGCATTTGGGGTAATGGGAACAGCATGTGGGAAGGATCCAAGGCAGTAAAGAGCAGTTATTTGGGAAGTAAAGACCTGATACTGATGCCAGGAAGGTTTCCTTCTACTTGGCAAAACAATTACTAGGAAATAATTCAATGTTTAGCTCAGTTCCCCTGTTCTCAGTGTCCCTGATAGGGTCAGTGGGGACTAGTGTCATCGACAGGGATGTGCAGACACACATTCTGAGAGTCCTTGGTTAGAGCTGTAAGCACAAATAGTTAATGGCCATTGGATACTTAAATATGCCAGGCACCATCCTGTGAGCTCTTAGTAACTAACAGAATCCTTGCAACAGCCCTCAAGAGGTAGGCACCTCTATTAGCTCCCCTTTAGATCTAAGGAAACTGAGGCAAAGAGCAATTAAATAATTTGCCCAAGGCCCTCTGACTAGTAAGTGGCAGAGTGAACATGAACACAGGCAGTCTAGCTCTGAGTCCAGGCTCTTAACCACAGTGCTGTACACATTCACCATGCAAAGAAATTAGTGCTGACTTAGTATTTGACAGTTGGGCTCTTTTGCAGCTCCCTTCTTATAGCGGGTGGTCCCTGGTTAGCAGGTGTCAGCCATGACCTCTTGTATCTTCCTCTCCTCTCTGCAGATGCTCCCTGCTCCAACATGCTGGGGATGCTCTCAGGCCTCATTGCAGACTCCCAGATCTCCGCCTCTTCCACCCAGGAATACCTCTGGAGCCCCAGTGCAGCCCGCCTGGTTAGCAGCCGCTCGGGCTGGTTCCCTCGAATCCCTCAGGCCCAGCCCGGTGAGGAGTGGCTTCAGGTAGATCTGGGAACACCCAAGACAGTGAAAGGTGTCATCATCCAGGGAGCCCGCGGAGGAGACAGTATCACTGCTGTGGAAGCCAGAGCATTTGTGCGCAAGTTCAAAGTCTCCTACAGCCTAAACGGCAAGGACTGGGAATACATTCAGGACCCCAGGACCCAGCAGCCAAAGGTAGGCTGTTCTTGGAGGCCTCTGTAACGTTACCCTCAACAGGGAGGCTAAGTGTGGTACAGGGAGTTGAGACTGATGATGTCCCATCTAAACAGTCGTCATCCAACTCCTGAAATCCAATAAAACAAATATCGTTTGAGAGATTACTTTGTGCCAGGCACTGTGCTAAATACCTTATTTCTGACTCTTTTGTTTGTTTGTTTGTTTGTTTTTGAGATGGAGTCTCTGTCACCCAGGCTGGAGTGCAGTGGCCTGTTCTCGGCTCACTGCAACCTCCGCCTCCAGGGTTCAAGCGATTCTCCAGCCTCAGCCTCCTGAGTGGCTGGGATTACAGGTGCCCGCCACCACACCTAGCTAATTTTTGTATTTCTGGTAGAGATGGGGTTTCACCGTATTGGTCAGGCTGGTCTCGAACTCCTGACCTCAAGTGATCCACTTGCCTTGGCCTCTCAAAGTGCTGGGATTATAGGCATGAACCACCGCGCCCGGCCTGGACTCTTTTTTAATCGTTACAACATCTGTGCAAAGTAGATCTTTTTGTCACTCCCATTTTAGAGATGATAAACTGACACTTGATATCATGCCCAGGGTCACACAGTTCACCTGTGATAGAGCCGATTCAGAAACCGGAAGTCTGACTCCAAAGTCCAGATGCCTAACCCCTACTGAACACTGCCTTTTTATAAAGTTCAACACTCTTTATACACTCTTTCAGATAAAGTTTCCTTGAAATTGGCCAGACATCTAAAGGGGATGTGGTTTTTGGAGGCCAAGCTATAGAAACTAGAGGATGACTTCCAAAAATAACGATGTTTTTCTGAATGTCGCTGCATTCCTTTGTATTCTCCTAGTTTTGACTGCTTAGATCTTTCCGGCCTCTCAGACTGAGGCAAGGGAGAAGCAAGAGAAACTCACCCCGAGCCAGAAGCTCAGGCCAGTACAGCTTACTCCCCTGCCACCAGAGTGAAGGTCAGCCTTCAACACAGACACAAGGAGCCCCAGAAGGGGAGGAGACGTCATACCTCTGTCCCTCCCCAGATCAGTCTCCTGGCAGGCCAGGCTCTCTGATTCTTATCTCTAGTTACCCCTTGTTTTTCTCAAAAGAACAGGTCCCTAAAAAAGGAGGGAGTTTGCATGTCTCGGGGCCACCTTTGCTAAGCAAATGTCTCCATTCTGAATACAGAGGCAAGAGTTGGGTTGGAGGTTTTGCGATGCTGAGGTAAACTCCCAGCTCTCAACTCCAGAGGCTTAGAAAGGCTCAGGGCTTGGTAACTGGAACCTTGCATCGATGGAGCAGAAGTTGGACCGCAGGCTTCCCCATGGAGAGCTGAGCCTGGTTTTTCTTGGGAAAGAAGTTGATCTTTGCCATTGTGGGAGACAGCCCTATCCGAGACAGTGCTTCTGGTTCAGAATTGTGGACGCAGGGCATCCTGAAAACTGGAGCGGTCCTGCTGAATTTCTGGGGGCTAATCAGCTGCAGGCCCTGGCCACCCACTCCTGTCCTTCCCCCGGATGAGTGTCTCCAAGTGTACTCTAGGCTGGTCCTCCAAAGCAGCCCCCTGCTCCCCGCATCATCAGTTTTATGTACTGGGGCTCCATGTGAGGTTTCTTTTGACAGGAGTGCTTTCCCTAAACAAAGGTTTGGGAAACAGTCTAAGACTATCGATGTGTGACCAGAAGACAGTGTCATTGGCCTAGGGGTCATTTTCCCGTAAGGTTCTCAGTGAGCTAGGAACTATCAGTCAGCTTGGGTTACCTCAATGGAGGCTTTCACACATTAGAAAAAGAAGTGTTCCTTTCCCTGTAGACCAGGAATTCAGAACGGTCAAAGATCGCCCAAACTGCCTTCCCCCCTCTCTAGCCAAAGTCAGCTGAAAACGCAGTTGGAGCCAAATTCTTCCCCAGATACTCCATTTTAGTCACCAGGTAAAAGACACAACCTGGAAATTGCCACCTTTGTTTACTTCCTATTTTCCATAATTCTGGGTCCATAACCACCTTCCAAATGAATAAAATCCTTGGTCTGAAAATGAAGCTCGCGTGGATCAGAATGTCCCAGTGACCAGGAATCAACTAGGAAGCTGCCTTCCTAGCAGGACGTGCGGGGCAGGGAGGAGAAGGGGAAGGAAAGGGAAGAAGGTGATAGGGACTGGGTCCCACACCAGAAGGGCTGAGTGGCCTCTCTCCCTGCAGCTGTTCGAAGGGAACATGCACTATGACACCCCTGACATCCGAAGGTTTGACCCCATTCCGGCACAGTATGTGCGGGTATACCCGGAGAGGTGGTCGCCGGCGGGGATTGGGATGCGGCTGGAGGTGCTGGGCTGTGACTGGACAGGTAAGATGACATTTCCTCCTCTTTGCATCTCACCCACATGGTCCTCTGACCCTGGCATCCCACGAGGCCCTGGGAGGGCTGTGGAGGGGGCAGCCATCCCAGGAGCTGGAAATGCTGCAGACCCCTGCCATGTTCTCCTGCCTCAGACCACGGGTACTGCAGCCTCTGGACTTGGGACAGTTTCTCAAGGGATGTACTTTGTCTTTTTTAAGGGATCATTTCAGTTCTCCAACCCGAGTCTCTCAAAAACAAATCATAACCACACACCACCCACCCAAATTCAATTAGACCCTGGCTCTTCAGGCCAGAGGGCTGTGGCTGTTGATTTAGGGAAGAAAAAAACCCCTCATGATAATAAAGTAATCGGTTTATGTCTGAATCTGGCCTCCAGATGTCAGTGGCTAAGAGACTTCATTTTCATTTCGGAGCCACATCTGTAAAAGGCATTTATTTGCTCAGGAGGGACCCTGTTGCAGGGAGCTGATGGGGGCAGGACTCCTTCTCATTGTCCTGCTCATTCCTGCCAGGTGGCCCAGGCCTTGGGGAACACCTCTCATCATTCCAAATGAGGGTGAGGCCCACGGAGGGTGCCCAGCCTTCCTGGTTTCCGAGGGAGGGCCCTGCCCTTCTGAGTCAGGCCCTACCTTCCTTTCCTTGGGTCGCCAGCCCTCCTCCCTCAGCAGAGCTGGCACCAGATCTTACCCAGAGCTCACTCACTGCCTGCCAAAAGGAGTTTGTGGGAGCCACTGGGGCTCAGGGACTGAGCCTGATGCCAGCAGGAGCAGCCACCAGCCTGAGCTATCCTGCCCTCCTCCGCCAGAGCCCCAGGTATCCCCATTTTCCTGTCTGTGCCGTACCTGTCACGGGCTCAGCCGGCAGGATGGCATGAGGGATTAATAAGGGCATGTCGGAGAAGTGCTTTTGGCTCCCAGGGAGAAAAATGCTGCCTGTATGCTGGCTACAGCAGCGCAGAGGAGCCCTGTTGAGGCACACGGGCTGGGAATTGGGCCCAAATTAGCCTCCTCACTTTTGAATTGAAGGCAGCCCCAGCGAACACATCTTCATAGGAAGACACTTAACTCCCCATTACCTGGGGATGAGGCCAAAGTTCCCTGCAGCCTGCTAAACGTGTGTCACCCGTCCTCTCACAGGTGCAGAAAACCTCCCCCCGATACAAGCTGGCTTCATTTATGTGCCCTGGAATCAGGGGCTCAGCGCTGTAGGGGATCCAGGAGCTTGTAAGCCAGTGGCTTTCACACACTTCTGCCCATGATACACAATTTAAAATAATTTTCCTTCACAACCCGCTTCACTTATAAGCACTCACACACAGTGGTGTATACGGGGTACAGTGTATGGGTAAGTGCTTGGACTCTGGAGACAGATTGCCAAGTTCAAGTCCTGCCCCTGCCATTGGCTGGCTGCATAACCTCAGAAAAGTTAGTCTCTCAGCGCCTTGGTTATCTTAGCTGAAAAATGGAGAGGACAATAGTCTGTCTACCCCATAGGGTCATTGTGAGGATTAAATGAATGAATGGATGTGAAATACTTAGACTACTGCCTGCACCCAGCAAACCTGTTATGATAAATAACTGTAACTGAAACAAAAGGTTCCCAAAGCAATGGTCATCTTAACCATGGAAGTGCACTCCAAAATATTATAGTCGGTATGTTTTAAAAGCTGGTCATGACCTATTCGACGGATTCCACAACCCAATGATGAGAGTGATGCGTGGTTTGGGAAATATCACAGACCTGGGCCAATTCCTCTTTCATAGACAAGGAAACAGCCCCAGAAGGTAGAAGTCACTTGCCAGAGGTCACTCAGCTGGATGAAGTCCACCTCATTCTTCCCCCCATCCCTTGCCCTTCAGTGCCATGCCCTCCCAGTCTGGCCAGTGGGACAGTTGCTAATGACCTCTTTCCTTCATTGCTCCCCAATCCCAACATGCCCCAAATTACACTGGTGATGGTCAGTGACAGGTTTCTTATTTCAAAGCCCTGCCTGGCCATTCCTTGGAAGATCAGAGTTGAGGAGCGTTCCCCTCTGCCCAGCCTCCTTTCCTTTGAAGTCTCTGACATCTGGTTTCAATTTCAGGGGTAGCGTTGCTGTTTGATGGGCAGTTACCTTGGAGCACCCAGTACAAACATAGTACAAACAGTATAAACACCGAGGCCTCGGTGCCCGCCGTTCCTCCACTTTCATTTACACGCCCTGCCCTCCGGTGCCTCATTGGCCCCTGGGTTTAACATTCTTTACACCAATCAGCTGACCCATTTTGCTACCTAACATTTCCAGAAACTGTTCTCCATAGGTCACGTGGCTATGTTTGCTTTTCGAATTTCCATCTGTTTCTCACACTCATCTTCGGTTCACTTCTTCATCCCTATCCCAAAGGATAACAGGAAAAATAATGGGCTGGGCTGAGCTGCTGCAGCTAAATACTTTGACAGGGCTGCTTCACCTGTTAGTTGGTTTGTGTTTCAAATAATTATGTTTTGCCTTACTGCCCCATAGTTTGCTTTACAATCGAGTTTCTATGACACAGTGACAAACTTGAACTTACAAATTAGGACACTTCGAGGTTATTTGCTATTTACTGTGAGCAAAAGGCAGACACAGCAAAGGGAAGTATGAAAGGTTATGTGCGTAGTATTTAATAGCAGAAAGGTGGGAAGCCGACCGTGAAAAAGCTATTCAGCGTATTTAGCAATTTCCTCCAGCTCCTGGCTTTATTAAATGGTATCCTGAAGGGTGCCTGACAAAGGCGCCTAATCACATACAGTAGTGCAAAGGAGCATGTATAGAAATGAGAGGGACAAGGCACTGGCATCCTGTTGGAGGACAGCTCTGGGATGAAGACACCACCCCAAAACACATGGACTTGAGCACCAGTTTCCAGAACCCCTTTCACCCCACCCAGGGCCTGACTCATAGCTCCATTCACTCCCTCAATAGTTGCTGAATGAATGACGGGCATGAGCAAATAAGCAAATGAATAGGTGAATGAATCACCTAGAGCTGAGGTCAAAACCCCCTGCCTGCAGCCAGGTTTGGCCTAGCCAGGGTTCATTGTGTGCTACTTAGTATAACATTTTTAATAAGTTGCCAACATGTAGAGTCTGGAGATTTTACTTAGGGATTTTTGCTTTCTTGTTGGGGGAAGGAAAGGGGGAAAGATTTGGAAGACCTGGCCTGGCCACACTGGGCCACCTCCCCTCCAGGCCCCAGTCTGCTGGAGCCAGTCATGGAGGCCACCTTTAAACCAGGCATGTAAGATCCCAGCTTTCACCACCTCCTCTCTCTCCAACCTTCCCCTGCCCTCACAACCACGTCTGCTTTCCTCACTTACAGTAGGTGTTTGGATCCAGGAAACACTTGAACTTGCCACACCCTGACCTAAAGACATAGCCCCAAATCACTTTCACCATGTAGGGTCTGAGCCTCTTTAAATCCATATTCCCGTCCATCCAGTTTTGTGCAAACATGAGCCAGAGTGTGCTTTGGTCCTTCCTTGGAGTCAGCGTCGCCTGTAGCCCCCTCCATTATTGTCTCGTGGCCTTTTGTGCTAAACTCGGGGCCTCTGCTGTGGAGTAAAGAATGTGGGTTTGTGTCCCTACCTCTGTCACTGCTGGTTCTGCAACCCAGGACCATTCTCATTCTACTATGGTGATGCCCCTGACTTCGTTGACAGCACACAGACATGACTTCAGAGTTCCGTGCACATGTGTGCATCTTCTTTCCCTTCTCTAGAGATGTTTGGCATCTTCCTCCTGCTGGGTTGCAACACAGGCTGCTACAGCATTCTCTTATCTTCCTTTGCCCTTACACAGACTCCAAGCCCACGGTAGAGACGCTGGGACCCACTGTGAAGAGCGAAGAGACAACCACCCCCTACCCCACCGAAGAGGAGGCCACAGAGTGTGGGGAGAACTGCAGCTTTGAGGATGGTAAGCACAAATTGCCTCCAGATGGCATGGGTGCGGACTAGTCAGAGTGGGAGCTGGCCTGTGGCTGGACAGGGACCTAGTGGTCCCCCAGATCAGAGATCCAGGGGATCTCAAAGAAGTGGTAAGAGAGGTGGGGGCACTTAGGGGTTTGGGGCAGTGGCTGTTTACAACCAATGTAGAAGCATTTGGATAGTGTAACAACCAGTACAGCCCTACTGGTGTGAACCCACTAGACATCAGGTGAGACAAGGATGACTCCAAAGAGAACTCCTCTTTTGAGGAGTCTCATTTGTTGAGCCCTCACTATCTTGCTTGTCTGCTAAAGGAGAACCATTCTTATCCTTAGAATTCACAGCTCTGATAGTTTTTCCTGTTAAGCTGTGTGTGTATGCTACAGCGAAGTGAAGATACGGCAGTCATCTGGGTGATGGAGCGCGATAGTTGGGTTAATCCAGCAGTTACCTGTGACTTAATTGTGTTTCCCTGTGTCTTTCACCGCCACCAATTTGAGAAAGTATAACAGTGATGATTCTATAAGATAGTGCACTGTATCCTCTATAACTGGAGTGCAGATCAGAGACAAAGGCGGAAATGTAAAAAGGCATCTTCAACCGTTCCCTCAAAACTCAGGGGCTCCGCATTTCTGGATGGGTCCCATCACATGGGAAATTCTTTTCATTTATCTTCGGAGTATATCCAAGTTAGATAAAAACAATAATTGGCAGAATCCAAAAGTCAGTCACATTTTAAATCATACTGCTAAAGTCACCAAGTATGAGGACATTTATAAGAAACCACAAATTTTGGAACACCTGGCATTTTGGCTAGAATGTTAAGCTTGACAGCCTCAACTTACAGTAAATTACTGATCATTATTAAATGTTCATTAAACAAAATGAGGGAAGATTGGCAAAGAGACTAGAGAAGTGATGGAGACATAAAGATATAGGTAGATGGCAAAATCTGTGGAACCTGCAAGCACAGCCGTTTGACAGTTAGAGGAACTACACTGATGGAGTGGATGACTCCAGAAAATGGCTACAAAGAAGAATGGGAGGAAAGCCAAGAATAAATGCTGAAGTTATGTGACTGAAAAAGCAATAATTTAATGCATATGCTTTGGGGATTGTGCTTTCATATTATTGTGTGGGTGGGGGACACTGTTGGTCGGGGTTAGTTGAATACAGAATTCTGACATTTTAATGAACTTGTTTTTGTTTTATGGAGAGAAGAAGGAGACTTGGAGAATCTTCCAAGACATGTTTCAGATAGTTTGAGAGCCAAAAGTGGAATGCATAGGGAGTTAACATACGATATTGGATTTACAGAGTTAGCTTGTTGGGGGACCTGGAGTGGGGGTTCTAGCTAAATGACAATCAAAGGAAAAATTAAGGGTTCTGCTGCAAAATTTCAGAAGTTTATTTTTAATATGATTTTCCCGTTTCTAGTGGTTTGTTTCATTTGAGGTTTCTTTGATGGTTCCTCCCTTTTCTTTTTGCAAAAGTTTTTTTTGTAGAATTTGGTTCCTGAGATACAGTATACATGTAAACATTACAGAGGATTTATGCTATATTGAATTACTTCGTATTTTTGAAGAGAAAAATAGAAATTCAGAAATTGTCAGGAGAAGGGGTGGTAAAGGCTAAGGGCTGACTTTTCCAAGCCACAGGTTGATGCTTCTGTAATAGATTCCATGTGTCTCTTCTAAACTCAAGCTGACTTTGGCCAAGGGTGGGCAAACATTAAATATCCTGTCCTGGAAAGGGAAGGCATTTACAGGGCCTGGTGGCAATCTTCCTCCTCCCTCTGACGCCAGCAGTGCCCTGCCCCCCATGAGGTGAGCCCTCCTCACCCCTAGGGTGAGTAATTTGTTTCTACCAGTCCGTGGCTCCCTTTAGACTTCCTAACCTGCATTCTAAGCCTTCCCCAGGGAAATTCCTCTCTAAGAACCCTGGGAAGGGAAGTGAGAAGGGCAGAGACCCCACTTTCTCCCTGCTACCAACATTAGCCAACATTTTTCCACTGTCTCCGCAGGCACTGCCGGCAAACAACCAAATCTGGGTTCCCATTTCCTCTTTCCCCACGTCCACACCACCCCCACTTAGTCACATATTTGGCATTAGCTCATACTGGATTTTTGGAGCTGGGTGGAACCTCAGAAGAAACTCTCTTGGTTCTGTCTTCAGGCTCAGGCAGGTGAACCATCAAAGCAGACAGGACACCACTGTGTCATTAGTTCCTGGATTCCCATAGGGAAAGCATTCTCTACCTCCCGGGGTCGCAGCCTCCAGGGATTCAGCATGATGGGAAATTATTTTTCCTCCTGGCCAGCACTGAGCTGAGAAGCTGGCTGGTCTGGTCCCTTCGATTTGCTCTTACCATGCCAAATTTCCCACCGGGCATACCTCCCCATGGAGATGCTGGACTGTCCCAGTCTTCAGAAATAGAGACGGATCACAAAGAGGTGAAGTGTAGCAAACAAGCCTTCCTTGTTTCTGAGGTCACTTTCTCCTCACTGGGCAGAACCTCCCAGGGATTTCAGTCTCTCTGGATGCTAATGGGCTGCCCCATCTCCTCTGAGAGCCAGGTTGGCAGGAGATGAGATAATACTTTTTTTGGGAGCCAGCCTTCCACCAGGGCACTGGGGAGACATTCTTCTCTGGCATTTAGGGAACAGCAATTTTCACATTTGTCTGCTCTCCGAGGTGGACAGAAGAGGCTGATTAGAGCCTGAAGCCATTTGGTAGCCTCATTCATAATTGCTTACTATGGGAACCACTGGCAGACTTGGCTTTCATGCCTGGGAAGGATGAGACCAAAGCCTGACCCGAAAGCCAGCGATCGCCAAGATGAGTTAAATGAATAAGCAAAGGAAGCCACTTCTTTCTCTGCTCTCCACTCAGGCCTTGCCAGCCATTTAAATAGTACCACTGTGGCTGTTCTCTGAACCCATTTCATTTGCCTTCCTTTGGGTTATTGTTTTCCCCTTTTAGACAAAGATTTGCAGCTCCCTTCGGGATTCAATTGCAACTTCGATTTCCTCGAGGAGCCCTGTGGTTGGATGTATGACCATGCCAAGTGGCTCCGGACCACCTGGGCCAGCAGCTCCAGCCCAAACGACCGGACGTTTCCAGGTAAGCCAGCTGTGAGTGAAGATATGAAAGAGTTAAGGCCAGCTTGTTCCACATACTTCAACCCCAGATTCCCTTACAAGCTTCATAACTTCCCACCGCACAGCAATCCTCTATTCTTTGCCCACAAACCACCACAGTCTTTGCTCAAGACGTCACCTCAAAGAATAGCCAGTTGGTGGTTCCCAGCCTCTCTTGTGATTACAGCACAGCCTGGAAGCTGGGAGGGAGAAGCGGAAGCCAAGATAGAAGAAAGAGGAGAAAGAAAAAAGGGACAATTGGGAGGCCCTAGGAGATGGGGCACGAGTCAGTGTCCTCTTGTTCCCATAGCCAGCACCCACTGCTATTATCACAGAGCCCCTTGTCAACTTCGAGCTGGGTACTGTTCCTAAAATGGCTCATTGGGAGATGACTGGCCTTGAGTTTGATTTATACGTCTCTGAGGGTGCCACTGCTTCTACACCAAGTCAATTTGAGGGACCAAAATGCTGCCACACCCATGGGTATCTAGCAGAGCTGCCTGGCACTTGGCCTCTAGAAGAGTATTGCTGTAAGTCCTGGATACATTGTTAAGCCCACCATTTTAGTTTCAGAAAGCCAGATTTCAGAAGCTTCTCCTGGCACTGCTGACAAGAAGGGGTTGCCTCTATCCCTTCTAAACAGGTAGCAAGAGTTGTCTGCTATCTCTGCTGTTACGTGCTTTCACAGCAGTATGATGGTAAATGTTTAACAATAGGCTTTTTAGGGATTAAAAAATAAACTGCTTTTTAACGTTTGTCACTTTCAGTGGTGTAAATACCCTTACCATAGCTGAGCTTAAGCTACCAACACAACATCAATGGAGATGGAGTTGAGAAGTCAGTAAGAGAGCATTATATAGTTTTTTTTTCCATTGTGCAAATACAGTAGACAGAAATGACTCCAGAAGTATAGCTACTGATAAAATGTATTAAGATAACTAGCAAGTGTTGAGTTTTGAGGATTTGTTACCTTTGTTTTTTAATACAATTTATTGAATTATAGCTTTATATAATTTAATTTTTACTAATGAATACATTTAACAACTGGCTTGCAAAACACTTGACAAGCAGCTCTCACAAGCTGGTACACCTTGGATCTAGCACAGCACTGAGTGACTTTGAATTCTCCTGTACTTCTGGCCTGGACCTGAGACCTCCATAAGCACTGGAGAGGAGAGGGGTGAATTCCGGAAATTTAGTAGATCAGTTTGCCAGGGTACAATAGGAAAAGGCTAGAAAATAAAAGAGGGAAAGGGACCTTCCCTTCTGCAGGCTTCCTTAGAACTGCTTCTCACCCCAAGCACTGGCGTGTCCCTTCTTCCCGGTGGGGGCAGTGGGACAGATGCTAGGAGAACACTTGGAGCTGGCCTCCTGACACAGTCCACACTTGCTTCCCTGGAGGGTCACAGTGCCTGATCCGGAGAAAAACATTTTCATATTTCAAGTGTTTATCTCTTCAGCATTTGAGTGCTCAGAGAGATTAATATCTGAAGATCACCACAGCCTCAGGCAAAAGAAGAGAACACTTACCCCAGTCCAGCCTTAATCACCCTCCCTTCTCTGTTCACTGCAATAATGTTTAATTAATATAATGAGCCTCCTGCACGTTGGGAAAAAATACTTATTTTTATAACCCAGCCTGGATTTTTCATTTCATTTCCACTCCTTTGAGACTGCATCCAATTAATTCATGGTTGTTCCCAACCCCCATGTTTTATCTGAATGTAAAGAAGGTTTGTGGGGTCTGTGTAGGTGTGGGTATTCTAGTGTTAATGTGTGTGTGCATGAGTGTGTTTGTGGTTTCTGTGCATGGGTGTGTGTGTGTGTCTGTGTGGTATGTACCTCAGCAGAGGCGCTTGGAATAAAAGGATATAGCCGGGGTCCTCTGCAGGCTGGGGAGGTTGGCTGGCTCTTATTCAGTGTCTGTCCTCAGGTTCATTCTAATGATTCTGGCCTCCTCCCTTGACTCTTCTAAGCATATTTTCTCTGGGAGTGTCTGAGGGCAGCCCTACCCAGGCCACAAGGCCACCAATTACTGAGTCACAGCTCCAGGGGAGCTTAAGTGACCTCCCTTTGACCCTGGCCTGGACCTCTGTTTCTTCACCCGTTCACCACCGCCTCCTCCTCGTCCAGTCCTGGCCTTCACCCGAAAGCCCCTATGGTTGACCTTTGCTACTGGTTGGGAATTCTAGTCTTTGTCCTCCTTCCAGTTGATTCATTATACCCTGTGGTTTGGGAGGGCTTTTCAGAGCAAGCTCACAAAGTGGGCAGAATTCCAACCTTTGGCTGAATGGATGGGGACAGAGAGAAAATTACGGCCATAAGGAACTGCTAAATCTAATGTTGTTCCTCCCTTAAGATATTGAAAGGGAAAGTAATTATTTTCCTATTCCAGAGGAATCCCGAAGTTTGGGAAAGTGGCACTTATAACCTGCCTCCAGGAAACAAAATCATAATATTGTTCTCAGAGCCCTTCCCTCTATCCTCTGATGACTTTATGAACCGTTCTCTGTATTTCCCATTTTCCTTCTCCCTACAGAGCTTGATATTGGGCTTTAAGCAGGAGAGGAGAGAAAGCCCTTTCTGTTCAGGGTGGTCCTTACTTCTTCTCCATAGGGAAAAAAAAAAAAGGAGGGGGAGGCCCTGAGGGGATTGGGGAGAAGGGAAGCAGCTGGCTTGGTTGGGGGCAGAGCAACTGCTAATGGGTTCAGAGCGGCTGGCGCCCACAGAGTCAGCCTGAAAGCCTGTTGTGTGCCACACTTTGCCATCCACAGAGGGGACCGTCCCACTCTTCACGAGCGTGTGCCATATGCTTCATCCCCTGATGAGATAGGCAAACAGAAGTAATGAAATTTAAGAAAGGAGGTGTCTCTGTCAAGTGTGAGGGGCGTCAGGGTGAAGAGAAAGGTGGATGGGAGAGGAGCTAGCCGTGTTGAAGTACCCAACACGGGCCCTATGTGGAAACTGCTTACATTCCTCGGATATTTTCTGATTTCATTATTTTCTCATATTTTCTTTCTTTTTTTTTCCTTTCCTTTTCCTTTTAAGTAAGCAATTAGTTCTGTTCTTTTTGGCCAGTGGTTGCCTAAGGCTGAAAAGCACCCACTGGTTTCATTCCACTGTTTTTGTTTTTCAAGATAGTCTTTCAAGCCAGTCAGAATTTCTGTTTTTAGCTCTTTGCTTGTGGCTTAGCTGCCTGGAGTGTGTTCACACCAGCCTCTGGGGACCCTGTTCCAAATTCAGTGACCCCTGCTAGCTGCGGAGGAACACTCAGTGTTCTCTAAGAGGCCACTTTGGCTTTCCTCTGTAGTGACAATGACATAGGAAGCACCCCCTTACTAGGAGATGGCATGTTTCCTACATTCTCAGGTGCTTTGAACATAGACAGAGTTTTGAGAATGATCAAAGCCCAGCCTTTAAGAACCGAGACAAAAACTCATAGGGCGGGCAGGTATCTAAAGCTGCAGCATTGAATATTGTAGCCATGAGCCATGTGTGGCAATTTTATTTTAATTAATTAAAATGATTACAGCCAAAACTTCGGTTCTGCTGTCCCACCAGCCACATTCCAAGGGCACAGTAGCTACACTGTATTGGTCAGTGCATAGACAGGGCACGTCACTGTATACACGGCATCATCACAGAATGTATTGGACAACACTGCTCCAGTGCTTTGGACACTCACATGAGAGCAACCACCAGGGGCCCTTGATGATTCTTTAGTTCCCTGGTTTTGGTATGAACCAAGAAGCAAGTAATGGAGGGATGTGTCTTCTGTGGGATCCCTTGATGGAGTGTTCAGTGGCTGGTATCTTTATAGCTGTCTCATTCTCCCTCACTAGATAACTACAGTAAAGTAAGCAAGTAACATGGCATTAGATGGTGTAGGAACTATTGCGATTAATCAAAAAGAGCATTGTAAGTAAATATTAATACTAAGTAAGGTCAATAATCATCATCATTGTGATTGTTGTGTCATTTTTATTGTCAGGAATGAGACAAAGAAGATGAGGTAAAGGGTACTAGGCCAGGTCAGCTTCAGAATCCTCCAGTGTGTGTTCCCCCTAAATCTGTGCTCTTTTATTCGTGGGTTGGCCTTGTGAAATCTGATTACAGTATTACTTCAATGACTTTCAATCATGAAAGTGATAGAAAGAAAACAAGCGAAGCTGATATTGAACAGAGCTTTGACTGCCTGGTCAAAGCCTATGGGATTGAGGGAACAGAACCTTTACTCTAGGCTCAAAAACAAGCTCAAATGGGAGTAAGTCGAGAATCTTAATGTTATAAAATACCCAAATTTTACAAACAGTGGCTGGCTATTCCTTCAAATGTAAGAAGTAAGATTGTTAACACCTCACTGGGGCTATTTTGATGCAGACTGAGCCATTGAATGAATTCCGTTAGAGTGGGAGACCTTAGCCATGATTCACGGTGGAGGCGCACACAAGAAGATTAAGTGAAGTGTGGATGGGTATGGTGAGTGGATGGTTGCAGAGAAATCAGAGGAAATAACTGATGAGTGAATTTACTCATAATGGGCTTGATTTTAGACAGTGAGCAAGTGGTGACTGAATTGAAAAGCAACTCTGAGTTCAAAAGATCAGGTGGGACCGATGGCAGCAAACAATCCATTGAATTGCTGTTAGATTGAACTGTCTTCAGAAAGAGGTTGCTGTGGCTTGGCTGGGGCACAGACACTGCAAATCCAGAGACAGAACTTCCTGGGCTCTGGACCATGATAGATAATTAAAGATCAGGAGCAGCTTGGCTAAAAGAAAGCCAATAGTCAAGGAATAATTTCAACTGGAAAAGAAAAGGATAGAGGCCCTTCTTTAAGGAAGGTAGAAAAACATCCCAGGCTTTGCAGAAAAAAATAACAGCAGGAAGAAGCTTTCTTTACCCTTTTTTTTTTTTTCCTGCAAATCATGATTGGTTGAGTCCCCCAGCAGTGTGTGGATTGATAACGAAGGGGCAGAATGACAAGACAGCCTCAATGGCAAAACCTTCATGAAAGCCGGCAGAGTGAAAAAACAGCTCTGGGTAGATTCCTGCAAGGGCTAGGACTGAAACCTTCATGTCCACAAAATGGTCTATTGTAAACCTTGAGAACATCTTGCTAAGTTTATCCAAAGTCAGTGTTTCCCTTAACTGGTTGCTAATTTGAGGACCTTAGCAGAGATAGGCAGACCTTGGAAGGCCAGCTGAGGGCTGACTCATGTTTTAAGCATGGACTATGCAAAGAGACTACATCTCCTACAGCACTAAATATTCTTTCAGATGGTCGTTCTAGTAGGAGGGCAAGATGCTAGCCAGGAGATGTGCGTGTTGGACAGATGGTGTGTTTGGCTTTGTGATAGCCAGGAGGATCAAGCTGGTGATTTATTTCAGGGTTTGGTGAGGTGTAGACACAACTGATTCCATTGCTGTTGGGCCAGTCGCAGTCACGTGTTCACATGACACTTAAGCAGCTGAAGCCAGATGCGGCCGTAAATCGCCAGGTGAAATATCAAGAGACCTTTCCAGAGACAGCAGCAGGTTAAAATGCTGAATGGCCCTGTCCTCTGTACTTCCTCTTCACCCTTTTGAACTCCTGTTGTTCATTCCCAGGCGATTGTTTTCCCTGTATCATTGGCAACAACAGATGTTTTGGGTCAAGGACCCAGCGAAATGCCTCCCAAGTATGTCAGGTCCAGGAGGAGAGGAATTGTATCTCTGGGACATTATTTCTTCAATCTCTTTCAGCAATGGAACATATTTCCTTTCCATTGTCTTTTTCTTGGAAGCTGTCCATTGCCGGCATCATAGCCATCAGCTACAAGAACAGGCAGGGCTGGTTCTTAGCTGGTCAGTTGTCACGTTCAGGCGACCTCTTGACAATCCAAAGGGCTTTACCTCAAGGTTCAAGTAAATAAAAAAGTAGCCCCCCGCCCCCACCATACCAGCTCTTTTGACGGTCCAAGTAATCAGTAGCCACTGTATACCTAGAACATCTTCTGTGTCTGACAGTGGTGGGCCATAAATCGGGAGATTCCAGAAGAACAAACTTCAGTTGCAGCACGTGTTTGATCTCAATATCTATGTGTGGGTGCCATGACTTAAAAGAGCTGAAGCATTTATAATAGCTTGGAAGAAGGGTCAGTGGAAAACCAACACTGCCCTAGAAAGTAGACATTTGAACCATGCCCTAGGAAGTAGACATTTGAAGGGGCAAGGGTTCCTAGGGAAGCAAAGACTACGAGTCTTAATTCTTCACAAGTGAAAATGTCTCTAAGTTGGAAAACAGAAATTGGCTATGCTCCATCAGGGGTAGAAGGAGGAAATGTCTCTAAATGACAGCAGGAAAACTTTAAACTGAATTTAAGAAGTTTCTGATGGTTAGGGTTGTAACCTAGAAAACACACTACAGACGTGGCCTATGGAAACTCCTTCTCTGGAGAATTTAAAGCAAAGGGTGGACAGCTGTTCTTGGATGCTTTTGGCACGGTTCCTCCGGGAGGCAGGACTGGCCTGCCCTAAGATCACTTGAGGTCCCACTCTTGTTCCAGGATCATGTAATATTTTATTTCATCTACTGTGAAGCAACACAAAAGACCTGTGGTGATGGAAAACTTGGGGCCGGCTGGTTTCTGGAGAAAGAGCAGATAAGGGGAACCAGTCTTTGTCCAGAGAACATCTTTACTGCCCTCATGCCAAACATACTTCTTTTTGAGTCTTGGATTGGCCTTCCTGGGTTATTGGTGGTCTTTCTATCCTTTTTGTTTCCTAGTAAAATAAAGGCAAGCATAGGAGGGAGTGTGTAGAGTGATATTAATAGTAACAACTTTTCCTGAGCTCTTAATGTGTCCTTGTTACTGTGCAAAGCACTTTACATGGCTCATTCCATTTACTCTTCCCCCAACTCTATGCAGTAAGACTGTCTTTGTATCCATTTTACAGATGGAAAGACTGAGGCTTTAAAAGCTTAGTGAGTTAGGCTGGGAGTCCAATCCAGATGAGAAGCTATGCTGTGGCAGGTTTACTGAGTCCAATGAGGATTCAAATCCTACGTCACTCCAATTCTCTGAGCCTCAGTTTCTTTTTGGTGAAAATGGAGAAGATGGTATTTATTTTGCAGAGCTAGATTTCACAGGGAAGGTGACATCAGGGGAGGCAGGTAAAGCCTCCCGTGTGATCGCGCACAGGCAGCAGGTGTTCAATGTGTTCATTCCTTTCCCCCTGCTCTTCTTCTCCCTTCCTTGGGCTTTTCCTGGTCTGAGTCATTCCTTCATGATGTCCCTGGTTCTAATCAGGCCTCTGTCAGTGACAGGCGCTTTGCAGCTCAGCATCTCTCTGACTGATGTCTACTGCTAATTCCTTAAATTTACATATCATCTTTCTTCCCTGGAGCTCATAGCACTTAACAGACAAGTGGGGCACAAATGATTTAACGAAGTGAAATCCAGAGGCCTGCTCGTCTGGAGATTCTGCAGACTAGTGGATTAGCTCAGATGTCAGCACTGAATTATGATCCTTCAGCTGCTTGTGCTAAGCATGTCACTAGCATTAACTCCCTGGTCTTGCAATGTTCCCCTAAATCATGCATAGAGATTGTCATTTTATCGTGAGAGGGAGATGGGAGAGAAGGAGAAAGGAGAGAAGAGGGGAAGGGGCTACCTGGTGGGGTGGGTCACTGGAAGGGGCAGACTGTGAAACCTTTGGCCTGGCTGTGCCTGGAGTTTCAGTAACAGGAAGGGTAAGTAGAACAGACCCAGATACAATCCATTCAGCCCAGTTCTTCACACTTCCACACACATTTCACTTACCAAATTCTAACCATGATGCCATGATTTCCCTGCCGCTTAAGAATGTAAATTCACACAAGTGACAGTATCTCTGCCAAACAATTTTCAGGCAGCAAGTGGGTCTTATTTGTGAAACTGTGAAGGAAGAAGGCTGAATAATAAATCTCTAAAATCTGGTTTCCTTTATATATGAGGTGGCAACAGTAAGGGCTTGGAAATTACCGGAAGCGTGGGAGCATTTAAAGGGTTCTCACTGGTGTCTCGGTACACTGGGTGCTTCCACAAGCCACCTTGTCATTACTGGTGCACCTCACCTTTGAAAGTGGCTGTTGGCTTGGGAGGGTAGAGGGAATTGTGAAGGGATTATATCTAAGGGATTATGAGAAGCTAGCTGATTCTCCTGTCCTCATTTCCAATGTATAGCCTCATATCATTCTTTAACCGTGTATTTATCATTCTCCATTCATCCATTCATTCATAGAAACAAAATTTTCTTGAGGAGTGGCATATATATAGCACTATCTAGGGGTAGAGAGAAGAAGCAATGTTAAACCTTATTATTTGTAAGACCAGCATTTACAATATAACTGGGGTGATAAAAAAGACATGAAAAAACCAGTTAAATTATAATGCCAGGCAGTGAGTGATTACCTGCTGAAATCCATGGAAAATGGCCTGCCTGAAGTCCTTTTAAAAACATAAAATCAGCAGTACAGTCAGTAAATGCTAGAGTTGTTGAGAAAAGAAGCGGATTAATGTTGCATGTGCCAGAATAGTTAGGAGAAGAACTAGCCAAAGGGACGGGGTAGATGGAGTGGTTCAGGGAGTGGAGAATTACAGCTAAGAGGAGAAAAAGCAGCAACGGGCCCAGTGGGGAAGCCAGTTTGCCTCAAACAGAGTGTGATTGATTGCAAGGACTTGGGGCAAGCTACCTGCAGAGCAGCTGAAATAAAGAACTTATTGCATGAAGGTGGAAAACCTGCAGTCAGGGGTCTCGGCTCTGCCATTGAAGTTGCCTCTCTACCTTGGACAAATCACTTTAACCTTTCTGAGCAGTTTCTTCATCATGTGCAAAGTAAGGTTAGTAAGTCCTATCTCACAAGGATATAGAAAGGATGACATGAAATATTGCATGTAAATGTGCTTGTAACCTGTAAAGCATTATGCAAGAATGAGCTTTAATTATTATCATTAACAGCAGTAATAGTAAGATCTGATAGGGGAAGCATAGGTTTAGAAGATCTTTGAGGGTCTGATTTGGCATCAGTGTATCCTCCCTCAGCAGACACCATTATTAATTCTCTTCTGTAGACAGCTGCCTTTTAGTTATCTGTGCTGATTTTGGCCTTGCAGAGGTCACACCTTGTAGGGTATGTAGACAGATGTGGCTTTGGATGGTTGAAGAGGCACAAACTGGAATCCCATATACGCATACTAAACTGGTCTCATTTGACTTCAGGGAAGCATAGCTTCTGAAGCACTAATCCCAGAGAGCCTAAACAGGAAGGAGCTTAGGGGAGCAGGGAGGTAGGTGAGGCAGCTGGGGAGTCAAGAAGGAAAGAGCTGTTTCTGGGCCACTGATGGGAGGTCCAGCACAGGCTCAGCTCTCACCTAGAAAGTTGAGGTCAGCAGGATTAACAACAGCAAAGCAGTGGTCCAGGGAGTATTGCATTGATTCTAGGCTCTAGAATCCTAGCCCATCTACCCTGACAAGTCCAGGATATTCACAGTCCCTGTGGAGTAAGAAAGCTCTGTGCATCTGTCCCAGGTTAACATGACCTCACACTAACATGATCCTAAGGCATCTGACGTGCCCACATTCCATGCTGCATATGTGGTAGAAAAGTGGCCCTGCCATCTTGCAGAAGTATTCAGCCTAAGACGCCCCTATGTTTCAGGGCCAAAAAGAGGTACTGAGATTTCCTCACCAAATGCCACCTTGTTCTCTGTACAAGTGGCCAGAATGGTCCTGTACAAGTTGGATTTGAAGGTGCAGGTCACACCTGTGTTCTGCAAGGCACGTAGTCTGCCAACAGCAACAAGAACTCGGTCTTCCACATGAGTGTCTGATGAATTTGAAACTAATCAGCCAAAAAGGCCATTCTCCAAACATTTGGATTGGTAAACCCTTAATTTCCCAGAACACATATATTCTCTGCTAAACACACAGCCTTTGTTAATGATAATGACAGCACCTTTATCACTGGAGCCATATGTGCCTGGCTGTCTCAGAAAGGCCAAGTTCAAGCCTCCCTGAATCATCCCTTTCAGCTCCCACCCTCTGTTCTGTTTGAAGGTGACACTGGGCTTCTGAGTCACAGTCACTAGAGCCCAAGCATCATCTAGGAGCACTGATGGAGACAGAAGGTTTTAAATGTCAGCCATTTGGACAGTGCCCAGCCAAGATGGCCAGGGCTGGAAGCATCAACCACCTGGTCATAGTCACCCTCCAATCTAGCAGCCCCCCACCCCCTATAATCTGTCCCCTTGTAATTCAGTTCATCAGATTGCACTGGCCCTTTGGGTGAGTTAATGATGAATAAGATGTGGGTCTGGCCTCTCAGAATCTAGAGGGAGAAGAAGGGCACGCACACAACCAGCCAAGACATAAGGCAGCTGTGCCGGGTGCTCCATGTGAAAGAGATGGAAAGGAAATGATACCGAGAAATAGGCAGGAGGGACCGATTTGACTTAGAGACTCTTAAGAAAACACAGCATTTGAATCAAGGCTCTGAAGGAGCCTTAAGAAAGGGTCACAGAGCCTGGAGAACAAGGACATGAATAAACCAAAGACACCGAAACTCAGTCCCAACTTTCCCTTGGAGAGGCCACAGCAGCACACTGGTGTCTTTCCCGAGTGTTTATGGAGAACCTCTGTTTGGGTTTGTTTCTGCCAGATGACAGGAATTTCTTGCGGCTGCAGAGTGACAGCCAGAGAGAGGGCCAGTATGCCCGGCTCATCAGCCCCCCTGTCCACCTGCCCCGAAGCCCGGTGTGCATGGAGTTCCAGTACCAGGCCACGGGCGGCCGCGGGGTGGCGCTGCAGGTGGTGCGGGAAGCCAGCCAGGAGAGCAAGTTGCTGTGGGTCATCCGTGAGGACCAGGGCGGCGAGTGGAAGCACGGGCGGATCATCCTGCCCAGCTACGACATGGAGTACCAGGTGGGGTGAGCAAAAAGGGAATCTTGTGATCCGTATTTCAATATTTCAAGGGCCGAGCCCATTCATCGTTAGGGAACGTGGTTAAGCGCTACTGTTTTCATTGTGTTTCTCACGTTGCCATGGCAACTGAATGACACTCTTATTTGTTATTCAGAATATGCCTATCTCTACACCCAGACTTGGTTCTTTGTTCCTCCTGTTGCCTTTTATATTGCTGAAATCTTCTCCAACAAATGTTTCTCCTCTCCATTTTATTTTAGATTGCTATCAGGTAGGCTGACAAAGGGACACAGAAGCCAGAGAAATAAACACAAACAAACCCTCCACACACAAGGAAAGAGGCCTGTGGAGCCCCTTCAGATCTGGGGAGGAAATAGGATAATCTCCCAGACCTGTCCCAGGCAGCAAGAACACAGGAAGGGGAGCGGGGGCTGTTGGCGCTCAGTGGCCGGCAGACATGAGAGGCTCCAGAGTGAGTGCTCTCTCTCTCTCACCAGCTCCCGGAATGGAGTTCTGTTATCTCTGCCCCACAGAGCAGGAGACTGAGGCACAGATGGGTATGTTCAGCCGTGGTTGCAACTTGGGTAGGAGTAGACACACTGTGGAAGAGGTGACTGAGAACCAGCCAAAGCATTAACCTTCTCCTCCCCAGACGAGGAGCAGCAACAGATGGCTGGTGCAGCAGCCAACTGCTCACCCAGCTTGCCAGAGGACATGTGCTAGTTTGCAGAGAGGAACCTGGGGAGGGCGAGCATGAGAAATGACTGAAGACCACAGAGCCGAGGGGCTTCTGTGTACAGCCTGCAGTCCCTGTCCCTTGAGGTTGCAAGGCATCCTGAGACCTTCCCCACCCCCATCTGGGTTCCCACTTACTCACCTGAGTGTGTTGTATTGTAACTACCTGTTTGCATTTGTGTCTCAGCCATTAGATGGGTGAGCTTCTCTGGGCAGAGATCTTGTCTTACTAGGTTTTGTTACTATCCTTATGTCCAGGGCATAGTAGGTGCTCAGTAAATGGCTGGTGAAAAAACAAATTCTTTTCCTCCTAGTTGTAATAATGAAGCCCTAAGGCAACTTATAATAAGGAGCACAAATCAAAACCTATGTGCTGTATTTCTCACATTACCCCCACCTACTTGTGTCTTCTGAGTTTTCAAATACCTGGATTGGGCATTTGAAAGATTTATGAGACAGGAACCTCGAAAATAGTGAGGGAAGTTTCAACCCCCCTTTCAATAGTCTCTGATTATGGCCCTTTTAATCAATACATTCTAGTTACTGGACAACAATATCCACCCCCTTGTTATATTTTCTTATCCCCTTAAATATGCGTTTGATTTGAACAAACTCATTTTGAATTAAGATTTCAAGAGCTGTAGCCATGTGGTCAACAGATGTGTACCAGGTGCAATAACACACACACACACACACATACACACACACGCTTTAAGCTGCAGCTAACAGAAACTTGGAAATCCTTGCACCGTTTGGACTAGGAGACTCAGTTAACCATGGCTCTTATTCTTCCGGCTTCTAGATTGTGTTCGAGGGAGTGATAGGGAAAGGACGTTCCGGAGAGATTGCCATTGATGACATTCGGATAAGCACTGATGTCCCACTGGAGAACTGCATGGGTATGTGAATATCTGTCTCTTCATGGTTCTTTCAAATAAGACCCCAAGGGCTGGGATAAGCAAGAGGAGGCAGGACACCATTTTCCAATGCAGTCGTTACCCAGTGGGTGGGGCAGCCACAGTCTCTGCAAGGTAAGGTGTGGGTGTAGTTGTGTCTTAGGCTGGGTTCAGGGTGGGAAGGGGTGTGAGGTAAGGGGACGGCTTATATCCCTGTTCCCAATCAGAAATAGACATGCACTAAGTACATAGAGGTTCAGGGTGCCAAGACCCCCTCAGCAAACCCCAGCTTTTAGCAAAGAAAATGCTAGAGGACGAGAGCAACTGCCAGTCAAAATTATATGCTGGAAAGGTTTGATGGATTTAATGGAAGCCTTCACTGGTGAGCAAAAATAGTACATATGTTATGTAAGAGTGATAACACAATTACCTGAGTAGTTATTTTACATGAATGAATTGCAGAGCAAACTGTGGCATTTGAAGTAAGATTTCAGATTTTTCTTTAAAACGAATACCTCTAATGCCCAAGATCCCAAAGTTGTTGTAGGATTAAACATTGCAGGCCAGGTGACTGGCACGAGAAGGATATCATAACCATCATCTTGGTCAAAAGCACCTGAACAGCCAGTCCACCTGAGAGGCACGCATTTTCTTCAGGGTCTCCTGCTGCAGATGAGGTCACCCTGGCTGTGTCCCATCAGAGCCATGGACATTTCCCAAACCAAGAAAGGAACCCTGAGAAGGCATGAGGGTTGCTTTCAGTCAGCAGAGTGGCTGCAGTAACTCACCAACTGCCTTTCTTGGCACACGACCCCTGGTGTGTGTGTGCTTGATGATGTCAGAAGCACCTGGGACCACCCCAGTCCCTCCGGGCAACTCTCAGGCCCCAGGCATCTAAAAGTAATCCAGGCTCTGAGAAAGTAATCAGCAGTAAGTAACTGATTACAATACTTTAGGGACCCATTTCTTGATGAAGGACTTTTTGTTCCAAAGCAACTTTGAGAATCCCCCCTCCTCCGCCATCACCACCCCATGATGATGATGTGTTAGAGCCAGCCTAGAACATGTGGAAGATGGGGGGCCCTCTCCATGGAGTGGTACAAAAAAACCGAGTGCAGTCATGTTTATCATCATATTCATCCAATTATTCACTCTATGTTCACCCAATTGTTTCTTGCCTTTAACTAAGTCCAATTTTTTGTTTGTTTTTTTCAGAACCCATCTCGGCTTTTGCAGGTGAGAATTTTAAAGGTAAAAAAAAATTTTTTTTTTGCATGCTTTTTCCTTCCCCCATGTGATGTGAATTTGATGGGGGGAATCAACCTCCAAATTTGTCAAATCTCGCAAGAGAAAAGAGACGCCACACCTTCCTGCCGCTAGATGGCACTAGCAACACCTGTAGATGCGGGAAGGGGATTGAGAGCCTCACTGTCTCTTGTTTAATTAAAGTTTAGAAACCTATTAATAGAGACAAATAGGTTACAGATAAACCTTTCAGCCTTGCATTGTCCAACGGGGAGCAATGAGGCTGAAAATGCAGGGGTGGTGAGAAAGGAGAGACTGTGGGAAGACTGAACCAAAAAAAAAAAAAAATCAGTATAAATTAAAAGTGAAATGAGGTGGCAATGATTTATTTTAGCCTGAAGATGGTTTCTTTCCAGTTCCAGGGTACCAAGGCAGCGGTTTCAGTTAACCACAGAGCCGAGGGGCTTCTGTGTACAGCCTGCAGTCAGTACCTGCAGTCACCATACCTCAGTGAGGTACGGTGGCAGGCTGCTTGTAAGAGAAGGAAGTTAGGAAAGAGACACAGAAGTGGTGGCCTCAGGAGAAAGAGTTGCCACATTTAGGACCCGGTGTCCAGTCAAGGGAATAAGGAGGTGCATTCGATGACTGGAGCTAGAGCACTTTAAATGCAGGACTGAAAATCAGAAAGGACGTGTTCTCCCCCGAGAAAGCAGAGAGAGCAGAGCAAAGTGAGAAGAATTGGGGATGCTTGCCTCATCCAGGTTATAAAAAAAAAAAAAGGCCTCCAGCCTTGGGTGATGGCAATGTTGTTTGTGCTGTTACAATGCAGCAGATTTTACATTTTGCCCTCTTTGCAAACCTATTAGCGGACACTGCTGAAGTTCCCACACCGGTTTCTAATGCCAAACATTTAGGAGCCACTCTAAATGCGTCACTGCAGTTGGCCTGAGTGTAAAAGCACACACAAAAACACCCTCACCAAATGATGGGGGTTCTTCATGACCTGTTTGATGCCAGCAATTGTGAGGATTGCTGTGCCCTCTTTGTACTGGCTGGGCTTACCCCTACAAGTGGCAGCATTGCAGAGATAAGGGCAGCCATTTTTATATCTGCCGTCTAGACTCGTTATCTTCACTCTCATTAATCTGTCCAGCTCTGGGCTAGAAAGAGATGAATTCCTGGTTTGCCACCTAGATATGCTCCCTGACTCCAAATCATCTCACCCAATTTGCCACTCATCAGCTCTAAGACAGCCAGTGAGGAACAAAGCTGCAGACGACAGGGGAATGACAGACCGACATAGAATATATTGCCTTTCTTACCCTTCCTCGTGTCCCTGAACCCCATGCCCACTCCCTGTACCACAGTTCTAAAAGTATTAAGAGTATTCATGTGCATACACTGGTGCTCTCTGGGGGTGAGGTTTATGTTAATGTAAATCCAAAGTATTGGAGGAAAGCTGAGAGCCAAACTGAACGACTTTGGATTACAGTCGAATTCGAGTTCTAACCTTCAGGACCCAAGGTAATGCTTATGTTGGTGAAGTGAAAGCTGTGGATGTTGTTTCGCCTGACTCTCTTTGGGTTGTGGAGACTCACAGCTCCCAGAAAGGCTGGGTAAAGACGTGCCAGCAGCTGCTGCAGACACTGTTCTGTGTGCACACCGTGTCGGGCCATGACTGACAAGTACAGTGGCTAAGTGCTAAGTGCTTCACTTCCGTAAGAGAATAAGCAGACCAGGGCACGTACACTCTCCTTGAAACTGTGCTTACCATGAGGCTTCACAGGCCAGTCATGCTCTCTTGTAAAAAATATATACATAAAATCTCATCTGAGCAGCAGTGCTCATTTAGCCAAAATAAACACAGGGCTTAGTAACTTGAAGGTAAGAATTTCCAGGGTGCTCCTGGTGGGCCGCTTTGAGGCTAAGCAAAGGCAGTGCACAAGTTGCATGGATTAGGCCATGGCTTTCGTCCTGGAGGATGGCAAGCATCTTTGGGAAGAAGAAACCAAGGCTTGGGGAGCAGAGACTTGGCCAATGGACACAGTAAAGAGCAGAATCTGAATTGGGAATGGAGAATTTCATTCACCTTGGCACGTTTTACATGGAGATCTGAGTTGGTAACCAGATGAACCTAGTGCCATGGGTCTCTTCTTTCTGGCTGAGACCTGTTTGACCACAGCATGCAACTCTGCCTTGAGCAAACTTTTCTGTTTGAGAGAGGAGAGGACTGTGTGTTCCATCTAACCTAGTGACTCATATACTATTCCTCTTATGGTCAGGACAGCAGGAGTCCTCTCTTGATCCGGGCATAAAATCAGCCTTTTCACTCAAAAAATGGAAACAGAGAAATCAGGGGGCAGGCAAGGTATGGAAAGTTGATGTTGAAACACTGCCAACCATAGGCATTTACATTGTTATACATTTTTCAAATTAGAGTGTTTTTCTTTTCCCTTATAAATTAATCATGCAACAAAGGTAATCTCATTCTTTGGGAGCAATCACTGTACAGGTAAATCTTTAGTGAAATACAATAAAAGTGGCCTTTGGACCTGGAGTTATTAGATGGTCGCAATCTTTTATATTTGGAAGTATCTTTCATTTTCCGCCTCTTACTGATTTCTTGCCATGCAATATTATTTTAAATTTAAATCATCCTGTGTTTTCTGCTGTGTGTGTGTATATACATACATACACACACACACACACACACACACACACACACACAGACACATTGTGTGCCAGGATGTGAGTCAGTAATGAAGAAAAGCCTGGAAGAAAAAGAGATCTGTGTTGAGAAGGGAGAAAGAGAAGAAAGAATGAATAAACTGTGTTGTCATGTGATTTTTTAAAAAGACCCTTTTTTGTGGTTGTTATGAGTCACATTTTAAACAATGTAGCCTGGGTGTGCATTCTTTTCTTTTCTTTTTTAAAGCAGTGGCTATAAACATGGTGCCGTCATGTATCTTTTTCTAGGATTTGAGCTTTAACAAATGAAAAACCGTGTGTATAAAGGGGGGAAAAAGAACCGAAAAGTGGTGTAATTAAGGTGATGGATTATTTCCTCTTACCCAATACTTTCTTTTTTCAATAAAGGAAACAAGAACAATAAAGAAGCCAGTAAAAATATATGAAGCCCATAATCAGAGTTCTGGGGTTTGTTGACCAGGTGGTTATTTTTAGCAGCTCACCTTGGAGGCAAGAGTTTTTGTTCGTGTTAGAGGCTGTGGTTTCTGAGCAGAGCACGGGCAGAGAGACGATCTGGTGCCCTACCTGTTAGAGACTCACGGAAATCCCAGCTGGGTGCACCTGTGGAAGGTGGTTGTCAGAGGGAAGGATTCAGAATGACTGTCCTACGCTAGTGGATGCTAAAAGGAACATCAATGTCTCCCGTTTCAGCTGGGAATGTGGGGTTTATGACTCAGACCATTCCTAAGGTCCAGGGGCCCCATTTCTCGGGTCTCCCTAGGTGCCTTTCTGCAGTTCTCCACAGTTCTCATCCAGACAAAACCAGGAGAAAGTGCACATCCACAGCTGTCTCTTGGGCATAGAGGGGAGCAGTATTAAGAGAGGCCCATTTTGGGGGTAATGCTGGCTGGCATTTGACTCTATTCCTTAGGCTTTAAGTTCTGTTTCTTTGGTGCCAACTGGCCAATCTCTGCATTTTGCACCCCCTTCTCTCCTTTCCCATTCCCACCCTCACCCTCTATTGCCTGCCTCCCAAGGCTTTGTCCACCAGGGTAAGGTCCCCCATCCCAGGGCCTGGCCTCACATTCCCTTTCTCCCTGGACTCCCTTCCTCCCACGCCTCCTTCTCCTAGAAGCACTTCTGAGATGCAGAGAGGGTTAAATGGTGCTTTTGCACATAACCGTCTGATGAAAGGCAGAGAAGTGTTCCTAACCCCTGCCGGGGTTCCAGATAGGCAGCTGTAGTGTGTGAATCCTCCTCCTTGCCCCCACCCCCTTATGTCTCCAGCTGCCAGATTAAGGCTAGGTGTTGCTGAGCAAGAAAGCATGGAGATCAGATGTGTGAAGCGGGTAACTGCTTGGCGGCCATCCTTCCCCAGGGGACACAGAGGTGTTCTTTGTGAGGTTCGCTGGAGCATGCCACCTCTCCTGCTACAGAGGCCTGACACGTCCCCTCTCCATCAGTTTACCACTCATGTAAACAACTGCCGAGGCCAGCTTATCTATGGGTGGAAGAAAATGTTTTTCACCAACTTTTCTCTCCAAGAACACAGGGACAAGACTCAGTTTACAGAAAGTAGCATAAGTGCCACCAAAGAGTGTGAAGCGTCCGAGACTTCAGCCAGTCAGAGATCTGAATTCGGAGGCATTTAAAAATGCCTCTAGATGTGGGAGCAATCCACATGGTTTCTGCCAACTTACTGAAAACATCCCGGCGCCTCCCGCCACACCATGCTCATAAGGCAGATGGAAAGAGTCGTTTCTCAGGGATGCCTTTGTGCTTGTGCGTCTTTTTTCCAAACACATCAGAGGGCGTGACCACATTCTTCTACTATCTTCTGTAAACTTCTCTAGAGGAGCCAACCTTTTTCGTTTGTTTAATCTCACAAATTAAATAAACCTTTATGTGAAATGTTCCTCCACCAGCACTTCATTTTTAACCTGTACAGAAAGGACTGTGCAGACAGGCCAGTCCTAAAACAATTCTGACATGCAATGAGCCTTTTTTGAAAGAGAAAGAGAGAAGGCTTACCCTTGGTGTCTTTCAAAACACTTCTTCTGGAAACCTGGGTGACTCCCCCAGGTCCAGATGATATTTCATAAAGCAGCTATAGTATATGCTTTCTCATTTCAGAGATTCAGTGAGAAACTGACTTGACTGAGACACGCCAATCCTCAGACAGGTTCAGACAGAAATAGGAGGCAGAAAGGAAGAGGACTGTTTCCTCTTCCCTCCCTACTTGGTTAGAGCAAGGAATCTGCAAACTTGTTCTGTAAAGGCCAGATAGTAAATATCTTGGGTTTTACAGGACATACAGTCTCTGTTGCAAGTATTCAGCTCTGCCATTGTGGCATAAAAGCATCCATAAGCAATATGTAAACAAATGAGGGTGTCTGTGTTCCAACAAAAATTGATTTACACAAACAGGCAGTGGGCTGGATTTGGCCAATAGGCCACAGTGAGCTGACCCCTGGGTTAGAGCACAGGCTGGGATTTTGTCCACCTGGTTCTAGCCGTGACTCTGACACTTGCTAGCAGTGTACAGTTCCTCAGGGGACCCTGGGCCATCTCTTGGGTTTCACTGAATGCTTCTCTGCCCTTCTCCACAATTATCCTCCAAGTGAAACCAGGAGAAAATCACTTGTCCTCTCAAGTACTCAGGTCTCCCTTTGGAGGGTCATGAGGAATAAACAAAATTGATTCATGTGAAGCCCGTAGACCAATGGTTAATACACAGGAAATGTCCACTCAGGGTGGCCGTTGTTACAGACACGTTTCCCAATTGCATAGTGACCCTATTTGCAGATAGGAATGACCGGAACACTACCTCATGTGTAACTGTTTTTCTTATTTTCTCCCATGCCTGGTTTCTCAAACTTTATTGTTTCTCAAAATTCAAATTCTTTGTGTTTGCATTGCTTTTCTCCAGGGGGCTCAGAATTTTTACAGATGGGAGCCTGTGCAACCTTGCAAATGCACTTGGAGTTCAGTTATTGACTATTTAAGTATCTGTTTCTGATTATCTCACACAATGGGAAAACTTTGTAGAGAATCTGGGGTGGGAATTAATGAAAAATAGTTCAGGAATTGAAAGTGTTTTCCAGGTGAAAAAAGACATGTGAGTAAGCGGTAGAAATTAGATCAATCAAAGGGAAAATTCAGGTCAACAGATCAACCAACTCCAGGCAAGGTTGAATTCTCACCTACACTTTCACCCACCTAGCCCAGGCTCCTTTTTTGTCAAGCAATGGCTCGATCACCCCCAGATGGCTGAAGGGGCAAGTGAAGCTAAAATTGCACAACTCAGCAATTCGGGCATCTGGTGCAGGTGACATCTGCCTAAAGTGGGCACCTTTTTCTAATTTCCCATAGAGGTGCCACATGAGCTAGCAAAATCTCTAGCACTTTCTGAAAATAACTCTCCAGGGAAGTACCAGTAGGTCATCAACATTTTCCAGGGAGTCTGAACATTGGTCCAAATATATTCCCCTATGCCATCCGTCCATTTATCCATCCACCTATCTATTCATCCATCCATCTGGCATTCATTGGATTGCTGATGTTGTCTGGGAAGGTGCTTTGGGTATGGATTTAACCCCTATTGATTTATCGTCTTCCTTTTCTCTAGTTGGCAAACCACAGCCTCATTAGCATACAGCTCTCCAAGGCTGGAACAGGGCCAGATTCTAAACCAGCACACTCCACCTGCCTTTGGAGTTGAGTCTTTTTAGCTAGTGAATGTTCTGAGAAACTTCTAGCCCCCAGCTGCAAGTCAACCAAGAGTTGCTTGTAGGGGATCAGGAAGGGTTTGCTAGTCATATCCTCTCTTTTCTAACATTAACGTTATTTCTAACCTCTTGACATTAAAACATGAATTCACATAGTACTATTTCTCATTTCTCCAAACAAATGCCCAAAGAAAATGTTTAAGGAGCCAGTATAATGTCCCCCAAGTAGCTTTTGTCACTGAAGTTTTCTACATGTTGATAATTTCAGGGGAGAGAAGGATAAGTAGAGAAGGAGAAGAGGGTCTTACTTAAAGTGGAGTTTGTCTTTCAAGTAGAGCAGGATTCTGAGAGACTATGTCTGTGTCTCTGATTCTAAATATGTAATCCATGTACTAGGATTTCACCTTCCTCCAGCAGGTCCCCTTGATTCTCTCCATTGTGCCCTAACATTGTCTCTTATCGTAAGAAACACTGTAAGAGAAACATGAAGGCTTCATCCTTCTCCAGCCTGAGCACTTTAAGCCATAGGTTGTGTATTTTGTGTTGGAAACCAGCATTTTGGCTGAAGGAAAGCAGACTTTTGAACAAAGATGATGTAGTGATGGAGGGAATGTGGGTAGTTGTGACCATGTTCTGCTTGACAAAAATTTCTGCTCCCACCTCTGTGGTCTGGTCAGGTACTTCTTTAGAGGGAAAGCTAATCCCTGAGGATTTATCACCTCCCTTTTCTTGATGGGTGAGCTGCAGCCTCATTAGGGGATGGCCCTCACTGTGGAGCCACATGAAAATCAGAGACAAACCCCAGGACACCCTTTGGGGAGAGAAGGGATGTCTCTGAGGAACTCTGGGGGCATCCCTTAACACTTTGATGTTTCCTGTGCATTTTTGTAAGCTCATATCGAAAATCCAGCAGCAGGATGGTTGCCAGGCAGCAGATCCTCTTGGTGACCTGAATAATGAATTGACACCAGTTGACTGTGACTTGCAAGCTGGCCACTTCAAGGAGCCATTTCCAGCACCTTGCTTTCTCTTCCTCTCTTTCTATGCATAATTTCCACCATGGCCACAAATATGAGAGAGAGAGAGGCCTTTCTCAGCTATGGTAATGAAACTAGTAAAAGACAGAATTAGTTTGGGGACAAAGACAAAGAGGGCAGGCAATAAGGTGGGAGAAGAGGAAGATGTATAAAGGGACATTCAGGGGATCCTGGGATTCTGGGGTCATTTCTACCCCAGGGGTTGTGGATGTGGCTGTCAAGGTGTGTGCAGAGCAACACATCCTTGTCAAAGCTCTGCCAATGTTGTGGGACTTCTGGTCACCCAAGAGGTGCCAATGAACCTGCACCCTAGCGGAAGGGGATTCATACAGCAGGAGAAAGCAGTGATTAAGAGCTAAGAAGTTGAGCAGGCTTTGAAATATTTTCCAAGAAAAATGTTCTCATTTTTCTATCACTTCTGAGAAGACATTAGAAGGTCTGACCCACCTCCCACCTATTCCCCAGATCAAAGAGAGGAGTTCTGATGTTCAGGCTGCAGGAATTAGAGAACACAGACTCAGAAATAGGAGTCTTAGCCTCAGTTCAGTGTTTGATTCACCAAGCATTTATTGAGTGCCTTCTTTGTATAAACCCTTAGGTATGGATGAGAGCAAGTTCCTCATGATGAGAGTGAGTTCCTCTGCTTAAGGAGCTCTGAATCTTAGGGTGGGTAGTGTAAGGAGGCATGAAAATAGAAATGAGCCCCGTTTGCATCTTGAGCAGAGGGGGACCACCCTCTGCTCACAGGGTAGGACCACTAATGCATGAAGGAGCCCGCAGCACTTCCCACCCATGGCTCCCCTGCTGGGGCACCCCATGAGTAGAGAGGATGCATCTTTCCGGCTTAATGCAAACAGCTAGGGAGGCATTTTTCATAGGAGAAGCATATATCATTTTTCAGAAGTAAAGATCATGTCTGGTTTTGGCAAGCTCAAAAGCTCCTAGTCCCTTTCTGGGCCAGATTCTCATCTGATGTAAATCTTTGGGAGAATCAAGTTGTAACACTGCTTTGCATCAAGTGGGACTCCAGCCAGTCTTTCCCCAGAGTTACCCTGGGCTTAAATCTACTACATCATCTCCATAGCAACCGGCAGCGGCCAGTGAACGTGGTTGCCTTCTAAATACTCTGCCAGCTTCTCTTCCCTGCTCTGTCTTTTCTGTCATTAAGAATGATTTCCCTCCCTCTCTCTCTCACTCACTCACTCTCGCTCTCACATACCCTCTGTCATTTTGTGCCCACATTTTTTTTGTTGCAACTTCCCTTCCAATCTGCTTTTAAAAATCCTCCATCCAATTAAAAAATGAGGATGCATTAGTCATGACTTAACAGTGGTGATTGACCTGTCTAGGCAAGACCAGGCTAATTTCAATGGGCACAGAAGCCTTGGCAAGCCAAAGTGGAATTTACCTTCAAGTCTAGCCAGCTTAATTAATACATTGTTGCTGAGAATGCTGGCCAGCCAGACCAAATATGGTGTTTCCACCACTCAGGAAATCTGCCTCACTGAATCCCGGAAGTCATGTCAGCATCATTTACTTGTATGTATTTGTGTATGTGTATGTGTGTGTGTGAGAGAGAGAGGGAGATGGAGGGAGAAAGAATTAGAACACTTCCATATATTATAAAGTGATTGTGGTTGAACAGAAAGAGAAGAGATGTGTAATTCTACCATTCTTGGTTGAATCCCATACTTACTATTTAACTAGCTGTATAACCACTTAACTTAACCTCTCTCCACCTCTGTTTCCTCATCTGTAAAATGGGTCTGACAATAGCTACCTCCCAAGGGGGTAAGTAGGAAATAATGCAATCGTTGAGAAGTGCTTGGCAGGTGCTAAGGACTGAGTACCACCTTAGTCCCCCAGACCCTTCCCTGTATGTCCCAAAGCATGTGTGTGTTTCTTTCTTTTTTTAAATTAGTCTTTTGATTAGTCTGCATGCTCTCAGCCTAGCAACACTCTTCTGTGTCTCTCCACCAGGGGGCACCCTCCTGCCAGGGACCGAGCCCACAGTGGACACGGTGCCCATGCAGCCCATCCCAGCCTACTGGTATTACGTAATGGCCGCCGGGGGCGCCGTGCTGGTGCTGGTCTCCGTCGCGCTGGCCCTGGTGCTCCACTACCACCGGTTCCGCTATGCGGCCAAGAAGACCGATCACTCCATCACCTACAAAACCTCCCACTACACCAACGGGGCCCCTCTGGCGGTGGAGCCCACCCTAACCATTAAGCTAGAGCAAGACCGTGGCTCGCACTGCTGAGGGCCGAAGCAAGAACAGCACCCAAAACAAACGAGAAAGACTGCAAACATGTTGCCTCGATTTTGCACTTTTTTCTCCTCGCCTAGTTTCTGTGTGAACTCTCAGACATCTCTTTCCCGGATCCCCAACCCTGAGCACTCTTATCAATCCCAACCATCCTCCTTGGGTTCATTTTGGTTTCTGGTTTTTCTTTTTCCTTTTTGTTGATTCCAAACCAACAAACCCAACTCTAATGCTGCATCTTGGACTATCCGAAGAGATCCACCCCCAAGCACTCCACAACTCAAGGCTCAGCTGGTTTTGTTCCAGAGACTGGTTCGCTTGTTTTTTCCCCTTGCCTTATCCCATACCTCCTCTCAGTGGGCAGTCTGCCAGGAGACGTGAGGGGAAGCCTGGATCTGTGTGTATGTACATAGTAGACATGTGTGTGTGTGAATAGCTCTCTGTGTGTGGGTGTGTGAGAGAGCGGCTGGTTCATTGTGTGTGTGTTTGGGCGAGGGGTGAGTGTTCAGAGAGGGCCCCTTTAACTCTTATGTTACTTCTCCTGGGGTACATTTTACAAGAAAATAATATACTGTACAAGTTTTGTTTACTTGGAGAAGAGATTGAAGCTTTTTGTTGCCTTATCTAGCTCTGGCTGGGTTTCTGTTGGCTGTCATTGTCATCTCCAGGTACCTAAAGAAATAGAGGCCACATGGGATGCAGTGTGGCTTCTCCCATCCCTATCCCCAACCCACCTGACCCAAGAGAAGGTTCCCCTAGCACACTCAAACAAGACCCCCTTGTCTTCTGGTGTCTTTGAAATGTCAAGATAACAGCCACTGGGTGTCTGCGGAACCACCTCTCCAGCCCTAAAGCAAATCTGTCTCATGTTGCCTTATAAAAGAGAAGCTCATAATGAATGTTTAGCCTTTATCAGTTACATCCAATCTTGGAATAAGTCATAGAGAATAACAAGTCTGGGACTGACGTAGGAAAAACAGTAGTCTGTTTAAGTTGAGAGGAGGAGGAGGTGGACGAGAGAAGGGAGGAGAGGGAAGAACTGAAATGTCTCCTCACCCAGGGTGGTTATTGGGCCCAACTTGGGATGGGGTTGAGTACGAAGGTTAAAAAACATATACTTTGGTATTATATTGGTCATTGTAATAGCAGTTGTAAAATATGGGGGGAAAAGGGATCATTTGCTTTCCTTTCATGGTGTTAATGTGTGCCTGAATCTATAGCCGCTAAAATGTAAGGCTGTCCACCTGACTTATTTAAATATTATCAGAGAATAGAAAGTAATCACTTTTTAAGTGTACCTATGTGCTGCCCCTTAAAACATTCATGGCATCTGGCAAATAGACCCTTGTAGGCTGGCCTGGCATATTCAGATGTTGCCGCATCATCACAGAGAAGGTCAAATGAAGATGTAACCATTGCTGCTCATGTGTCTTCTCTAAGCAACAAGGGGAGCGGGATGTAAGAGAGAAGTTGCTAATGATACTGTACAAAGGATGGATTAAATAATGAAGTCAATTTCATTGATAGAAAATGCAAATTTTAAGATTCTCAGTGTATGAGGTCTCAGCCTCGGGAGCATTTATTTTTTACTTTCCTGCTAAAAATCCACTGGGGAGGTATAAAATTCACTCCAAAGAAGTTTGCCTGGGCCAAAAGCCTCCAGGTTCCTTCTGAGAACAAAATACTAATGATTTTTTTTTTTTTTTTGGCTGCTTGGGAGAGACTTTCAGCATTCTTTCACGATATCCAGATATGTCCCTTCAGCACACACACTCAACTTTCTCATCTGGTTCGTTTCATCCTCCCGAAAGAACGGTGCTCTCCCACTCTTACTCTATTTCAAAGAGCTACTCTGTCTCAACCACAGCAGCCCTGCCAAGAAAAGGCAAGATGAAAGGCTAGAGCATGTGCTACCTTGAGATTTCAAGAAGTGTCCTACCTCAGCTGAAGATGGAGAAACGGGGAGTGGAGAGGGGATCAGCCCAGGGTACCATGTGATGACTAATATGCCACTCATTAAGGGCTTTTACCTCGGCTGTCCACATCCAGTCATGCATTTGGGGCCAGGCATGCCTGCGAAATGATTGACATTCCTGTAGGTGCCCCATAGAGGTGTGGCATTGAGAAATTATGTCTGGAAAATACAGCCAGTGTAGTGACCAGCTGAGTTACCATATACCCTGATGATTCCCCTTCTGTAACAGAAGGTGACAACAACTTTGTGAACTTTCTATATCTTTATCTGATGCCCCAAGTGGCATCATCTTTATGTACATGCCTTAGTTGAGAATATGAGACTGCTCTAATCTTTGTGAATGCCTTCACACTTCAGCTGAGGATGTCACCTTCTCTGTCACTCCCCATCCTGCAACCTCTGCCTTTGCTCTGTCTACCCCAGCAATTTTCATAGTGTTATCCAGGTACTGTGCTAAAAGGTCAGCTCTTCTGTAAAATGCCATGCTTCGCAGCTTCAAAAAGCAAAATTCTGTATTTCATGGAGGGAGGGAAGGGTCATTCTCTTCTAAGAAAAATAGACTGGACAGGCGAATGCATGCATGCATGTGTTTAGAGTTGCTTCTCAGAAGACAAAGAGATGATAGCAACTATTAAAATATGAATGAATGAATGAGTGAATGAGTTGAAGGCCTAGCTCGGGCTGATAAAGCTTTTGCCTTAGTAGAGGTTTTATGTCAACACCTTCAGGAGGGAAGCCCTTATTTCTGGGTTGAACTCCCCTTCCATGATATTATGCTAGCAATTGCCATCACTTAGTTCCTGGCGAAGGCAGAAAAAGAAAACAAAAAATCAGCATTGTCATTGACAAAACTGGATGCTGAAGATAAAGTAAAATTGTCTTTTCCCTTGTCCCACATTTTTGGGATTAAAGCCAGAATTGAATAGGAAATACAGTACTATTTCTGAAGTTGATAGCCGATCTTTAAGAAGACCCTGTCTTTAAAATGAAACTAGCAGGCAAACACCTAAATAATCGAAAATTACCAAAGAACAACAACGAAACAAGAAAACCTAAAGATTTTTACTTCCTATTCTTATTCCTTTCCTTATTACTGTGACACCCCTTGCATTGCTCAGTTGCCTGTGTGTCAAAATAACTTGTGGACGTTGGAAATTATTTGAAAATGTATTGTGTGGAATGTAATAAAATGATGATATTTTTATACAAACATGTGAGGTTTTTTTTCCCTTTGCCTGTGAGAACAAAGTTGAAATGTAGGCTTTGAGCAAACTGATGCTTCCAAAGTTTACACATCACCTTCTGAGCTACAGGGCATTTCTGTGGGAGGTAGGTGGGTTTTCTCCTTGAGGCTGAATGCCAACTTTTCCTTCTTTTTATTTTTATTACTGCTTGTTAGGATTTTTATCCAATTTGTGCAGCTGAGACAACTTTTATGATTGGTGTGGGATTTTGCAAAAGTTGCTAAGTGCTAAATTGCTAAATGAGATTCCACGAAATTTCTCTTGATGACAAATCCCTGGAGATTAGATTCTACTTTCAAAGGGCTCCGGGAGAGTGGTACCAGCTAAGCTGAATCCTGTACCCAGCTCTGCAGAGACAGATCACTTCCTTTGAAGAAGCAGCAGTGACATCTTACCCCTCACCTACCCAATTATTACTTCCACAGGGATGTGAATCTCCCATTTACGAGCGCTTTCCCAGACAAAACGGGAACTTGTAGCATGTTCAGGGCTGAAAGATATTCTAGACTTCATTTTTGAACAGGTAATGAAGATAATTAGATGATGACTGTGGACATAGAACTATCAGAGTGGAACATTTTATGAAAGGAACACTATAAAACTTTGAGGAGAGGCACTTGGGGAAACTTACTCAGAAGGCCAGGTCTTTCTTGATGAGTATTTTTCTTTGGTCCTCCTCTTTAGATGGTGACCCAGTTATATAAAATATTTCTATCAGAAGGGAACTGGGTTGGGCCAGGTGGGGGAAAATCTAGGAAAGGCAGCCTCCCAGCAGTTCATGGTTTCTAGATAGTGGTCAAGAAGAGGTCACATTAATCCTATTTGCAGATAGGATTTCCCACCAACCCCATTCATGGGATTTATCAGAGGCCTTCTGACAACCTGGGAGCCCTCCTCAGGGGTCCGAGAACCATCCTTAAAGGTCCTGAGAAAATGTACATGTTCAGAAGATCCTATTTCTGTCAGAGTCCTGCTTTTCATCCTATCCAAACCTAGATCCAGGAAGGAGTGCTTTTTACAGCTGTAAAACCTGTCCAAGTGCTGCTAAAAGGAGACAGGCTTCCGGTTTTTAGATCTTACAGGAAGTTCTGTTAGTACAGATGGTTCAGTATAGATGTCACTATCTGTCCCTTGCAGGAGAATAAAGTAGAATGTCAGTGATCAGAGCATTTTTTGTTTCCCCAGTGACAAGCTCAATTACCCCTTTTGTCTAAATAACATTTGGCTTTCCTTAAAGCCATTTGTTCCCATTAGTAAAGAATGAAATAAAAATATCTCAAAAGTGTTGATTTCAAACAAAGACCCAGGCTCAGTCAACATTTCCTTGAGCTGACCTGGGACCAAACTTGCCGGACTGAACTAAATTAGCCATCACTTATGCTTTGTTGGCATTACTGTTTTTGGAACCATGTTTGGGAATTTTCCCACCTTGGTTCTAGTCCCAAGACTTATTTTAAGGGTACTTACTCCCCCTAAAAGGGCAAGGACTGTTAGGACTCCAATCTTAGATGTCAAACAGGGCACTGTTACCACCAAACACTCCTCAGTGTGGCATTTCTTATGTAGCCCAAGCATAAATGTTCAGAAATTTTGTTTCCATGGATCATAAATACCAGATGTCAAGGCCTAGGCCGGTCTGTTTCTGCTCCTACCTGGTTCTTTGTGATGGTTTCAGTGTGTGTTCTCTCTTCACCCACTGCCCCCCTAGCTCAGATAACCGAAACCCAGCCAAGCTGAGGTGGCACAGTGTTTATTTTCCTTGCCCCTCTTCACGGCCTCTGCAGTTGTTCTGCACAAACGTGTGGCCTTTCTGTAATCTCTGATGAAAAGAGCTACATCCTGAAGTTTTGACTTGCCTGCATTGTGGGCTACACATCTGAGCCAAACTGCAGATCTGTAGGTGAAGGCTTGTTTTTTCTCTTTAATTGTGCAGATCACTGGGGCTCTCACAGCTGTAATTTGCCTTTCATACACTTTAGTGACAGCCCAAAGAAAACACAAAACAAATCCAACCAGAGAAAAAGGGAGGGGGCGAGGGGAACACCAGCTGATGATCTTACAATCAGCAGGGAAAAGAATTGCCTCATACAAATAAATTAGTAGCTAGGAATAGTGTAGGATTTAATTAATCCTGACACAGATCAGGTGCACCACAGTATGTATAGAGGTCAGATACAATCAGAAACCCACACCCTTAGGGGTCTTCAGGCCACAAGCCTGGGCCAGAGTATGTTTGCCCTGACTGCTTGGAGGTGTTCTGTTTGGACCCAAACCTAAACACTGAAGAGCGACAAGATTTGGGAAATCGCCAAGAGCAAAACCTTATTTAGCATGGTATGGAACAGTGGAGAATCTAGGTGCTTCAGCACAACCAAGCCGAAGCCATTCTTTCCCCAATCCCAGTGGATAACAGACCTAGAATCATCTCCTCTCTACTGGGTAAAACAGTTGTTCTTGGCCTTTTCTGCCACTGACCCCTGAGAGCCCCAAAAAGCTAAAGTCCCGTGGGCATTGGACCAAGAAATAGGAAAGACCATTTGAACAGTCAACAACAGAGGTACTTGAGGGAGGACTGAGTGTTATGTGGGAAAACCTCTTTTCTCGGAGTTTCATTGCTTGAGAGTGTATTGATACTGATGATACAGGGAGGCTGCTGGAGGGAGACTTTATAGTAACTGGCTGGGTTTCTTTAACTCACAAGTTAAACATGCTCAAAAAGTGCAATAATACAGAAAAAGCCAAAGTCGATTTCATTGTTGACCAATCCCAGTCACCTCCCCAGAGGTAACTGTGAGGGATGGTTTGAGGAGTATGTTTCCAGGCCTTGTTTTATACCTTTACAAACATGTATGTTCATGTTGAGTTATGTGGTTTGGTTAAGCTGGGGTTTAGTTTGGTTTCATTTGGTTTTGTGTAAATGGTAGCACAGTGTTTGCTTACTATATTGGATGACTTGCTTCTTTTCATTTGACATCTTGAGGGTAATTCAGTACATACTAATGCATCTACCCCATCCTTTATATCTGCAGCATAGCATTCCATATTGTGTTGATATGCCAGAGTGTATTAACTGCTCCCCTGTTGATGAGTGTTCAGACTGTGTCTAGTTTTTTTTTTTTTTACTATTATAAACAATACTGCAATGAACATCCTTGAAATTGCTTCTTTGGGCACATGTTTTACAAAGGATAGAATTTCTGGGTCAAACACATCCCTGTTTTCATTTTAGTAGGTGCTATAAAAGGCTGAGGTTTGCCGTTTAAAATTAACCTGTCCCTGCTTGAGAGCATAGCAGAAACTAGTGGACGTCCTGGCTGTAGAGCCCCTGCCACATCTGCCCAACCCATGTGATCTCTATGCCTATCTCTCTTTCTCTACAGTGGGTGTGTTGCTTGCAAGAGAAGACCTTGGGCACTTTTAGCTGAAGATAATTTTAAACTCAGGGAGTGTTTCTTCAGAACGTTCTTTTTTTTAACTGCCAACTTACGGGGAATATGGACCTGGCTCTAAGTGTCAGCTCCCCAGAGCTGTGGTGGCTGTGTCACTGGAGTTAATTCTGTCCCTGGGTTCATCAGGCAGAGTCCTGTTCTCCATGATTAATGAGTTCCACTTGCTTTCTTCAAAGAATGCCTGTGCTGTGCCATGCTGTTATTTATTTATGTTTTCTACTAAAAAATTTATGTAAAAAACATCCCTTAAGGTCAGTATGCAGTATTGTGCTGCAGACTAAACTATCCCAGCAGCCAGAGGTAAACCTACACACCAAGAAAAAGTCTCAAATTTGAGAGGCCTTGGACCACAGGCCCCCACACTGGCCCCAAGAGGGGCAGACCTTGTGGGCTTCCTTCTGAGGAAGTTCAGGGCTGCAATACCCAAAGGAAAGGCACTAGGCAGTGAGGTGGTTTTCTAGTGGGATGTTTATAGGCATAGGCAAAGCTACTAGCCCCCACAGGGGCCAGTAGCAAGGAATGGCGGGTGGAGGAGAAGCCCAGAGACCTGTCAGTCCAAACACCATTTCTAGCAAAAGCACTGCCCTCATTTCTGTGGTGTGCTGAGAGAAAAGTGTCATAACAAAGTGGCTTTGACTTTGAACATAATGGAGTGTGTGTGGCTATATAGGTCCAGTGTGTGCTTTCCCTGACCTGCCAAAAATCCAGGACCATTGCCTCCTGGGCATGAGGTATGAGTATTTAACTCAGGAAAGAAAGCAGCATGAGTTGAGATCTGGATGAACTAGAGTGCATCTCTCTCTGACACACACACACACACACACAGTGCCTTGTTTTGTCTTCTCTGTGTAATTGCGCAAAATTAAATCCTTTAAATATCACGAACATTCCCCAAAACAAAGGCTCTGCTCCAGAATTGGAATGATAGTATACCATGCCACGGCTTTCAGCAATACCAGTTTCTTTCTCCAGCAGCAGGACTCATTAACAGGATGCCTGGACTGGACTTCCCTGCAACTTATTAAAGAGCAGCCAGCTCCAGTAACGATGGGTGTGCAGAAAGCCTTGAGCTAGAGGCAGCCTTGACCAAAGTCTCATTCTCCAAAGCCTGCTAGTTATTGAAGCTTCATTTAAGCACAAAGAAACTTTTTGTCTCTTTGTGTTTTCTTGCTGCCACCCAGGGCCTGCGAGAACAGGCATGAGGATTTCAGGGGCTGGTGTGGGCCTCCCCATGGCTTCTCTAGGGCAGCCCCACAGCTGGCATTGAGAGTGAGATGGTAGTTATTACAACCTAGATGGGGCCAACATGGGTGTGTGAAAGGAGCCCCAGAGATGCCTCATTCGCCTTGGCCAACTGTGGCCTAAGAGGATGAGCCCCATATTAGTGTTTACAGGGGTCCTGGGCCCACAAACCCATCACTGCTTTCTGGCTCTGCACCTCCTGATGTGGCTAGGGTCTCCACCTCTTTCTCTGTGGAGGAGCTGGTCACCACTCATCTGCCTTTGTGCCAGGTGCAGTTTGTCTCCAACCTCCAAAATCCCCTTTCTGCACCTTCCCCTTCTCTTGCTGACCCCTTTTCTTCTCTGGCATCCTTACACTTTCTCTTTCCCTTCATCCATCAATGCCTTCTTCAAAAAAGCATGGGTCAGATTCCTTCACACAAATGCCGCATGGCTACTTCCTCCAATAATTGCATTTTTACAGGGGACCACACCTGAAGCCAGGTCTCTTAGTAATTACGGTCCTTGGCCACCAGCAAGCTATTGGGGGAAATCATCTCTTGAATGGGCAGAGAGAGGTACATTTTTGGTAGCTGTAAAATGATATCACAGAGTCATTCATTCTCATTCATTCTTGTGTTCAGAAGAAGAGCCCATCTTTTAAGTACAGTGAATTCTGTTAGTGACATACAGGTGTACAGTTTCTTTTCAAGGACCTACAAAATAAAAGGGGCTATCTTTCAGAAGATATTCTTCTTCACATTGGAAATGGATGCAGTTTTGATTCTTCAACTCCATTTTCTCACTTGTCCAAGGTTGTACCAAACCACTCCATCTGAGTGACATAGTGATGTTTCTAACATCCACACCTCAAATATTGGAACTAGAGGAGGGGAGAAATTTCAAAGCCCACTGGAAAAAAACTCCCTGAAATATGAAGATACATGACTTTTTCCCCTAGCATCCCAGGAAAAAAAATAAGACTACACAAGAGGGGGAAAAAACAGCAGGTTTTCCTTGAAATGCTCTGTTTTTCCCACCCTCATGCCCTAAGAGAAGGTAGCCAACAAAAGAAATGAAAAGAGCCAATTGCTTGTTCACATATCTACTTACAACAATGGAGAATAGCTGATTTTTCAAAGACTTGGGGTAAAAAAGAGGTTCTAGAATTTTCTTTCATCAGCTTTGCTGTGTTTTTCCAGTCTGCACAATTGTGAAGCCTATCTTTATAGCCAAACATGTCTCTGGCTGCATTTTTCTTCTTTTCATGCCATTGTTGGGGCTCATTGGAGACATTCTGGCCTCAGCTGCTCATCCGCCTCCACACTTGAAAGTATTACTAGGTCATTTCACAGTCTTCTTGTTTGCAGTCAGTATTTCCAATTCTTTTTAGTGTTTCCTTCTAGTTATTCAACTAAAAATAATAGAAACGAATGGCTAAATTCAAGATCAAACTCTTCCAGTAATCTCACACCAAGCCCCCTCCTTTTTTTTCCGCACTTGAAACCATTTGAAAAATTCCAAAAAATATTTTTTCCATGACCGTGCCTAGATTTGGCTGTAGCCCAAGAGATAAAAGCCTGTGATAAAGGCTCTTCTGATGGTGCTTCTAAACTCAAGCCAAACCCAGCAAGGAATGAATGGCTCTCAAGTAGCCCGACTTCTTAACAGAGGAGATTTGGCAAAGTTTAGATCAACACCTGAATGTTTGGCTCCTTATTGCAACTTGGATGAACAAACTGAATTGGGAAATTAAGTGTGGTGGGGAAGGCGGACCTTCAGCCAATACTAAATATTAAACTGAATTAAACCGAATTTTGAAGTGCCAAGAAGAATCTCCTTAGTCCTTTGTTATTTATCTTTTACTGAGGTCTCAGTGTTGTATTTCCTGCTGGGATTAAAAGAGAATGGCTGAGAGAAGTTTCTGGAGGCTACTCATCTGAAAAATCCAGCGATTTAACTGGCCCATGGGGTTCAGAAACTTGGAATCAAGTTCAACAAAGGCACTAAGTGGCCAAGAGCTTATCCCAAATAAATCACAGCCCCCAAACAAGGTGTTGAAAATCTATGGCTTACTCTCAGTTCTACTGCTGATTTATTCAATGACTTATTGCACTTCTCTACCCTCCCTCCTCAATTTCATCTCTAAAGTCAAAGTGATGACACCTGGTACCTGTGAAAATGAATGATTTCAGTGGTTTCCTGTGTGTAAGAGGCTCTTCGATCCTTGCCTTCAAGGCTGGTTGAAATGTGGTAGGTTAAGTGGATGTGCTAAGACTGGCTTTCCATGAGGTTTTCTCAGCCCAGCCTCAGTTAACACAGAGGCTTAAAACTATAGGCACAATTTACCCACTTTGTCAGTTCCTCAGTCACCAATTAGCAGGACTAAGTCCTGAGCCAAACGGGCAAGTATTGAACACATAGAACCTCATGGGTTCTCTTGACCTGTCCTTTTTGTGGTCTTCTCTTTCTGTGCACACCTTAAAACAAATGGTTTCAGGGAGTGGCCACTCCCAGGAGAGGACAGAGTTAGGGTGAAGAATGGGGCAGTGAGCATCATGGGGCAATGGAGCCCTTTTGTTCAGAAGTTGCCTTGTCTCCCTCAACCATCACCCTCTTCAAAGAACCCTCATCAGAAAGGCCCTCGTACCTTTCTCATTTCCTTCCTGTAAAGACAAGGGAATTCTAGAGGAGAGGAGAGCATCAGTGTTTACTTTACAGAGGAGCAAACAGAGACCCAGGGAGGTCAATGACTGGTCAAGGCTCTGACACCTGAGGCAGAACCACATGGGAGGTAGGCATTCCGCCCCCAGCCTAGGGCCCTCCACATCCCACGCCGCTTCCTTCAGTGCAGGGTGATGCTGCCACTGACCAGGCTTCTGAGTGTCTCTGCTGTACACTCCAGATGACAAGCCTGTCATCAGCTTCAAGCAGACCTCTTAATCCACTGCTCAGGGTTGGCATGGAAGGGACTCTTCAAAGAAACCAGCACATTAGTGACCTGAAATGATCTGTGTCCCAGGGCTGTCTTAAATTATTTACCCAAAAGTAACCAGTGGTTTGGGGCAGACTTCTCACTTTCCTGGCCATATTGTGAAGCTCCTTTACAATGCGGGAAGTAAACAGTGTCGAGGCCAATATACTCATACAATATGCTCTGTGTAGACACAGAGCGAAGGCTGAGAATTTTCTGTAAGAAACTGCAGAAAAGCAAACTAATGAAGGAATGCTAATCCCAAATAATCTTAACTTAGAAGAAGGAAGAAAATGAGGGAGAGAGGAAAGATAAAAAAAAGTGTCTGTGTGTGTGTGTGTGTGTGTGTGTGTGTGTGTGTGTCAGAGAAAGAGAGAGTGAGAAAGAATGGAAAGGGCCATAAGAGAGGGCCTTCTTATTTGAGGACTAAATCATTCTCAGTAGGAATTTCCAGGCAGCAGGTTGGAGTGTCTTGGGGGTGTTTCCCCTGAGCAGCATGTGTGGTCTTACACTACCAGGCAGTGTTCCAGGGAAAAGCTTATTTCATTAGAAGAGGTTGGGTTTGTGACTGGATATGGCGTTCACCCTTTGTGCCGTAGTGTTGCAATGTATTGACAAGCACACTAGAGAATATTTGACTCTTCCAGGGTGGAGGGTGTTTCTGGAACAGTCTTGTGGGTGTTTTCATAACTAGCCACCCTGGTCTCTCATTCCAAAAAATCAGGACAGCAGGAGATCAGTGAGACCTTGAATCATGCCTCACCGTGTACCTACTCTGTCTCTCGATGATGCAGAGAGAAGGGACACTGACCAAAATAAGGTGACTTTTTGGCCTGAGACTGATCTTCATATGAAAATGACCAGAGTTTTGTGAAGTTGGGTTGTATTTGTTTTTAAGCAGTAGCTACTGTGCCCACTTGATTACTCAAGCTCTGTAAAACCCCTTCCCATCATTCATTCAGAGCTGACCTCTTTCTCTCACTGTGCTGATCTGCAACAGCTGGGGAAGGGATGGGTGTTGGAGATCGGGAAGGCAGAGGTCTGACTCTCACATAGATATATGCAAGGTGGAAGATTTGTGGCAAAGCTAGGTGATCGCTTTGAATTCCTTGATGAGCCTGATACGAATGAATGCAAGCCAAAAGACAAGAGATCAGGTGCCATGTTTGAAAGCATTTCTATCAATCAGACAGATAAAGGGAACAGAAATCCCCCGATGCCCAACTTGCAGCAGCCTCAATTCCACAGTATCCTCCTCTACACTCCCACATTTTCCTTCCTGATAGTGGCCCAGGCTCATTTGCCCAATCCCTGCCCTGGACTCCAGCAGCACTTGGGAGTCCTCTCCGCAATGCCTCACTTTCTTTCATGCTAATTTGGCATGGGTGAGTCTTCACTTCCCAACCACCCTGAAGGGCCTTGATGGTAGACACCTGGTCCCTTACATCTTTATTTTCCAAAGTCATCAGTTTGTTTCCTGGGCATGCAGTGAGCCCTCTTACTAAGTGGTGTTAGGCTGGTTAGTTGGTTAATGAAAACTGCCCTTTGAAGAACAATGTAATTTAGTTTCCTGCTCTGGGTGATGCCTGTCATGGAAAGCATGAAACCCCAAATTTCAGATCCCCACTTCTTCATGTTCATGAGAAGCCCCTCAAAGCCCTACTCTATCAAAGTAGTGAGCCAGTGAAACAGGCAACCAAAGTGTGTATCCAGCCAATCCGGATCTGAGATAAGGCAGACTCTTTTATTTTATTAGAAGGGGGCAGTAGGGATATGGTGGTAGTTACAGTGTCCCAGCCACACCCAAAGAACTTGAATGCAGACTGGGGATCCACCCTGGCCCTAATACAGTTATTTGAGAGTCAGTATTTGTAGTCAGGCTGACCTGAGACTGAATCCACATGGGGGCCTAGAAGGAAACAGGGTCATGGGAGCACAAAGGTTGAAAGCGGAACTCGTGTGGGTGGTAAGATCCCTTCCTGACCTGCATTCTTCTAGAGGTTTGGCCCATTCCACTCTCCCTAGCCCATCTCACACTCACCAACACACCCACCCACTAAAACAGAGTCCTGGAACTTCCTCTTCAAGTTTTCCCCATTGAAAACAAAATTCTGAGTCCCTGGTTCCTTTCTCCCACTCTCTCCTGATGTCTGCCCTGACTTCGGCAGCTAGGTCTGCCATCCTGTGGCTGCCATTTCCCCTTTCCAGGGAGCTGTGGCCTCTACCCTCTGCCTTGGGCTCCTAGCTCATCATTCTCCCCTCTGCCTCCCAGAGGCCGGTAGCTTTACCCGTTGGTTCTCCTGGTAGCATCTTACCTGCCACACCTTGCCTATTCTTTGCTAGAACTACAGGGACCTAATGAGAGAACCACATTCCTTCCTGCTGGCCTCCTAAGGAAACAGGCTGCAGTTTACCTACCAGGCTCAACAGAAAAGGAAAGTGGCTGGTAAAGGGCAAAGATGCTTTTGAGAGAGAGAAAGCTCTTAATCAAACACAGATATCAAGAATATTAGCAAGGGGACTAGAGAAAATTGCTATCAAAGTAAATGGTTTTTTGTACAAATGTTCCCTTTATTTGTGTTTTCCCCAGTGTGCCATTCTTTCTTTAAGGCTTGGTGAACAGATGTGCTTTTGAAAATGTTGATTAACTTATCCTTTTTTTGACCCCCTTCCCACTCACTCAAACTCAGGGGAGCAGTGATTATATAAAAAGCCAAGTCAAGCCACTAAAGTGTTCTTCTTCACCTTAAGTAGCCTTTGATTCTCCAGGTGCAGAAATCTCAGCTGCATCTGGGCAATTGATTTCATTGAGTCTTAGAAATGGGCCAATTCTTAGGAAATCATCTCATCCAGTCCTCAACCTCCAGAGACAAGAGGCCGTGATCTCCTGTGATAAAATGTTCTCAAAATCATTAGCATCATTTTACCCTTTTTCCTTTAAGATCAATGCCACATTCACCCCTTTCCAGCCAGTGATCTATGGTATCCTAAGACTTCTTCCCTGAGGGTGTGAGATGGAGCAAGATGGCATTCTAGCCTCCAAGAATTCATCACATCCTTGGCAGAAACAAGATCCCTAAAAGCAAGCATAGGATTTGGCCCAGAAGTCACTGGCAGGAGCCCCGTGGTTCTCATCCTAGGCTGATTCACATATTCTTATCCAGTGTTCTGCCTCTTTTACTGGTGAAGATGTTAAGACATATGAGCAGCCCATCAAACCAATTAATTGTTGGAAATGTGACGGTTTTCTTCCATGTTTTTTTTTTTTTTCATATGGAAAAAAACCCTGTGGGTTGACTTTCACAAGCTCGATTTGATCCCTGTGACAAACACCACCTTCCTCTTGTTGATTCATGTTCACATCTCCCTTCCAAGGAAACAACCTGCTCTGTTGGGGCCTGGAGGAGAATGCAGGGAATGGGCGTTGAGGTGGGGAGGCTGGCGTGGCCTGCAGGTGCCACTTGCTGTGCTTTAAACATGCAAGGAATGGGCTGGAGTTATGGAGGATTAGTGCCATGTGGCATCAATCTTTTAAGTGGGGTCTTGGCAAGTTGTTTTGTGCATCCCTTACTAGGGACCGAGGGGGATGAGAATGTGCTTTAGCACTTTGGCCAGAAATGAGAAAGACTTCTAACATGATTGAAACCATGGCCTCCAGGAAAAGACTGAATTTCAAATGTGACAGTGATGGATCAATGCTCAGTTCAGATCATGGTCAAGTAGATCTTCCCCGAGATGTAGTGCTGATGAAGGAAGCTTTCGGGATGGTCTAAAGTTCTTTTTCTCCCTCTTGTCTGATACTTCAGCCGTTTGGGATTTTGATTTTCTTTTAAGCCTTGATTTTTGGATTTCAATTTATAGTAGTGACTTCAAGATTGTTTATCTGACTTGGTGGAACAAAACTCTGAGAGGGCCATACACATTCACTGGGGCTGTCTTGAGCTGACAGCTTGGAAAGGCATAATTAGCTTGTGAGATAGGAAGAAATGATAAGATGTTGCTCTTTGCCATGCATTTGATGTTCTCTATTAATGTTTTACCATTTTAGACAGATAACTTTCAGTGGTTCTGATTTCTATAAGTTGGACAGCACAGTGAATAGAGAGACCTGTATTATCACCCTCCCAAATTATCATGAAAAAGAAAAAGATAGACAGTGATAATACTGGAGAAAACTCATAGTAAATTAACTTAGCCTGGCTAGTCAGATTGGATGCCCATCTTTGATCTATTCTAAACCACGAAGAAAGCTAATAGGAAAAATAGACTTGGGAAGGATGAGAAATATTAGCACAGATATGTGAAGGTCAACAGGCATTATGACATGCCTTCCATTTCTGCTCTTAAATTAAAACATATAATGATGAAACAAGACTTCCTTAAACTACCATATGTTTACATGAAATCCAGAGGAGAAAGACTCTGATGCTTTTGTGCCCACTGAGATGCGTGCCTATGAAGAGGTGCAGCATGATACACTAAATGGACATCCCAGTAAAGGCAGCTGCTGTTGGGCATAAGATGCCATTGAAGGTGCCTTAAATGAAACCTGTGTTCCTAATGAATGCCAGTCATTAAAAAGGCACAGTGGCAGGGGTTGCTTGGCACTGAAGACCCAGAGTTTCTTCTTAGTTCTGTGTTACTGGTTGTGGTTGGAGGAAGACACAGGTCATCTGAAGGAGAACAATCCAGTAATGTCCATAATGAATGATCTAGAAGTAGAGGTGATTCTCTAGCTGCCTGCCAGAATGGGGAGTCATTCTCGTAAAGATTGCCTCCCTGCCTTTTAGCCATGGTGATAGAACTTGTTATTAACTTGTTTTTATTTTCTTTATATTATAGTGGACATCCCAGAAATACATGAGAGAGAAGGATATGAAGATGAAATTGATGGTGAGTACTGTTATGATTTAGCAGGTAATCGTAAAATTCAAGTTTGGTTATAAAGGTGTCAACAAAAATAATGCTCTGGGTATCGGAGGGCCCAAATCTAGAACTATCAGTCAGAAATATATAAAAGAATCTGGAGAAAAATGAGGGAACCATCAATGGATCTGTCAGGGTCAACTTTAGAGGTTTAGAAAGTTTATTGAGTTCCTCTGCCTAATCTGAAACAGATCCCCTCTTTCCAGTAACTTTTTACCTGGATGGACTTTGAATCTGAATAAACCCTTTACAAGTGAAAGATCAGCTCCTCCATACGTGTCATAGTCTGAATCTTTTGACCTTCTCCCAAAAATGGCCTGAGTGAATGAGCATAATGTGAATATTCTCCCAGACCTGCTGTGGTTTCTGGTTCCCTGGCTTGGGGGAAACCTTCCTCACACTATTCAAGATTCCAATTTGGAGCTTCTTGCAAGATTTCGGTTTCTTTTTCACACTGACCATCTCGTATCTTTATATTTATTCCAAGTTCTATTTTTCCACTGCAAACACATATACTTCAAGAGGCTAGAGGGCTGCTGAGCAAATATGTAGATGTAATTTCTTCCCTCAACTCAGAATAGCACAGGTCTCTCTCTGGGCTTCTCTGAGTACCAGAGTTGATCTCCAACAGACTCAACAGCAAGATTCCACTTAAAGAATAACTGTAGACTAAGATTGATGAATTTAAGAGGAACAGTTTATAGAGCAGCTGCTTTTAACCTGCCTTTAATCAGAAACTTCATGCGTAGTTATAGAAACTGGAGTGACTAACCCAAACAGCACCTTGTTAACTGACTGCAGACTCTCCCTGCAAAACCCAGTCCAACACTCCTTTTATGGGCAAAAGTGCATGACCAACCTACATGGAGAGACCGCAGTAGATCAGGCAGAGGCGCACTGGAATGGAGTAGAAAGGGCAATGGGTAAGGAGGCAGAAAGCCTGATCTCCATTCCTGCTTTAACTGCTTGCTAAGCCTGTGACCTGGAGTGAGTTACCTAGTTGCCTAATTTCTTTAAACCTCAGTTTCCTCACCTATTAAAATATATATAATATCCTGCCTTCTTCATGGGATTATTAGGATATTTCAAAAAATGATGCCCAGATGTGGGCATGCCTTGGCCACAGTGTAGAAACGTAATTAGATTAGTCTGCTAGGGCTTCCAGAACAGAGCACCACTGACTGGGTGGCTTACAACAGACATATATTTTCTCACAGTTCTGGAGGCTAGAAATGTAAGATCAACATGTGGACAGGGTTGGTTCCTTCTGAGGGCTGTAAGAAAGGATCTATTCTAGCTCTGTCTCCTTGGCTTGGAGATGGCCATTCTCCTGTTCATACGATGTTCTCTCATGTGTGTGTCTCAGAATTTCCCCTTTTTCTAAGGATACCACTTTTATCGGATAAAGGTCCACCCTCATGACCTTATTTTAACTTGATAACATCTGTAAAGGCCTTATCTCCAAATAAGGTGGTGAGGGTTAGGACTTCAATATGAATTTAAGTGTCTGGGAGGGGGATACAGTTCAACCAGTAACAATAAGGCACGATGCCTTATTATTAAAGGAGGTCTGATGGCTGGGAAAAATCTGCTGCTTATATGGCCAGGAATACCAAATTAGGAAACTCATCATGTGCAAATAGTCCCAGACTGTCCTTTCATTAGCTTGAGGAGGTTGGAAAGGAGGGATGTAGAGGTTGCCTTGAACACAAGGCCATCCTAGGTGCTGTAAAGCCACCCCAAAGGTGCTGTTAAAATCAGAGCTTACCTAATGTAAGTCAAATTATTTATTTATTTATTTATTTTTTTGGAGACGGAGTCTCGCTCTGTCACCCAGGCTGGAGTGCAGTGGCGCAATCTCGGCTCACTGCAAGCTCTGCCTCCCAGGTTCACGCCATTCTCCTGCCTCAGCCTCCCAAGTAGCTGGGACTACAGGCGCCCGCCACCACGCCCGGCTAATTTTTTGTATTTTTAGTAGAGACGGGGTTTCACCGTGTTAGCCAGGATGGTCTCGATCTCTTGACCTCGTGATCTGCCCGCCTCGGCCTCCCAAAGTGCTGGGATTACAGGCGTGAGCCACCGCGCCCGGCCTCAAATTATTTAAATATCGGATACTTAGTACTTACTATGTTGCAGACACCAAGCACTTTACAAATATTAGTTCATGTAATCCTCCTAACAACCCAGTTGAGGCAGATTTTACTATTATCCCCATTTCAAAGAGGAGAAAACTGAAGCAAAGAGAGGTTCAATAGCTTGCCCAAAGTTACACAGCTAGGATGCGGCCAGGCTGGGCTTTGAACCCAGGCAGTCTAATTCCAGAGCTGCTGCTGCTAACTACTGTGCTCTGAAGAGCCTCTGGGCTGGGGAGGCTCAGTCACTTCACCCTGACATAGGCAGTGCCTGCAATCTCTCATGAATTTTATGTATCGCAGATGAATACGAGGTGGACTGGAGCAATTCTTCTTCTGCAACCTCAGGGTCTGGCGCCCCCTCGACCGACAAAGAAAAGAGCTGGCTGTACACCCTGGATCCCATCCTCATCACCATCATCGCCATGAGCTCACTGGGCGTCCTCCTGGGGGCCACCTGTGCAGGCCTCCTGCTCTACTGCACCTGTTCCTACTCGGGCCTGAGCTCCCGAAGCTGCACCACACTGGAGAACTACAACTTCGAGCTCTACGATGGCCTTAAGCACAAGGTCAAGATGAACCACCAAAAGTGCTGCTCCGAGGCATGACGGATTGCACCTGAATCCTATCTGACGTTTCATTCCAGCAAGAGGGGCTGGGGAAGATTACATTTTTTTTTCCTTTGGAAACTGAATGCCATAATCTCGATCAAACCGATCCAGAATACCGAAGGTATGGACAGGACAGAAAAGCGAGTCGCAGGAGGAAGGGAGATGCAGCCGCACAGGGGATGATTACCCTCCTAGGACCGCGGTGGCTAAGTCATTGCAGGAACGGGGCTGTGTTCTCTGCTGGGACAAAACAGGAGCTCATCTCTTTGGGGTCACAGTTCTATTTTGTTTGTGAGTTTGTATTATTATTATTATTATTATTATTATTATATTTTATTTCTTTGGTCTGTGAGCAACTCAAAGAGGCAGAAGAGGAGAATGACTTTTCCAGAATAGAAGTGGAGCAGTGATCATTATTCTCCGCTTTCTCTTTCTAATCAACACTTGAAAAGCAAAGTGTCTTTTCAGCCTTTCCATCTTTACAAATAAAACTCAAAAAAGCCGTCCAGCTTATCCCATCCTCTGATTGTCTTCTGACTTAAGGGATTTACTGTGGTGTAGGTTCTGCCAGCCAACCCTACAAGCTGCCATTTCCAGTCCTAGCATTTAAGTAGGATGTTGTTGCCTTTAACTTTTCTTATCCAGGGGAAAATTGCCATTTTAGGGTCAGCATGAACAGCTCTTTCTTGTATGCGATTTAAAACAAACTGGAAAGGAAACTTCACACGTCAAAATCCATAGAAGCGCCTGGACGAGGCTTAAAGTGCTTTGTGAGTGAATAGGAGCCATTCGCTAATTCTAGACCCACAGTGTCTGGTGGTGGGGCTTCCCTTGTGGGGCTTCTGGTGGTGGTTTTGCCTTTTCTTTTCCCTCCTCCATGTTCTTCTAAAACATATACATATATACATACACACATACACATATTCTTCAGGTCTCTAAGCCCCTGGAAGCAGCATTGTGTGATATTCTCAGAGGCAGGGGAAAATAGAGGGAAAAATAGAGACTATTGGTATGTTCTCCCCATCAGCGAGTTATTGTAACTGGTCACCACTGGACGGGAAGGAGAACAGAGGAGAGGGAAAGAGAAGCCCAACCTCTGTGATCATATGAGGGCCAAGGCTGAGCAGTGTAGACAGAGACCCTTTGAAATGCATTTGTCTCTCAAATAGACTAGTAAACACCGACTTCTCCTTTGGGTTACAAACACCATTTCAACCTTTCGGGAGAGTCAGAGCTAGGATGTACAAGAACTGATTCTAACCAGAAGTCCGCAAGTACTGTGGACAAGAATGCTTAACCATGCTGCTTCAGCCTTGAGAGACCTAGGTTCTTACACATATGCACACACGCATACACACATGCACGCACACACACATACACACATGCACGCACGCACGCATGCACACCAATTTATGTTTTTATTAAGTGCCTTGAAAAAATGAAGAAAAATGTATTTTCCCTTTATGTAAAAATTAGTGAATATCTTATGAATTAAGGCATTCCTCTTTCCCTAACCCCGATGGCTCCATTCCCAAGTACCCCAACTCACTGCTGATCCTATTAAAGGAATGAGTCCTGCTACCCGAGTGGTAGTCATAGCCCTAGATGACTCTCAACTACTCTTCAAAGGGAGGCATCAGGAATAGAATGAAACTGTGTGAAGGATAAGATTGTTCGCATCAAGATCCAAATCTTGATTTCATATTAACGCCTAAGGATTGCCTGTGTGCTGGAAATATATTTGAAACTCAACCAGTATGCCCAGCCTATTGCATATCATTGTCAGACCATTTTTGCTGCTGTGGTCACCCACGATTTCATTTGTCTTATACCCAGGTGAAAGGGGAAGGGTGAATGGGACTGGCTGGTTCCTTTAAATGTTAACTTATGGAAATGCTAGTTCAAATGGTAATGTCACAGTGTTTTGTATGCAGAGAGCAAGAGTTCAACCAACAGCTGTTTATTCATGTGTGTGTGTCTTTGCTGCTTTGAGTTCTCTGTATCTACTGTGTATGTGAATGGTCATGTGGGACTCAGTGGTGGTGTTGTGACTTTGACCTAGGGTCCGAGTGTCACAGCTGATCTTGGCACTCGGCACTCATTGGCACAGTGGTAGTTAGAGGTGAAAAGTAGAGCTGTCAAGCCCAAGGGCTTAGCTTTAGGGCTCCTCCTGAGTTCGGCCCACAGTAGAAGCAAGATTTTAACTAGCCCCTTTTCCTCTTCACCCTCCCATGATGCGCAGTGTTCAGAAAGCTGGTAAGTCCTAGGGATTTCCAGAAGTAGCCTGCAGAAGAAGGTAAGTTTGAAAGCCACTCCAGGGGTCCTGATGCTGTCATGCTCAGTGAGCCATTTTACAGTTCTCCAAAGTCTAGCCCTGTTTCGGACCTGCACTTCACCTCTAAGTTATGTACAACTCAACCTGCATCCCTCTAAAAGTCCTATATCCATATTCACCATTGGCTAATTTGAGGCCCTGAGTGGGCCTTGAATGCTAAAAAGAAGCAGGGTACGCAGGGCTACATGTAGATACCACACCAAGGCTGGAGGCTGGTCTGTCATAAGACAGAAAGAAAGACGCTGGGCCCAATTTTGACTTGGCCAGGGGACACCTTGGTGTGTTTGTTATCTTTATCTGTGGGTAGGCTAGCTGACCCATCTCCTTGAGTCATTCCCTTTGGGAAACCCCACTGCCAGTATTGATCTCCTTTTTGCCTTGTACTGAATGACACATTACCTCCACACTCTCCCGGACTAGGTGGTCAACAGGGCCACAGGGTTGCTTTCTGTCTTTGGTGGGGCAGGGGAGTTGACAGGGATGAGGGTCCAAGGAATAAGCATGAATGACAAGAAAACAAGGGAAAGAGTTAACCTGTCACATAGCAGGTTAACTTTTTCAGGGTTTGCAGTTAGAGGTATTCGACCATTCACTGGCTGAGCCAGATCACGGGAACTTGAGAGCTTTTACTGTGATTCTTCAATGTAAAAAATAAACAACAATGTCAAACTGTGTTTATATGATTTGTATAAAGCCTTTTTAAGATTACTATTTAAATAAACATTATACCAGAGATATTTTTCTGCATCGTGGTTTTTTTTTTTTTTTTTTTTCTCTGCATTGTCTTTATTGGAGACAAACAGATCCGGGATAAGGGTGACCAAATTGTCCCACTTTGCCTGAGACTTTTTCAGGTTTTTAGCACTGAATGTCCTGTTGAAATAGGATAGTTCCCTCAACCCATTCACAGGACTCATGATAGGGTGGCTTGCTTACTCAGCCTGCAGCTCTCAACCCCTTGTGGGAGGGGGAGAACACAGGAGAGCAGGCGCAGAGGCCAGGATGAGCACTTTTGGGCAACCGGCAGGAGCAGAACCCTGTGCGGGCCTGCGGCAGAGTCTAGGGGTCGCCCATGACCCCTGGAGCCCCAGAGGGCCTGTGTTACAGTGCGCTCTTCTAGCTTTGCCATCCACGGATGGCTTAAGTGTTAAACAGCTCAGTGTAGAGTCATGATGACAGCCTCTTGCACCCACACTCAGGTTCTTGTCTAGCATCCAGGAGGAATGAGGTTTCACAAATTTGAGGTTGGTGAATGTGGAGGATTTTATTTAGTGGTGGAAGTGGCTCTCAATGGAATGGGGAGCTGGAAAGGGGATGGAGTGGGAAGGTGGTCTTCCCCTGGAGTTTGGGCATCCCTGGCCAAACTCTTCTCCGAGGTCCCGCTACCAAGTTGTCCCTCTGAAGTCAAGCTGCTTCTCTCCAACATCTGGCTGCTGCTTCTCTCCTTCTCTGCCACTCTGCCACTCTGCTGCTCTGCTGCTCTGCTGGTGGGGCCTGGGGTTTTCTTTGGGTACAGGATGGGGGACAGGGCAGGACAGGGTGGTTTTAGAAAAGGTAACATTCAGGCAGGAAAACAAGAATGTATGTTCTCACTTTGGGCCGCAGTACCAAAGAAGAGGGTGGTACCCTTACCAGATACCACCCTCTTCTACCCAGTATTTCCTTGCCTCCTGTCACTATCACTGTGTCCTGGAAAACCCTTTGTCTGAGTGAGCTTGGTATAACAGACTACCACAGACTTGGTGGCTTAAACGACAGACATACATTTCTGACAGTTCTGATGGCTGGGAAGTCCAAGATCAAGGCACCAACAGATTCAGTGTCTGACGAGGGCTCTCTTCCTAGCTTTTAGATGGCTGCCTTCTCTCTGTGTGCTCACCTGGCCTTTCCATAGAGAGAGATCTTTCTGTCTTCTTCTTCTAATAAGAGCACTAATCCCATCATGAGGGTGGGACATAATGACCCACCTCATGACCTAATCTAAACATAATTACCTCCCAAAGGCCCCAAATCCTAATACCATCAAAATGGTAGTTGAGGCTTTGATGTATGAATTTTAGAAGGACACAAACATTCAGTCCATAATACCCCTCGATCCTGGGCAAACTGAGATGGTAAGTCATCCTCTTGGGATAATGTTTCTTCTCAGCATTTGAAGCAGTAGGCTAATGGGCAGGTTGGCTTCTTATAAAATGAAGATAGTGTGGGAATGGGTGATGGGCCATCTGGCCAGATGGGCTACTTTAACTCAGAGTCCTACCTGGTAGACTTCAGAGGCTGTGACCTGTACAAACTCTTCCTCCCTGGACATCACCAGGCCCTGCAACTTTAGATTGTTTGCTCCTTCCTTTGTGGTCAAACCCTTGATTGTCAATATCTCTGGTGGTTTCAGCATCTGTGATGGTGCTTCTCAAAGTGTGGTTCTTGGCCAGCAGTGTTAGCATCATTGGGGAACTTGTCAGAGGAGATGTATATGCTTAGGTTCCATCCCAGATCTACTGAATCAGAAGCTCTGGGGGTGGGGTCTAGGGATTTGTGCTTCAGCAAAGCCCACCAGGGGAATCTGCTGCTCTTTCAAATTTAAGAACCACTGATCCAGTAGAAATGAAAATGTTTGTATCCTCCTAAAATTCCTACATCAAAGCTTCAATCCCCATCACGATGGTATTAGACCGTGCGGTCTTTGGGAGGTGATTAAGTCATGAGCTGGGTCATTAGGTCCCACCCTCATGATGGGATTAGTGCCTTTAGTGGAAGAACTATCCTGGCCTCAGGTGACTGAGGTGATTGAGGACCTTTTCACCTATTGGTTATTGGATTCAAAACTACCTAGGTAGTACAATAAGTTCCCTGGCAAGGGGGAGGGAGACACTTCATTATGAACCTCCCTCCCCATGGAAGCTCTGAACCTGAGCCAAATTTGCCACCATCCTGGGGCTCTGTTTACCCTGAAAAGGAAATTTGTTTCGGTCTCTTATTTAAGAAATGTTTTTGAGCAGTTCCTGATTTTGTAAGCTCTTAGAGCTTCCACTCAGGGAGGGGACGGGAAGCAAACAGCCAAATGCAAGAACATGATCAACAAAGGAGAAGGGCTGGAGATGGGGCTGGGAAGGTAAAGGGCCAGGACACACTGCACCTTAAGGCCCCAGTGAGGAAGTGCTCTCTCTTCTGTATCATTCTTCTGCTCTTTTTAATTGATAAAAAAGGGCAGCCCCCACTACCACCCATTCCTCACTGACCAATAATGTCACCATAGTCAAATCTCTGCAATTTCCCTCTTTGACCCTCCTGTGATCTTACGATATCTTGTGTATCCTGGGATGCCTGCTTCTATTGTATTACTGACCCTAGCAACAATAACAGAGGTTAAAATGAAAACAAATTTCTTCTCTCCTTTAGTTGAGCTTTTGGGTATTTTTAAAGCCCTAATAAACTAATAATATCTCCTGGTCCCTAGCCAGCAAGTGTTTACATAAGACCTTTTTTTTTTTTTTTTCTAATCTACATCCTTCTGGAAATGTTTACATGAAACTCAGGGGAGGCAGGCTGGCCAGTGAAATGAGGTTGGAACAGAACCATGGTTGAAGAAAACAGGACCCATCTGGATGCAGAGGCCGCCTTTGCCCCTGTGACGTTGGTGGTGTTGATGGGGGTGTGGGAGGGAACCTGAAGAGGTTGAAAGATGACTCAATTTCAGTTCTCACAGCCTTCAGGCTCTAATCCCAGGCTGAGCTAAACAAAACTCTTGGGAAAAAGATCTCTCCACCGGGGGATAAAGGGTGTGAGATGGGGAGTGGGGTGGTGGGAGGGGGTGATGGTCAGAACAGCAAATGCAACCAGTGGTGGGGGCTGAGAGCTACCTCACCATCCACCCTAGGGGCTCACAGTAACTTAACAGTCATTCCCATCAACACAATGGGAAGAGTCCTGGAAGCTTACAGGTCGCCCCAGGCTGAGGCAAAGGCAGGGCTTGCCCCTGAATTCCTATCTCTCAGAACTCTTGAGCCACCTTCGCCTGCTGCCCACCCCATCTTCCAAGGCTGGTCCTCTTCCTTCCTGAGTTTTCTCAGTGACCCTCAGAGGCAGTTCCTGGTGGAAAGACAATGCCTCTCATGTTCTCTCTGGAGGCCCAAGCAAGAGACCTCCAAGGGAACTAAGAACCAGATTACTTCTGCAGCTCATCCAGAGAATAACACCTGTTTCCTCACCCTTCCTTGTCAGAAAACCCTATAGGACAAGTGTGTGTGCGTTTGTGTGTGTGTGTGTGTGTGTGTGTGTGTGTGTGTGTGTGAGTGCTGTTCCTGTCATCACAGTTTTACAAGTGCTGTAAGAAAAGGAGGCCTTCTCACTAAGAAAACATATCCCACCTGGCCACAGTGAGTCTGAGCCCTCCCTCAACCCCTCTCCTACACAGTGGCACCAGTGCAGGAGGGTGCCCTCTCTGCAGAGGACACAGCCCAGCCCAAGCAGGGCCCACACAGTGTTCAAACCCTGACCTGAGGCCCTGTCAGGCTCACGTGCACACTGAGGTGCCTAGGCCTCTGCAGAACGCCCTTCACCAGTGGAGAGGCAAAGCCCTGGGGTCTGGGCATTCAACATGTGAGGATTTGGGGTGCTTGGTTCTAGGTCCCTTAGCAAACCCCTCACTAGACCAGCAGGCCCTGGCAGCTGTGTTCAGGCATGGACCCTTCTTTACCCTTGAGACTCTAACAGCCTCCCCAGAAACAGTGCCGTTCAGTCTGCAAGGTGCAGGCTGCAGCCTCCACAGCCCCTCAGGCTTCTCAGAACTGTCTGCAGGGCCAGGATGCCGTGGTTTGGAGCATAGCCCCACTAATTAATCTCATCCTGAAGCCCTTGACTGCCTCCACTGGGAATTGAAGCACAGCCTTGCTGCACCTCCGCCTTGCCAAGCCTCAGGCAGAACTGCCCGACAGGGCCTTGACTCCAGAGAGGGTGGCAGGCGGCCTTTCTAGATTTGCCTTCTGTCTTCACCTTTTTTCCTCCTCTCACCCCTCATCTCATCTCGCCTTGAACATTCGTGTTTCTATTCCCAGCTGACTATTTTTAATGCCTGTGGGAGTTCGAAGAAAGCTTTGTAGGGTTTTGAAATCCCCCAGTGCTCCTTTCCCCTTGAATGTGGACATGACGAGGAGGCGGAGAGCACTGTCTCAGGGCTTGGGAGACCAGGGTTCAAGATTCGGTTCTGCCTCTGCCTGTGTGACCTTGGGAAGGCCACAACACATCTTGGCTTTCCCATCTGTAAAGTGGATGTTTGGGCTACATGGATTTTGAGCCCTCAGCTATGCTATGACATCCTAGTCCATGGGGTGGTTCTGGCTGGTTGTCTGTATGTGTGTTGCACAGCCCAGCAAGGCAAAGCTCTCCGGATGCTCCCTTCCCAACATTGTCTCAGGCTCCCTTCTGCACAGACGGTGGGGATGGCATCTTTGGGCTTGACTTGATGTTATCGTGGAGCTGGACCCCAATCCCAGCTCCCCAGAGGCAGAACTGCTCTTTTCCCCAGAGCCCTTCATTCCTGTCTACTGACATAGAAACTGACATGCATATTCATCCCCCATGACCTCTTGAGGGAAGAACTGATGTATCCATTCATTTATATAATAAGCCTATTTTAGATTAAATGCCTAAACTGTGCCTCGCTAGGTGCTAGGAGACATGATCAGCAAAACAACCTGGTTCTGTCTTCGGGGACTTACAGTCTGGAAACACACAAGTGAATCAGGAAACCACACAAATATAACGATATGGCAAGAGCTCCAAAGCAAAGTGCAGAGAGCTGCGCGTGTGTAAGCAGGGACCTGAGCATTGTGTCTTATGGGAGCTGAAATCCTAGGATGAGTCAGGTGAGCAGGGGGAGAAGGCAAAGATGCTGAAGCCAAAGGAAACTTGGCTAGAGCGAAGTAGGGGGTGAGGAGGAATGTCTCATTCACCTTTGCATCAGGATCCCCGGCTCACACCTGGCACCTACTGCCTGTGCATAAGTATTTGTTGAATGAATGAATGAATGACTTGTATAAATTCCCCTCTGACAGGCATCAAGCTGCCCAGTTTGTACAGACTAAAAGATAAGTGTTTTTGTTCTTGCTTCTTGCTACCTGTTCTTCACTGTAGTAGAAAATGTGCAAGTAACCTTCCAGGAGTCTGTATGGAGAGATTATGCCATAAGTTTCAGCATGGAAATGGGCACTATTAGTTTCTGCTTAAATATGATAATTTAGGCTAAATATAATATTCAGATTAAAATTCTGTTGAAACAGTTGGAAAGTTGCCAGATTTAGCACATAAAAATGTCCCACGCAGCCACAGTACAGCAGTTCCTCAAAATGTTAAACATAGAATTACCATATGATCCAACAATTCCACTTCTAGGTATATACACCAAAAATAATTGAAAGCAGGGACTGAAACAGATATCTGTGCACTGATATTCATAGACACATTATTCACAATAGCCAAAAGGTTGAAACAGCACAAATACCTATCAACAGATGAATGAACAAAATATGGTGTGCACATACAATGAAATATTATTCATCCTGAAAATGAATGACATTCTGATACATGTTACCACAGAGATGGACTTCGAAAATATCATGCTAAGTGGAATAAACCGACACAAAAGGACAAATATGATATGATTACACTTATAGAAAGTACCTAGAATAGGAAAATTTCTAGAGACAAAGAGTAGATTAGAAGTTACCATGGGCTGGGGAAAAGAAAGAACCGGGAGTTGTTTTTTAATGGGTATAGAGTTCAGGTAATGAAAAAGTTCTAGAAATGGATAGTGGTAATGGTTGCACAACACTGTGAATATGTATAACACCCCTAAAATGTATACTTCAAAAGGGTTAAAATGGTAAATGTTATGTAGATTTTACCACAATTTTTTAAAGAGCATCTTGATTTTTTTTAAGTCCCCTGTAATACTTGGGACACACTTAAACTGAAAAATTGCTCATTATCTGAAATGTAAATTTGATGAGATGCCCTATATTTTACCTGATAATCCTAATTGAAGAGCTTTCTCTTCACCATGGGATTCCTGGGACCTTACCAAAATTTCAGGGCCATATTTCCCAAACCAAAAATTTGTGCTTAAGATTTGATAATAAAGAGTGTAGAAAACAGTTGCAGAAAGTCAGGAGGAGTCGTGCCTACCCTAATTATAGATTGAACCATAGAGAGAGGCCACAAAGTGACTCCCTCAGCCCTTGCTCACTCCATCAATGAAGAGGTAGAGATTAGAAATCTTGGTTGGTTTCCCATCTGTTGTTTAATCATCATGATCCACAAATGCTGTAAAAGCTGGTTATAAACCCCTTCTTACGATTGACCACGTGGCTAGAATTACAGTTGCAGATGGCGATGCTCATGCGTGCGACTCAGACGATAGCCTTGTCCCCTGCCATCAATGGATCTTCACACCAGAGTTGGTAAGAACCCATGGGGTGCCCAGATGCCTAATTGTACCAGCATTTGCACCCATGCCTTCTCAAAGAAAGAAACCGCCTGAACAGCTCATTGTGCAGCACGAAACAACAGGTGCAAAAGGCAAAGGCCACTTTGGAGCCATTTGGACCAAAGAACATGACTCTGCATAACAAGTGCCACAAACTTGGTGTGCCTGCATCAACCTGCCTGTGAGATGGGCTCAGCATCCTGCCACAGCCCCAGAGTCTGCAGTGGTGTTCCAGGTGGTCCCACCTACTCCTTCTCTCAACAGAATGAAAGACAGCTGGGAGGGCATAGCACGAAGTGATGGGTCGCGTCCAATTCATTTTTACTAGGTGCTGACAAGTCACTGCAAAAGTCTGGAAATGTGTAGCACAGCAAAAACACACGGGTCACAATGCACTGGTGAATGATTACCACAGGAGAAATTCATTACAGGCTGCTCTCAGCTCCCATCACATAAGGAAGTGTTACATTAACAAGATGGAAGGTCCCTGTGGTCCCCTCCCCAACACAGCCCCCACTGCCACCGCCTGCCACCCCACTATTTCAATTTGTGTTGCATGGTGGGAACAGAGCCCACAGGCGGGGGAGGTTAATTCTGCTGCACTAATCAAAAAGGGGGACGCAGTGGCAGCCAAAGCCAAGCGAAGCAGATTTGACCTGCGCACTGCATGAAATCCCTTCTGCCAGCCTGCACCGGTTAGGACCGTCATCTTTGGGCACCTAGATGTGGCACGAACACAGGGTGACTCTTCTGTTAGCTGTTCATGTAACTTGCTTCCTATGGAGAGAGCGTGTTGTTTCCCTATACCCTCATCCCTGGCCCTCATCCCTATTGGCACCCAGTTCCCTTGGGTTTTTAACCTTTTCTCACACAGACACTGACGGGGAACCTAGTTGTTGCCAGCATGGAAGCTGTGCTAGAGACTGTGGAGTAGCCAAGAAGAATAAGACATGCTGGGCTTGGAGCTGCTCTGGAACAAGTTCGGGGGTGATGGGGACGGAGCACCTCCCATTTGTAGAGGTTGATAAATCAAATGGCCTTTAGGTCCTTGCTCTCCAGTGTCACATGCAGTCTATGTCTCGTTCTTCCCTCTAATCTCCCTTCTCCAATTACCACTTCCCACATTAAGGATTCACGGGCCACAAATGGAGGGTCAGCAGAGAGGCAACTGCGTGAGACAGAAGGGTCAACAGTTCTTCCTTAATGGGATTTCTGCTCCTTCAAGATGCCATTCACATGCAGAGGCACCGGCCAAAGGGACCTACTTTTAAAGTCAAATGCACGGCCAGGCCCAAGATGGATGGCTCTGCCTGGGAAGGGGGGCTCTGGACAGGTGCCTTCCTAAGGAGCCCAAAACACTCAGTGTCTTGGCCTCACTCCTGTGCCCCACCTCTCGCCACTGAGAGGCCCGGTGAGTTCCTGTAGCAAATGTCAGCCTGAAGTGGATGAGCCAACCCCAGCGCACTCACCAGCCAATGCGATGTTAAATATTAAACCTCCCTGTAGCCGGCCTGGGCTGAAAGCCGCCGTTTCATTATGCAGCTTTCTCTGGGCTTAAGAAGAAGAGAGCTCGCCTCTCCCAAAAGCTCACCGTGGAGACTCACCCTCAGCCTTCTGGGCATCAGGGAAACCTTCAAAACGGTTCAATTTGTCCAAGCCCATCTATCTTTAATGTCACAGTCTACATTTTCTCCTCTCCTCCTTTTTCAAAGCAGCCAAAAAGGAAAATGTCACTGCATTTGGGGCCAATTCAAAAGCCAGGCTTAGACAAATGTTCTATTTCGTTCTCCCCAGCCCCGGTGTTTTTATCTCCTGCGGTGTTTTCAGGGACTGCACCTCACCCCACTCCACTCCTGTGTTCACCTGGTGTCTTTCTGGCCCGCTTTATTGTGTGTCCTTCGCTCACCTTCTTCACTTCTCAAAGTCCTCTTTGTGACTGAGCCTCTGCTAGAGAACATGATGTTGATTGTGTCGTTTTTGTTTTGTTTTGTGTTTTTGAGACGGAGTCTTCCTCTGCCACCCAGACTGGAGTGCAGTGGTGCAATCGCGGCTCTCTGCAACCTCCGCCTCCCGGGTTCAAGCCATTCTCCTGCCTCAGCCTCCCGAGTAGCTGAGATTACAGGCGTGAGCCACCATGCCTGGCCCACGATATTGATTTTTACGGGGGTAGTGGGGTCTCCCTGGGGGGACTGCCAGGTGAGGCTGCTGCCACCCCCTTCCACTTCCCAAACAGGTTTGGAGGTTCAGCAGCTGATACACGTAAATGTCCCCAGTTCTGCCTTTTAGAAACTGTATTCCCCAAATTTGTCCAAAACACATGGAATTGTCCCCAGCCGTGGCAGATGCGGTTAGGAGCACTGTTGGCACCTCCCCTCCCCTGTGTGCCTTAAAAAGACCCTTTAAGCTGTGCAGGGCAGGTGGCAGCTCAGATGAAGATGACAATCAGAATGTATCGCTGACAGTCTCTGGCTCACCCAGGAATAGAGAGCCAAAGCACTGATTGATACCTGAGAGGGTAGCTGTCTTAGGGAGGACACAGAAGAGAGATAAGGGACTCAATCAGTGTCAGAGCTGTCCCAACACAACACAGCCATTAATCACTTTGGGTAAAGATTCTTGGCTGCTGAAGTAGAGGAGGGCGAGCAGGTAATAGAAAAACAGAGGGAGAAGCAGCTGTGTGGGCTGGACAGTTCCAGGATGGACAAGGCGCTTGGCCTCACCTGGATGGATGGACAGGCAGGCCTGATTTGGAGATCTCCATCTGTCCATTCTCAGCCCAAGGAAAATGCCCACAGGATTTTCCTAAATTCATTGCACAGAATTAAAATATAATCCAGGGTGAACTTTAAAGTATGTGAATTATGTCTCAATAAGGCTATTATAAATATATAGACTCCAATCAGCAGCCCAGGACAGCTGCAGTAGAAACCCTCCCTCCTGCCGCCCTCCCACCACATGGATGCAGAGGAGACCATTGCTGATATTCTCTCCTTGTCCTTACCCACTGGTACCTGAATGAGATGCAGCACGTGGTGAACCATGAGGAAAACAGGGCTCAAAGACTCAGCATTTCGATGAGAAAAGATCCCTCCCATTCCAGAAAGCCGCAAGACTGCACTTCAGCAATTCCCAACCATATTACGCATGTGATTAGAACTGGCCGAGCACATTTTAGAGACTGTCTTTCAATGTGTTTTAATTAGACATTTAAAAACAATAACCCTGTTTTTTTGTCCAGGGAACAGAGATTCCTAAGTTGGAAATAATGAATGGATTAGTGATTAATTCATTGCTGGCAGGTGTGGGGAGAAGCTGTCTGTAGCTTCTTAGTTTTTTTTGTCCCCTTTCTCTCTTAAGATTGTTCTTTCTTATTTTAATTAATTTTCTTGCCACCCCAGCACTTCTCTTATCAAATATTCAAATAAACTAAACAAGTGGAGTATACTGAGACCAAAGTACTCAATATGGTGTTTAATTGGAATTGTAGCCTGTTTTCTCCCTGAGGGGTAGCAGATACCTGGAAGCTTTTCCTGGCAGTGGAAATGGACTCCAAAAGTGCATTTTTAGCATCTAGTTAATCTTCCTTTCAGGTGCCGAGGGCATGGCTTGATTGAAACAGGGAGCAGCCATTGGGTGATTTGTGGTTACTCTTGCCTTGCCTGGTAAGGAACAGAAGTGAGAACATAGCGAGGCTGTGAATCTTCTCTCCATTCACTCTGCTCCACTGTTTGCATGCTTGTGTCTGTGCCACATGAATGCTCGACACTGGGGGCATGATCCAGCTGTTGGACATGCCAGGTCTGGTGACGGCTGCCTGCCCTCGGCTGCCAGCATCTCACTCAGCTCAGCAGGAGGGCTGCCATCACTGCTGATGCTTACAACATAGTTTGGCACAAATATCCTGCATCCATGTCCTCAAACCCAAGCCACAATCAGCAGGGAGGGGCAGGGCATGTGCTCATGTGCAAGGGCCACAGCACTAGCCTCTCAGTGAATGTGAACTTTATGGTCTGTCCTTTTCAAAAGAACACTGCTCAGAACAGCTATGGCGCAGTGCACTTTCTAAACTCGGGACTATCTTGAATGAGTGAGCAGTCCCGTATGACACTAGATCTGCAATGGAGCCAGAGCTGTTGGCTACTTCAAAATGAGTTACAGGTTTCAGAACACCACTTGGTGCCTTCTAACAGTGTGAGATCCCTTAGCAGAGACAGCCTTGGCTACCTTCTCAAAAGCAGCCACATGGTTGAGCCCTGACCATATATTTATCCATAAATGATGGTGAGTACTAATAAAGAAGGAATGGAAGAGGAGTTTTTAAGGTGGGTCTCTGGAGGCCATGGTTTCATTCAGCCCAAAGTATTTTCCTCCAGATTGAAGCAAAGACAGAAGTAGCCTGCTGTGACTAATGGAGCTCAGGTGATTGCTTGCCAAGCATTTTAATAATGGGGTGGCTGACAGGTGGAATAGGGTGGGGATGGTGGAAAAGAGCAATGGACAGTAGGGACATGGTCAGCAGTTAGCTGGTAAAGAAATGAGCATTGCTTCCAAAGGCTTCCAAAACTAGGCAGCGGGGAATGAGGGATTCAGCCAGAGGAAAGATTTCCTGGTACTTCCCTCCATTTTTTTTTCTCTCTCCCAAGTTTGGAAGCATCAGAGCTGGAAAATTGGGACACACATCCCTAAAGGAGTTCCTATTGGGTGACCATGTATATGGTTTTTAAATTCTCAAGGATAAACTACTGGACAGCTACAAAGAAAAGGAGAAAGTTCTTTATGTATAAATATGAAAAGATCTTTAAGACATACAGTTAAACAAAAAATCAAGGTGAAGAACCATGCCTAATATGCAGGATATGTAATTTGTAATTTGCAGAGTCCAGTGTGAAATGAAATTATAGGGTTCAAAATTATTAAGAATTTCAAGCCAGTGACAGCAAAGCATGAAATCAACTGCACCACCCTCCTGCACTCAGAGCCCTGTGTATCTTCCACACTCCCACGCAGTCAGTCCTGCCGGTATGTTTCCATTGCAGTAAACCTAAAATGTTAAGTAAGAAATAAGTACGGTTTTCCTATGGGCAGGGGGGCTGAGAACTACGAGGAAGGAGGACAAAAGAGGGAGGAGAATTTCCACTGTATACCTATTTATATTTGTCAATATTTGAATCATGTAAATGAATTACCTATTCAAAAATTTAAATAATTTAAAAAAGTCCTCAGGGCTCCACAAAACCCCATGCAGACCCTAAGCAACACGTGGAATCCCATTCACATTTATCAGTGATTACATGTTGCTATGTGGAGGTCCTGTGCATGGGAAGAAGCTATGAGAACAGAAGCATCTGATTATAATAACTGAAGCAACAGCTATCCTCTTTCTCACCCAGTCACTTGCTTGCCACTGGACATAGATTTCTATGAAGCCAAATAAAACAGAAAATGTTTTCTCACTCTGTGATCTCTATCAGGTTCCTCTCACCCCTGTGAACTTCAGTAGGCCTCGGGCATATGGGCTACTGCTTATTTTCACAGCTGCCCTATAGGTTAATAAGTGCTACTCTTCTGAGCAGAGAGACTCTAAATCTCATTAAAAGAGTGGGTTAGATGAATGCATCCACAGTAACAGTAATAATCAGAAATAACAAGGTGCTTCCAGTTTGACAAGACCCACTTGTGTGTCTCCACAATGGTGCCACTCAGAGAAATGGGAGGCACCTTGTATTAGTGTGTTCTCACACCGCTATAAAGAACTACCCGAGACTGGGTAATTTATTAAAAAAAAAAAAAAAGAGAGAGAGATTAATTGACTCACAGTTGCGCAGGCTGTATAGGAGGCAATGGATGGGGAGGCCTTAGGAAACTTACAATCATGGGGGAAGGCGAAGGGAAAACCAGTATGTCTTACGTGGTGGGAGCAGGAGGAAGACAGAGAGAAGTAGGAGGTGCCACACATTTTAAAACAACCAGATCTCGTGAGGACTCTATTACAAGAAAGCATTCAGGGGATGGTACTAAGCCATTAGAAGCCACCCCCATGATCCAATCACCTCCCACCAGGCCCCACCTCAAACACTTGGGATCACAATTCAACATGAGATTTGGGTGGGGACACAGAGCCAAACCATATCACTCCTGAACCACAAATAATCAAATCAATAATAGTTTGCATGTATTGAGTACCTACAATGTATTAAATGAATTATTCATTTAATCCTCACGATTCCTGCAAGGCAGATTCTACTGCTTTTTGCATTCTATAGATCAGGAGAAGTCCAAAAAGGAGAAGTAACTTGCCAAACACTGCCCTGTAAGTAAAGGAAGGAGCCAGATTTGAACACAGACATTCTAGCGCCAAAGACCATACTCTCAACCGTTAATCACAAAGAAGAGAAGCCTCGCTTTTCAAGTAAATGATCCATATAGTAAAGATCATTGGCTAAAATGTAGTACATCATCTTAGCCGTTCCACTCAACAAAATCTTCTACCCTCCAGAACACAATGGGGATAATTTAGAAGTAAGGGCTGCAGATTTTTATTTTGGTAAATATGGCTATGAATTCTTTTGTGCCATCAAGTCAGATGAATGCTAGGCTCACCATTGCTTGAGGCCTGCATTAGTGTTCAGTATGGCCCTGAATTCTCTATTCTTTGGAAACAACATTTCTAAGATGATGGCAACTTGACAGCTCTTGGAAACAATTTCCTAGGGACTTACCCACAAGATCTCCAAGTGATGCAAGAGGCTGAGGCAGTTAAGAAGAGTGAGGGAGGAATTACTTCCAAGAGTACAGATAAGTCAAGAAAATAATCTAGAGTCACAGAAGATCAAGATCAGAGGCAGATGTTCACATTCCTGGGCTGAGGAAAAGACTCCAGGCCTTGGCTCAAATTGGCCGTAGAAATTGTATGAAGGTGGAATTAAACCCCAACATTCCCTGGGAACTTTCCCCCTTCTAAGTTGTCTAAGACACCAAGAACAAGTATCTATACAAGAGTACTGTACACATATCTGTACTATCTATCTTGTCCTGCATTTATCTTCTACCAAATTGTGGTGTCTACTTTGATGAGAAAGCCAATTTCAGATCTTTCTGTCTCAGAACCAAAAAACACTACAAGGCACAAGATGGGTCTTTAATATATGTTTGTTGAAATGGCAAATGAATGAATGAATGATTCATCAGTCAATTGATAAACACCCTTAATCCTTAATAGCCATGTTATGCAAGTAATATCTCATTATGACAATTCAACCTCTCCCTGCAGCTCACCAATAAAATATTCAAATGTTTTTTATTCTAATGACACTTTGTGATAATTGCTAGAAATCCTATTCCCAGGAGGCAGGAGCCAAAGATGAAACCAAACCAATATCAGATTTCCTCATCAAGACTTGGAAAGTGAAAACAAAATGACTTGAATGCAATAAAAGGGAATATTTTGCAGATCAGCTTAATATATTGCCCTTGAAGTGCTTAAATGTGTTTGTGTGATGTTGTCAAGTAACTACTCAATAAATACTTTAAAGCTTGTTTGGCTTGTTGAAATTTAAAATATTAAGAAAAAGAAAAGAAGTTTGACTGATTTTTGCAAATTCAATACCCAAAGTAGTGTAGAAGAAAATAAAAGCAGCTGGGATTTGTGTAGTTGCTAATTTAGTTGAAGAATAATCATCCATCTAAGCAAAAATACTTCCTCTGCCACATCTGGAGAAACCAGTTGTAGAGGGAAAGTGTGGGTTGGTTGCCAAAAGGACATTTTCCATATTGAAGAAAATCTTAATTTTATGCAAATTGCCATTCGATCTTTTATTTTTTTTCTCTTTCCTCTTTCAAAGCAATGAAATACAGGAAGCAAAAAGGTGATTTGGAGACTTTTATGGAATTGATAAAGTCATACTTTCTTAGGAAAGAGATTAGCTGAAACTTGGCCAGGTGATAAGACATTACAAGAAGGTCAAAGTATTAAAGATTTCCAAAAAAAGCTGCAGGATGAGAAAGTCTGCCAGTAGCTTATAAGAAGAGACCAAGGGATTGGGGATTTTCAACATTAACAGGAATTGAAAATCTGGACCTTTACTTAAAGGAAAAGTAGAGTTACTTTTAAACAATGATTGATAATAATCAAAGTCTACTGGGATAAAGAACTTAACCTGAAGACAGATTTTTTGGTAGAGTATTTCTTTGTATGTTGTTCTACGTTGAGTATTACTTTCTATACTGTTCTTACTATTTTATATTTAGATTTTTTTGGGGGGGGGGACTAAGTCTCGCTCTTGTCACCCAGCCTGGAGTGCAATGGCACAATCTCGGCTCACTACAACCTCCACCTCCCAGGTTCAAACGATTCTCCTGCCCCAGCCTCCCAAGTAGCTGGGATTACAGGCACCTGCCAACCCATGCCTGGCTAATTTTTGTATTTTTAGTAGAGACGGGGTTTCACCATGTTGGCCAGGCTGGTCTGGAATTCCTGACCTCAGGTGATCCGCCCACCTCGGCCTCCGAAAGTGCTGGGATTACAGGAGTGAGCCACCCTATAGTTATCTTTAATTTGCATTTCTGTTTTTCTCAAAACAAGTGATTCTCAAAACTTTATCTGCATCAGAATTACCAAGGAAGTCTTTTAAAAATGGAGATTCCTAATCCCAGATAGTCAAATTCATTGGGTATGGGGTTGGGGTTCAGGAATCTGTGTTTTAACAAAGTAAAGGTAATAGGGCCTGGATAATTTAATGCAAGTGATTCACACCTCACTTTTGAGAAGTTACTCTCGTTAAATATGTTCCAGGTACTGTCCCGGATCTCTGCAGCTGTAGCAACGAAGCGCCACCTACTGGAAATTTACCAAATTACAGGCATAATGGAAAGGAGAACCGAGAAATCAGTGTAGTGATTTTGTCATTTAACTGTGATGTTGTCAAATAACACTCTATAAATGTTTCAAAGCTTACCTGGCTTATTCAAATTTAAAATATTAAGAAAATTAAAATAGGTTTGAATGATGTTCACAAATTCATACTAAAAGTAATGTGGGAGAAAAATAAGCAGTGGATTTGTATAATGACTAATTTATTATAAAGTTTCAGAGTCTAGGACACATAGAAACAGGACACAGGAGGAAGGTTGGAAAGCCACAGAAACACATTTTACCTACTTTTCTATTCTTCCTGCTTCTCGCTGGAAGTAATGGGCTGATAATTAACCTCAAGCCAATTTGTTATGCTTGATTTAAGAAGTCACCATTTGGCTGCAAATCTGTTTTGCCCCACTTGCACATCTCTCCAGGTAAGGCATGTCCAAACCTGCCTTACTCATTCTATGTATGTTCTTCTGATTCCATTGCAACCTCTCCCTCATGTGGGAGGATGTGGGAAGGAAATGGAATTGAATGAAAAGGAAGTCTGTACCAGACAGCATTTTGCCCCCTCCCAAATACATATCATGACAACCATCAAGGAATAGGAGCTCTGGGTGACACAGCTTCCTCCCATGGAGAGGTGTTTGACTTGGGAAGTAAGATACTGCTATACCAACCTCTCATTTCTCCATTCATCAGCAACAATAGATGGCACAAGGCATCCAACCCTTGCAGGAAGCAGCTGCCTTACAGCATGGCATGAAAAAGCATGGAGCATTTGGCTTTAGACAGTAATTTACATGACCAAGGGCAAATTACTTAGCCTCTCTAAGCATCATTTTCCTCCTCTATTAAAGAGGTATTCTTACCTTGTGGGGTTGTAAGAATTTGAGTAATACATGCAAAATGCCTGGGATGTAATAGGTGTTCAATAAATGGTAGTTATTATTTTATGCATGAGACTCGGGCTAATGTATGTGTGAGCATTTAGTTATTAATTAGAAGGTAAATGAAAGCTGGCTGGAGGGAATTGCATTTGACCTTTAGCAAATTATTTCATTTAGATGCGCTGATGCAAAACTCTCACGTCTTATGAAGAAAGACAAAAATAAATCGGGCTGACAAAAGATATTTTAAAAAATACTCAATCTCCCTCCAACATCCTCTCAGTCTATGGCCACCCCACTATAATTTATATGCCATCTGAGGAGATGTTTGTGCCTTTCCCTCTCTTGTCATAGTCAATCGCTGGCTGATCAGGGGCCAGACTCAGCTCTGAAAAACCTTTTTGAGAATCTGCATCTAATGACTGCTCCAAAAAAGAACTCCTAATGCTTTTCGTTTTTCCTCCAAATAAGCTTGCCGTCAAATTAGCTTAGGTGTATTGTCTAAATTATCCCTAGGCTGAGTTTGGCACAACCGGTGCAACATGATGCAGGGGCCTGATGCATTTGTTTCTCCACAGGCCCATTTTATTGAACGACAAAGAGAACCTGCCACACTCCATGTAAAGCACCTTATGGGAGCCCATGTTATGGGAGTCCATTTGTTTGCAGAACCATGGTCTATTACAGGAAGGGCAGAAGCATCTGTGCCAGCTGATGAGAGGAAAGGGAAAAGAGAAAGTGACAAAGGTTTGCGGCAGACCAGAAACAGAAGAGACACATAGACACATCGTGACCTTATCTTGCAAATCCTTGGAAGTTCACTATGTGTGCAGGAGTTCTGAGACTTGACAAATCAATGGGAGACAAAAGAAGGAGGGCTAATGAGAGGATGAGGATCCATGAAGGTGTTTCCATGGTGGAGAGCAATGCATGAAAGAAGTAGCAGCTTGCAAGAGACTAAGAGCGATTAAAAGGCTGGGGCTAGCCCTTTTTGGCAGAAAAGGCAGTGACAAAGAACTGACTGACAGCAGTAGGGAAGAAGAGAGCTAAGTCTACTGCACTTAAGGGAAAAAAGAACTAGAAAAAAAAGGAGAGCTGTAACAGGAAATCAATTGCTGATACTACCCTGCTGGAAATATTGCAGATCCCACGACTAAAAGGAAAGAGATTGGTGTTTTTCACATGTGATTCTCTCACGCTGTATAACACATGGGTAATTGGTGCTATCAGGGGCCTCATCTTCAGTTTCTCTGTCTCTCAACATAGCTGGGATAAGGATGTATTAGAAAGTCCAACCCAATGAACTTTGCAAAAGGGCTGTGATTAGCTTTGGAAGGCTCCGACTGTGCAAGCAGCCAATATAATAAGCTCACTTGTTGTGACTGATTACAGCTATTACCAAGCCTGCATATTTCTGCCTTCTAATGCCCACAGAGGAGTGGGAAGGAAAGTCAGCCAAGCATCCCTGGGACTGGTTTATTAAGCTAATATACCAGGCATTGCCCATTTTGCATCCTGAGAAGCCATCAAGCCCTTTGAACTTAGCATTTTCATTAGAAATCATCTATTTTAAATAATGATACAGTGAATCTTTAGACTGCTTTTTATCCAAGGACCTCAAAATACATTACTATTACTGCTGATTCTTAGCATTTGGAAGATGGTATTACATTAATTTTCTAGATGGTTAAACCAAAGCATCTAATGGTGAAATGCAAAATCAGCTGCAAAGGTAGGGAGAGTTTAGAGTACTCATTTATCTTATCATTTATCTCCATAACTCCATTTACTGTGCACATGCCAGTACCCAGAGGCATAATTATGAGCTAGGAGCACATGAAGACTTTATGAATGTCCATTTGTGGAGGACATTGCTCATGTTGGTGGCTGCCTGACAACTTTCAGGTATGCTTCTTATGTTTGGGGAGGAGCTCACTTTCCTAGTTTCCTTTGCAGGGGCAAGGCAGACATGTGACCTGGAATCTACTAATCAGATGCTCTGGTGAAAGCAACAAGTCTGATTTCTGGTGCAGAAGTTGAACACAGCAAATTATAGTGTCAATGTCGTGATGGTGGCAGCAGAAGCTTCCCCATCAAACCAGTTTGACAGCACAGTCGTAGGCATGTTTCTGGAAGTTTAACCTCTTACCTGGTTCTCCAGCTCTTAAAATGATTTTACAAACTCTTTTTAACAAACACTTTCTCTGCAAAATTAGCCAGACTCAGCTTCTGTCACTTGCATCTAAAAACCCTGAAAAGTATTCCCTTATAGCCCATGAAAAATAGAGGGTTACAGACCTTTTTTAGTACTTTTAGATGGTTTGAAAACTGATTATCAGTCCATTTTGAAACTTAATTTACTCAATTAATATTTAGTATTTACAAATATCTAGTATTTATTAAGCACCTACTATGTGCAAAACACTGTGCTAAGTATTGTGGGAAACATTTTCTGAGTGCTTGCTGTGTGCACTCAGCAAATATTTCCCACAATACTTAGCACAGTGGCAGACATGGCCAGTACCCCCAGGATCTTACAGTCTATGGGGATCAAACAGGAGCAGACAGACTAGGTCAGAGGCAGTTTTAGTAATTCAAGAAAGAGTTGATGGTAGTTTAGACAAGGGAATTAGGGGTGGAGATACAGGAAAAAAAGGACAGATCCAGAAGATATCTAGGAGGTAAAAATAGAGGGAATTTGGCAATAGATTGGATATGGGGAAATGCAATGGGGTCGTAGACGACTCCTGGGTTTGTCATTTGAGCCTCTGGATAGACAGTGGTGTCCATCCCTGAGAGAATGTTGAAAGAAAACCAGATTTTGTAGGGACATCGCAAGTTCAGTCTCAAATGTGTTAAATAAGTTGCCTTTGGGGCATCCATGAGGCAGTTGCATATTAACGGATCTGGAACTTAGAATCCAGGACTGGGCTGAAGTCATGAAGAGTCCTTGCGTAATTGACATAACTGTGTGAATGGGATTTCTTAGGGAAGAATATAGCCTGAGAACCAGAGAGGACCTTGGATTTGTTCTTAAGGAGTATCAAATATAGGTCTAAAAATTAGGGGAGCCACTCATCAATGGTTACCAAAAATCTAGTTCACCTATTTAAAAAAAAAAAAAAAGTGAAACACATTAATCAAAGAAACATGTCTTGATTCTCCAAGTACAAACTCTTCTATAATAATGATCCCACACTCAGAGACCAGCCCAGTCTACTACTAAGTCAATGGGCCAGGTAGGGCCTGTGGCACACAGGAAAGGACATGTCCTGTCTAAAGAGAGCAGCTGATTCTAAGCTCAGACAAGTTATTCCCATATATAATACCTATATCCAAATCCCTCTATTAAATTCCCCACTGTTTGAAATAATTGCCATGATTTTACATTTATCTGAATGCACCTTGACAAAAACAGCATTATCCCAGATTTCTAGAGTCAGAGCCCAATTCTTGCTTCTGACTTGGAAACAATCTTCAGTTACCTTAAATTATTTTCCTTACTAAAGTCCCCTATTTTTCTATTTCCAAATGGCATTGATACCTACAAAAGACAGATCTTCTACTGCGAGTGTTTTTCCTAGCTTCTACAACTCCCCAAAATTATCTTCCAGTGTCTAAGACTCTAACGACAGTTGTCCCACCCTACAATCCCCTTCATTACTCAAATTCATCCTAAAAAAAAAAGGGTAACTTGGTATTCTGGCCCCATGGTGTGGAATGTAAGGAAAAGCGATCAGCTGAACAAAGAGTAATCATCTCCTGGCCCCGTAAGACAGGTTGGCATTAGGAAGCAAGACAGTAGGTTCCTATGCTCCTACCAGCATATCTGAGTGGTAGAGCCCAGGTCACATATCTGCATTGCAGCTGCAAAGGAGACTGGGAAGGTGAGCTCCTACCTCAAACCTACGGATGAACTTTAGAAGCCAGAGACAGAAGGGAAGGACAACAGGTTCTGGAGCAACGTTGAAGATTACAGAAAGAATGGGAGGAACTGGCTCTCAAAGTTAATTAATTCTGGCCTCTGATACTTTTGCCATTCAACATCAGTATATTTTCCTGAAGGTCTAGGAGATATATATATATATAGATATATAGATATATAGATATATAGATATATATATAGATATATAGATATATATATATAGATATAGATATATATAGATATAGATATAGATATAGATATAGATATAGATATTTTTTTTTTTTTTTTAAGACGGAATCTCGCTCTGTCGCCCAGGCTGGAGTGCAGTGGTGCGATCTCGGCTCACTGCAAGCTCTGCCTCCCGGGTTCACGCCATTCTCCTGCCTCAGCCTCCCAAGTAGCTGGAACTACAGGCGCCTGCCACCACGCCCAGCAATTTTTTTGTATTTTTAGTAGACACGGGGTTTCACCGTATTAGCCGGATGGTCTCAATCTCCTGACCTCGTGATCTGCCCACTTCTGCCTCCCAAAGTGCTGGGCATGAGCCAAAGTACAGGCATGAGCCACCGCACCTGGCCGAAGATATTTTTTATTATGTGCATTCAGAATTTTTTGCCTTCTCAATATTCCTCTGCAAGAGTACATTGCATGTACTAATTATAACTGCCAGCTATTGACTAAATCTGATATGTAGCTGAACTGGATTTATTTCTTAGCTTAGTGTTACAGCACACACACACCTAATCAAGTTCTCCCTCCCCCTTCCCACCTCCTCCAACCCCAAACTATAATTATTAAACCAAGAAATGTGAAACAAAGCACACCATCAGCACACGTGTGTGGTAAAGCAGCCACCGTGACTTGCCCTGCTTCAGCATCACCAGGTGAGACAACCACACACCTTGCCTTGTATTGCAGCTTCTAAGGCAAACATCCTTCAGGAAACATGATACAGGACCAGAAACAAGAGTATAATTACAAATCTGTTGTTATTTTCTACAGAATCTTGGTTGGGGTGAGTAAGAGCTTCCCTCCAAAATTCCCTTTTTGTTGACATTTGGCAGGACTTCTGTCAACAAAATTACATCAACCAACACCTAGCAGTATCTGGCATGTGGTAAATACTCAATACCTGTTTTTAAGAATCAGAAGAAAATCCAACGAAAATGAGCCCTGTCTAATCTCATAAGTGAAAAAGTTAAAGCAGTTAGTATAGCAGTTAGTGCCAAGTACTTAGTAAGTGCTATGTAAGTATGAGCTATTGGGGTTATTATCATTATCTAGAGTCACTGTTGCTTCTTGTTCACATTCTGGTCATCCAGAAGGTCCTCTCCCATTTCCCTCTGTCCTGTCCTCCCTCTTATTTAAATACTATCAACTACAAATAATAAAATAAATACTATCACAATTTGCAAGGAAATTTAAACCACCCCCTCCTCTCTCTCTTCTCTCTGTCTCTCTCTCTCACATACACAAACACACACACACACACACACAGTGAGAGAGCATAGCCTCGCTCTCATGCACTGCTGATGGGAGTGTATGAAGCACAACTCCTACAGAAGGCAATTTGGAAACAGCTACCAAAATTACAAACGCATGGCTCGGCATGGTGGCTCACGCCTGTAATCCCAGCACGTTGGGAAGCCAAGGTGGGCAGATCACTTGAGCCCAGGAGTTTGAGACCAGCCTGGACAACATGATGAAACCCTGTCTCTATTAAAAATACAAAAATTAGCCAGGTGTGGTGGTGCATGCCTATAATCCCAGCTATTCAGGAGGCTGAGGCAGGAGAACTGCATGAACCCAGGAGGCAGAGGTTGCAGTGAGCCAAGATCACACCACTGCACTCCAACCTGGGTGAAAAAACAAGACTCCACCTTAAAATATATATATATATATTTTTTTTTAAATTACAAACACTTAGACTTCTCAACCCAGCAGGCTGCATTGGAGAGTTTATTTTACAGATTAACTCTGCACCCATGTGACATGTAATATGTACAAGATTGTTTATTGCAGTCTTGTTTGAAATGGCAAAATGAAAATAAGCCAAGTGTTTGCCAGTAGGGAACTCACTAAATAAACTTTGTAATAAGCATAGAATGGAATATTATACAGCGATGAACCAAATTTTCAATGAGGAAGACCTCTATGTACTTACATAAGAAAATCTCCAAAATATATTGCTAAGTTAAAAAAATAAGGCACATAAGGACAGTGTACAAAACATCTCAAATTCTGTATAAAAAAGCAGGGAATAAAAATGTATACTTCTATTTGTTTTACCTTAAGAAACTCTGGAAAGATATGGAGGAAACTAAGAGGAATGATTGTCATGGCAGGGAATGGAGAATTAGGCCAATGAAGTGGGTGAGGGGAAACAGGGTAAAAAGGAAAACTTTTTACCATAAAACTTTTTATTGTCTATTCAACATAGATGAAAAAGAGAGAGAGAGCGTGCACCATCTTTTTTTCAAGGAGAAAGGAAAGAAAACCTGGTCTTCTCTCTGAGGCGCTTATTTGCCTGCCATGAGCTATGGTTGAAGTTGATGCCCTGGAAGTTCGCCATCTTGAACAGTCCTAGTCCCCATTTTCCAGGCTTCTTCCCCTCCACACTTTGGCCTGGGCTGGGAAACTGTCCCTAGAGAGCTGGACCCCTGTGCTGACTAGCTTAATACAGTCTGTTGGGCTATGATCCTATGTGTACACGCATGTATTCCTTCTGGGACACAAGAGTATAAATTAAGAAAAATCTCTTGGATCCCAGACTCAGTATTATAACTCTTCATTTCTTTGCTTTCATTGGTTTCAAGTCAGCCATTTAATATGATTTGCAAATAGCTTTGTGTGGTATGATATTAGAGGTCAGAAGACTTCTCAATCCATCTAAAAATACATAAACACGCCACAACAAAAATCCATTAAAGTAGAAATAGCTAATCTCTTACATAAGGAGAATAAATAATTCACCTCCAGGCTCTCCCACCATAAATCAGTTGTGCCCTTATCAGACACCGGTGCTGGAGTAGAAAAGTACAGCAGCTGTATTCAACTTCGACAATAAAAAGAGGGGGGTGGAAAAACTAGGGATGAAACATTTGTTTTCTTTCCATGTACGTCTCCAAACAGACTACATAATAAATAAGCTGGGAGAGACCCACGACTTAATTCCATGACCGATGAAAACCTTTTCTAACTTTTTACCCCAGGTAAAGGGTCTCCAGGATCTATCTGACTCACACCTTAAGGGGAACAGCAGTGCCATGTACCAATCCGCGGATGTGATTCGAACACCTGCTAGGCTCACCCCTGCTGCAGTGAAAGGCTGACGGGGAAGAACCCGCCATCTTGGCCCCCTCAAGCTCAGCTGGAGGAGGAAGGGAAGAGTCAGGGACAAAATTCCACAGGACTTGTCTATATCACTGATCCCCACCCTCACAGGGCTGTCCAAACTTAAGCCCAGATGGGTCCACAAAAGGGTCCCAACGGAAAGAACTGCTCCCACACCTCCTGGAGAAACAGTCAAGAAGGCTATAGAAAAGGTTTAGAGAGAGAGGACCCGGTCAGGAAACAAGGCTCAAGTCAAGTCAGTCGCTTGAATTCAGGTGACCTACCCCCAACACCAACCCCTGCCCATGTGCAGCAAGAGTTTTTAAACTTAGTTAACAAACATCGACATAGTGTGTGCTCTGTGCCAGGTGCCATTCTAAAGGCTTCAAATACCAACTCCTTAAGTATTCATAACATCCCTTTGAGGTAGGTACTACTATTAGCTCCGTTTTTCTGATGAGGAGACTGAAGTGCAAAATGATTAAGAATCGTGCCTGAATTTATTTAGTCGTGGATCAGGAAGCGAAGGATGCTTCAGCTCGTCACCACCTTCACAGAAGAGCTTGTCACCACCACCTTCACGTCTGTTCTGGGCCCTGAGTGGGCTGTGTACAGAGAAGAAGAGAAGTGACCAGAGACAGGCTGCAAACTCAGCATAAAAGTTAACAGAGATGTTTTGTATCCTAATAATTATCATTAATACTAGGAATTGTTGTTGAGAAGTTTTTTTGTGAAGAGACTTTTAATCAGCTTACTTTTCTTAGCATTCCCAAACCTTATCCGTATCCAGCTGAGGATCACAGTGAAAAATGGTTGGGAGTCAGCTCTTCTCCAGGACCAATTAATAACATGAATCAGGAGGAATGTGAGGTTTTCTCAAGACAACCACATCCTACTTACTCATTTAAAATGAGCCTCCAAAATGCTGACTCAGCATAGCATCTCAGAACATGGTATATATCAGCAGTGAGAGTACATGAGATGTGAAGTAGAAAAGGTAAGCTTTGCGTCAGTTATCTATTGCCACAACAAAGCTGTGTGGCAACCTCAAAACTCAATGGCTTTTGTTGGGACAACTAAATATTTACATGCAACAACAACAACAACAAAAAACAACTTAGGCCCTTGCCTCTTATTACATACAAAAATTACCTCAAAATGAATCAAAAACCAACATGTAAGAGATAGAACTGTAAAACTTTTTGAGAAAACATAAGGGTTGGCTGGGCACAATGGCTCATGCCTGTAACGTCAGCACTTTGGGAGGCCAAGGCGGGGGGATCGCTTGAGGCCAGGAGTTCAAGATCAACCTGGCCAATATGGTGAAACCCCATCTCTACTAAAAATACAAAAATTAGCCGGGTATGGTGGTGCACACCGGTAGTCCCAGCTACTCAGGAGGCTGAGGCAGGAGAATCACTTGAACCAGGAGGTGGAGGTTGCAGTGAACCAAGATTGTGCCACTGCACTCCAACCTGTGTGACACAGTAAGACTCTGGAAAGAAAGAATGAAAGAATGAAACAATGAAAGAAAGCGAGAGAAAGAGAGAGAGAAAGAAAGAAAACATGGGGTAAATCTTCAAGACCTTGGATTCCTAGATATGACACCAAAAGCGTGAGCAACAGAAGGAAAAAAAAAGATCAATTGGACTTCATTAAAATTAAACATTTTGGCAGGGCATGGTGGCTCACGCCTGTAATCCCAGCACTTTGGGAGGCCAAGGTGGGTGAATCACCTGAGGTCAGGAGTTTAAGACCAGCCTGGCCAAGAGGGTGAAACCCTGTCTCTACTAAAAATACAAAAATTAGCCAGGCATGGTGGTGGGCGCCTGTAATCCCAGCTACTCAGGAGGCTGAAGCAGAGAATTGCTTGAACCCAGGAGGTGGAGGTTGCAGTGCACTGAGATCACCCCACTGCACTACAGCCTAGGCGACAGAGTGAAACTCCGTCTCAGAAAAAAAAAAAAAAATTAAACATTTTGTGCATCAAAAACACAATATCAACAAAATAAAAGAGCAATCCATAGAATGGGAAAGAATATTTGCAAATTATATATCTGATGAGTCTAGTATCCAGAATATATAAATAACTTTCAACAATTAAAATAAACAAACAAACAAAAAAGTTAAAACTGGCCAAGTTACTTGAATAGACGTTTCTCCAAAAAAGATATACAAATGGCCAACAAGAACTGGAAAAAGATGTTCAACATCATTAGTCATTAGCAAAATGCAAACCAAAACCACAGTGAGATACCATTTCACACCCACTAGGATAACTGTAATAATTTTTTTAAAGAAAGAAAATAAGTGTTGGTGAGGATGTGGAGAAACTGGAACCTTCCTACATTGCTGGTAGGAATATAAAAGGGTATATCCACTATGGAAAACAGTTAGGTAGCTCCTCAAAAATTAAATATAGGATTACCATATTACCCAGGAATTCCCCTTCAAGGTATATAGCCAAAATAATTGAAAACAGGTGTTCAAACAAAACCTGTACAGCAATATTTATAATAGCACTATTCACAATGGCAGACAGGTGTAAACAACCCAAATGTTCATCAATTTGGTAACAAAATGTGATAAATCCATATAGTGGAATATTTTTCAAGCACAAAAAGGAATGAAGCACTACATGCTACAACATGGATGAACCTCAAAACTTTTATGCTAAATGACATGAAAGGACATATATAGTAAGATTCCATGTATGTAAAATATCCAGGATAAGCAAGTCCTTTGAGACAGAAAGCAGATTACTGGTTGCCAGGGGTTGGGGTGGGAGCATTGGGAAATGACTGCTCAATGGGTATGGGGTGTCCTTTGGGAGTGAACTAGGAGTGGTGATAATTGTACAACATTGTGAATACATTAAATGCCACTGAATAGTACACTTAAAAAGGTTAAAATGCTAATTTTTATGTTAATTGCACCTCGATTTTAAAAAAAAACTCGGGCCAGGCACAGTGGCTCCCGCCTGTAATCCCAGCACTTTGGGAAGCCAAGGCAGGAGGATTGCTTGAGCTCAGGAGTTTGAAACCAACCTGGGCAATATTACAAAACCCCATCTCTACAAGAGGGAGGGAGGGAGGGAGGGAGGGAGGGAAGGAGAAAGGGGAAAGGGGGAAGGGAAAGGGAGAGGGAGGAAAGAGAGAGAGAGGGAGAGAAAGAAAGAGAGAGGAGAAAGGAAGGAAGGGAGGGAGGGAGGGAAATTATTTGGCCATAGTGGCATGCGCCTGTGCTTCCAGCTACTCAGGAGGCTGAGATGGAAGGATTTTTTGAGCCTGGGAGGTCAAGGCTGCAGTAAGTCAAAACTGTGTCACTGTACTCCAGCCTGGGAAATAGAGTGAGAACCTGTCTCAAAAATAAAATAAAAATTAAATTAAATTTAAGTTTTAAAAGGGCAACGGCTTTTTTTAAGAACTATTTCTCAGTCACATAATCTGTGGGTTGACTGGGGGTAAGGTGATCTAGTCTGAGCTAGGCTGGGCTTGGTTTGAGGCTACAAATTGGATACAGGTCTGCCTCACATGTCTCTCATCTTCCTCAGACCAGTAGACTAGACAGGGCATGATATGATTTGGCTGTGTCCCCACCCAAATCTCATACTGAATTGTAGCTCCCATAATTCCCATGTCTCATGGGAAGGACCCAATGAGAGGTAATTGAATCATGGGGGCAGGTCTTTCCTGTGCTGTTCTCATGACAACACATAAGTCTCACGAGATCTGATAGTATACATAAAGGGAAGTTCCCCTGCACATGCTCTCTTGCCTGCCACCATGTAAGATGTGACTTTACTCCTCTTTTGCCTTCTGTCATGATTGTGAAGCCTCCCTAGCCATGTGGAATGGCGAGTCCATTAAACCTCTTTTTCTTTATAAATTACTCAGTCTCAGGTATATCTTTATTAGCAGCATGAAAACAGACTAATACAGGGCATATTCTTCTCATGGGGATAGCAGAAGCAGAGGGCAAGGCCAATACACAAATGCATTGAAAGCCTTGGCTTGCATAGTGTCTGCTAACATCCTGTTGGCCAAAGCAAGTCACATGGCTGAGCTGAAGGACAAGGGGCAGGAAGTATACCCCACTACTGGTAAAAGGTGCTTCAAAGTTGGATGGCAAAGGACAAAGATAAAGGGAGGGGGAAGAATTGGGAACTCTAAAACAATCTACCTCAGCTCTTCCCCTACACAGGAGACCTCTTCATTCTTCAATCCTAGATGGTAAGGATCCCTCCCTAGCTTTTCTACAAGCTTTCATAATTTTCTAGAGCAAAGGATGTTCTTCTAAGTAATGTGACCCAATTCACTCAAGGTAACTCTTATTATATTGTAAAAAACACAGATCAAAGTAAGTGTTTATGAAGTTCCCTGGGCTTTTCTAATGCTTAGCAGAGGAAATGCATGGGTTCCAAGACAATTATGCAGTCCTCACTATCAGATAAGACATTTTCAGATGCTCTAGTTCTCCCCTCCATAGTTCGTGGCAGATTTTAAAACTGACCATTAGTCAAGGGAAGAAAGAGGATATGGAAGATTGTGTAGGAATTTTATGGGCCAGTCCTGGAAGTAGCAGACATCACTTCTATCTCCATCCTATTGGCTAGAACTCAGTCATACAGTTGCAAATTTTATAGCTGCAAAGAAGACTGACACATGCAATCTAGCCATGTGCCCAAGAAAAAAAATGAACTGCTTAGCCAGTCTCTGCCACATTCTATATTAAGCTGCCTTTATTTGAATGTCAAATCACCTAAAGTCGGCTTTCAAAATGTGTTAACCTCTTATTTGTGGGGGTTTGGGGAACCACTTTTTCAAGACTGGGGCTGCAGAGAGGAACCCTGGCAGGAGGTTTGAGGACAATGGCAACAGCAACAGCTAGAGACACAGGGACAACACCAGTAGGAACAAAATTCAGATCAAAGCAGTGGAAGCCTACACCAGAACTTGAAGTAAAAGCATGTGAAGCATCAGTGACCCCAGGATTCCAATGCCTGGAATCCGAGCTAGAAAAGGGAATGGGTTCCTAGAGACAAATGCCATCAAAGGACAAAAGCCTTGACCTCATCTGAGTCTGGCCTGGGGAAACAAGACTTCCACGTATTGCTTACATATTTCAATGGTCCATTAATGGTTTGCTCCTTCAACTTTTACAGTCACCCTGAATAAATTTCAGATCCAACAAGCAATAGAATCAAAGTGATTTGGACACAAAAGTACTTCTTTCCTTTCTCTCCCACTCCTTTTGCCAACCTTGCTCCTTATTATAGCTGCCCTGAACCAGGGAAAAGAAAAAGCTAGGCCAACGGTGCTGTTAACACCTCCAAGGCCAAGGAAAGACAAAATGAATTCAAAAATCATACTTCCAATGTACTCATTGCGCTTCCTGGAGCTGGCAAGCTCTTTATTTCTCTGCAATGACCTACTCTTCTCTCCTGAAATTTCAAGCCGGTTGCCACTTCCACCCTTCTAACTGGGGGCTTTATTATCTTAAGGTGTGAAAAGTTTCTTCGGCAGAAGTCTGCCTGGGAGAGAAATCAGAATGATTTAAGCAGTGCCCATGTGTGTAGAAAATGGAAGAGAATCCCCAGCTGACACATCAGAAGGGAAAAATGTAAGCTCAGATGCATTTATTAAGGGAGGTTGAATATCGGCTCAGCAACTTCCCCCCCACCCTCACTTTTTTTAACTCTCAGATACTATTTTAATGTAAAGGTACCACAAGTCCTCAGCAAATCACAGCTTTGAAGGAAAATGTCAATTCCTATCAAACCCTGAAGAATTGTTGGAGCTGATGGAAATCTAAATTCAGCCTTTGGTTTCCCCATTTTCCCTTCCGTCCCTCCAAACCAATCCCCTCCTCTGCCAACTTGCTCCTAAAGTGCAGGAACAGAGCTGCAAATCAACGCCTGGGGGACATCCCATCAGACAATGGGAAGGTCTGAAGAAAGGTTAAAGCAGAAAGAAAACTAAATTTATAGACTTAGCATTAAAATCTTAAAGGACCTTAGGAACAGCAATGAATCTGATGTTAGGAAAGGCAGGGGCTGTCAGAGGCCATGGCAGGACGGCCTGACAAGGGCTATAAATCTAAGCGAGGAGAGGGAAAAAATAGGCGTCCTTTCAGGCTGAGTCAACGTGATGAAAAGATCTGAACGTGGACTTGAAAGAGAGGCAAGGCCGCAGAGGCATGGCGGGGAAGAAGCGGACTGGGGACTGCAAATAAAGGATGAAAAGGGCAGGAGATCGTGGGGGTGGGAGAGAGGAGCAGGCTGGGGCTAGCAGAGGCCTACAACAAAGACACCAGCAACACACTTTGGGCTGTGGAGGGAACTTTGAAACTGATCCCCAAAGAAAGGAAACAAAAGCTGTGCTTGCTCCTTGCTGTATAGATGAGATGGAATGCAAAGCAACCTTGTAAGCAACCAGAATCAACATGGAAACCAGGAAGCCCAGGGCAAAAGAAGATGTGGAGGGGATTGGAGAAAGGCAGCAGCATCTAATGGTTAGAACACAAGCCAGAAGGCCGGGAACTCCCAGGAGTATTTTTAATTTTCATTCACTCATTCTGTGTGTTTTTGGGTTCTTGGTTTTTGATTCTTTCAATGATGCCCTCTGGGGTTCAAGTAAGATACATTACAATGCTAATTAAAATATTAGATGTAAGCCAGGCACAGTGGCTCACCCCTGTAATCCCAGCACTCTGGGAGGCCGAAGCGGGTGGATCACTTGAGGTCAGGAGTTCATGACCAGCCTGACCAACATGGTGAACCCGTCTCTACTAAAAATACAAAAATTAGCTGAGCATGGTGGCACACACCTGTAATTCCAGCTACTCAGGAGGCTAAGGCAGGAGAATAGCTTGAACCCAGGAGGCAGAGGCTACAGTGAGCCAAGATTATGCCACTGCCTTCCAACCTGGGCAACACAGCAAGACTCCCTCTCAAAATAAATAAATAAATAAATAATAAAATAAAAATAAAAATTAGACATAAGACAATTACAACTGAAAATAACATACCATGAATTATTATAAAATGCCAAGTTCAAATGGTCTTCCCCTCTGGGCAGGCCCCATGGGAAAAGGAGGATTGGCATCACTTTGCCAGGGCTTCTGCCAGCTTCACTTATGTCCTAGAGTGAGGCATTGTTTCCTCTGCCTCAGTTTCCCCCAGTGGAAAGGAAGTTGGCAGATCTGTTTCACAGTTGCCAGAGAGGATTAGTTAAATTAATATCATCATGGTATATTTCAAACCCTTGAGATTAAGTGTAGTTGTTCAGGTACACGCACATACATATATACACACCCATGCATGAAATGCAACCTTTTCAGTCTTTTGAAATACGAAAATCAGTTTCCCTTCTACTTATATCTGATATATGTTTCCACTCCATTTGCTTTCTACATTTTCCATTTCCTCTCTTTTTCTAGTTGCTTTTCCCTTCTTATCAAATTTCTGTCCACTTTTTCCAGCTTCTGTCTTCTCTCTTGTCTGGCACTTTGACTCTCCCCAGTTTTGCATTTCTCCCAATTGTCTTGGAAGCTAGAGTGCATCTCATGTGCAAGGTCGTTTCATAGGTGACTGCACATTGCCATTAATATTCATTAGCTTTCTTAATCTGCAGTAAAAAATAGAAAAAAAATACTACCTTTCCATGTGTCAGACTAGTTGATTGGTAGGTTCTACTTTTAAAGCATCAAATTCTCATTCTATAGAGAACTTGGAGGTCTGAAAGCTCTGGTGTGGTGGACAAATTTCCTTGGACCAACCAAGGAGAAAGAAATTAGCAAAGCTGAGAGATGATCTTGCAGGAGAAAGTTAAGCTTCAAAGTGATAAGCATCATTATAACCTTCACAGGTGAATTCATCTAGGTGTATTTCCCAAGAATGGCGATCACCTTTCATAGCCTAGACACTAGCAGATCAAAGGGATTTCCCTGAAACATTAAGAATTTTAAACTCTGGAACCTAATAAATGCCTTCAAGAGTTTTCTATTGCCTATAAAAAGTCAATGTGGGCCAGATGCAGTGGCTCACACCTGTAATCCCAGCCCTTTGGAAGGCCGAGGTGGGTGGATCACTTGAGGTCAGGTGTTCAAGACCAGCCTGGCCAACATGGTGAACCCTCGTCTCTACTAAAAATACAGAAATTAGCTGGGCATGGTGGCGGGTGCCTGTTAATCCCAGTTACTTGGGAGGCTGAGGCAGGAGAATCACATGAACCCAGGAGGCAGAGGTTGTGGTGAGCTGCAATCATGCCACTGTACTCCAACCTGGGTGACACAGCAAAACTCCATCTGAAAAAAAGAAAAAAAGTCAATGTAGATCAGGAAAAGCTGGATGTTGCAACCCAGACCTAGCATGTACCATCTTAAAACACAGAGAGAAGCCAAACATATCTGTGTATAAGGTAAAGGTGTATAAAGAGTAAAAATAAAATAAAATAAAAAGATGGAAAAGTAAACACCATCTTAGATATTTAGAACCTCTCATAAGAAATAATTTTTTTTTTTGCTTATGTCAATGGATCCATAAAATAAATGGACTTAACCTGACTTCTAACTCATTTGGTGAAAAGCTAGTAGACTAGAGGTTTATTTGTAGAACTGGGATCTTTCAGCAACTCAGTAACAGACTTCCTGTTTGACTTTGGGCAAGTTATTTAACTACTTGATATCTAAAGTTACTCATCTGTAACATGAGTAAAATAATATGATAGCCACATTATTTTTGGCGCTCAGACTGCTCCCAACTTAGAGTGTGTAACTAAATCTCACAGACGAATTTCACAGAATTAATGAATATCTGCAAATGCTGTAGGCCCTCAAGTCAAATGCTCTCTTCATGGTCTTATCATTATAAAGTAGACATTAGTAGCCCCAGTATCATCACCCCTCCCCTAAGTCATCTCTCTCCTGTCTGGTATGACCTCTCTGTGTTTAAGAACATGTCGGTCCCTCTAGTGAAAAGGCCTTCCCTCCATTCTCCCATCTATCAGAGTCCCTACTGAGACAGCCAAGTGCAAAGGGGTTCCTGCAAAAACTCCAACTGGCCTGTGCACTGGGAGGAGTGCACATTGAGGGGGGTAGAGCCACAGAAGTTTGTGCTGTTTGCAGCGGGGAGGAGCCTGGCCCCTCCTCTTCCTAGGTGGAGCCTGGAATTCAATCTGCCCACTAGCAGGACTCTGGCTTTGTGGAGGGTCCCTGTTTCCCTTTTTTCCTTTTTGTCCAATAAATTCCATTATTCTCACCCTTCAAACTGTCTGTGAGCCTAATATTTCATGGCCATGTGACAAGAATCAAGCTCTTAGCTGAATTAAGAAGGAATTCCTACAACACTACCACATCTTTCCTCTAGAATGCATAGGAAATCATACTAACCTTGATTTGTCTTTTCTTCCTCCCTCCTTAACACCTTATAATCTGGTTTCTGTCCGTCACCCTATATGGTTTTGTTGGTGTTTCAAACTCAATCACTTTCCTATGTTCCAGTCCTTTTACAAAGGTGTGTTTTCTCTTCCACTTTTTCTAGAACTGTGATGATTTATGTCTAGACTTCAGAGATGCTTCCATATAGTAGATCACCTCCAACCTTTCCAATAATACCTTGGCAGAGTCATGTCTCTTCCTGCTCAGTGACCATGTCTTCTAATTCTTCTCCACATAGCATTTCCGATAAGTGATTTGTAATCAGGTGGTTTTCCTATCAACTCTATGTACAATTTCCAGCTTCTGTTTGTCTCTTTTAGATCTGCAAGTGAATTCTGTCCAAGATACCTGTATCAGTTATCCATTGCCATAATAATAATGCATAACAAACAATCTTAAAACACAGTGATTTAAAACAGTCACTGATTTTTATTGCTCATGAGTGTATGAATACTCTGGATGGTTTTGTGATGTGGGCCTAACTTGACTGATCTCAGCTGGGTGTGTTCACACATCCATGTCACGTGGTGGGTGGGTAAGAACTGGGTGATCTCAGATGGACTCAGAGGGGACAACTGGGATGACCTGGCTCTGCTCACCTGGTTTCTCACCCTCTAGCAGGCTCACCGGGATTTGCTCATATGGTGATGACAGGGTTACAAAAGAGTAAACACACCTGTGCAAGGCTCAGAACTGTAACACTGTTACTTCCACCACATAATTCTAATTGACCAAAGCAAGACATATAACCAGCCCAGATTCAAGGGGTGGGGAAGAAGGCACTCCTCTTGATGGAAGGAGATGCAAAATCATATTTTAAGAAATATGGATTCAGAGAGGGAAATAATTGGGACAATTTTTCCAATTATTCTACTACTACACCTCTGCATAAATGTCCGGCCGTCATACACAGACAAGCAAAGAAAAAGCTAACCTCCTTCTCTGAACTTGTTGGCAGTTCTATCAGCATTCCAAGATGCTCAGCTCCCTAAAATTTGAACTTCAAAACCATCATTCAGCCTACTTCAAAATCTCAGCATTGTCTGATTATATCACATCCTGGCTAGGCTCTTGAAATCATTTCCTTACAAACACCTGCATTTCCAGGGATCCATCACCCCTGCAAGTCATCTACATTCCCCTTCTGGGAGCATCACTTTGACCCTCTCCACCTCTTGCAGAAATCTCTGTTTCTGGTCATGCCCTTCCACCAACCTTTGCATATATGTACAGGCTAGTGTGCACATCTTTAAAATGAACAGTAGAGGAGAATCAACAGCAGAATGGTAGAAAATGAAAAAGGAAGAAAAGGAAGAACAACATTTAATGACACAGTAGTTGAAATCCAGTTTATCTATGTCTTCTCATTGAGCTAACCCCTGAAAAACTCAGAGAATGTCAAATATAATATCTTCAATCCATTCAATCATGCTGTATATCCAACTCTCACTACATATATAATTGTTGGAAAACTCATTAATCTAGATCTTATTGATATGCTTGCTATGAAAATTAATCATCTTGCTGGGCACGATGGCTCAGGTTTGTAATTTCAGCACTTTGGGAGGCCAAGGCAGGTAGATCACTTGAGGTCAGGAGTTCAAGACCAGCCTGGCCAACATGGTGAAACCCCATCTCTACTAAAAATACAAAAATTAGCCAAGCATGGTGGTGGGTGCCTGTAATCCCAGCTACTCAGAAGGCTGAGGCAGGAGAATCACCTAAACCTGGGAGGCAGAGGCTGCAGTGAGCCGAGATCACACCACCGCATTCCAGCCTAGGTAACAGAGTGAGAATGTGTTTCATTTAAAAAAAAAAAATCTCAAGCAAGATAGTTTTCCCTTTGCTAAATTCATTACAGCCCATGAGTAAAATACATGTTGTGATTGTTAATACTGTCAACTTGATTGGATTGAAGGATGCAAAGTATTGATTCTGGGTGTGTCTGTGAGGGTGTTGCCAGAGGAAATTACTATTTGAGTCAGTGGGCTGGGAAAGGCAGACCTACCCTTAATCTGGGTGGGCACAATCTAATCAGCTGCCAGCATGGCCAGGATATAAAGCAGGCAGTAAAACATGAAAAAGCTAGACTAGCCTAGCCTCCCAGCCTACACCTTTCTCCCATGCTGGATGCTTCCTGCCCTTGAACATTGGACTCCAAGTTCTTCAGCTTTGGGACTTGGACTGACTTCCTTGCTCCTCAGCTTGCAGACAGCCTATTGTGGGACCTTATGATAGTGTGAGTTAATACTACTTAATAAACTCTCCTTTATATATATCCTATTAGATCTGTCCCTCTAGGGAACCCTGTCTAATTCACATGTGCCTAGATTTTCAAAAGCATGTTTGAAAATTATAACAAGATCCAGACGCAGTCAATAATTTATAGAACTAAAGCCTGTAGTTGAGATATAGTATCCTGCTTGGGCTAAAACATGGAAACATTTTTCATGAATTTGCTCATTTTTATTCTCAACCCTTGCTTGCTGTTCTGCCAAAAATGCCCACCTCCTTGCCTTATCTCCTGTTTAGCCCATTTCTAGAGGACAAGGGTTTTGTCCCTACCACTATTCTCTTCTCCCAGCTTCCCCACATTGTTCTGGCACATAATTGAAATTTAACAAGTATTTACTCCTTACTGTGGTGGTATGGGGCCATTTCAAACGGACCACCCCTTGTTAGTAAACTTCAAAACTTCACAAAGGCACAAACTTGTAGTGGGAAAGTGCAGTCTTTTGAACATCTGGAATAAATGCCAAGACTCTGTGCTGAACATTCTTCCCTAGAGATTTCAAATTTGTATTTGGGTTTGTATGTGTGTGGTGGTAGCTATTGTTCTCGAAAAACCAATGTCTGGTGCTTTTTCTCTGGATTTTAGACTCATAACCTTAAACTAACTTTAACCCATTAACTGTTGACCTCTATTCTTTTTTTTGAACTTTGTTCCCTTTTATGCTTTCCTCACCCTGTGTCATTTAGAACCTCAAATTCCAGGTCTCGGAGCAAACGTCAAAAGTCCTTGGAGGGAGAACTCCTCATCCCACTGATTTTGTTTAGCATAAATCTAGCCCTTTTCCCTCTGTGTTTTCGGTGGCTCAGTCATTATTAACCGCCATATGTAATCTCAAATGCTGCTTCTCTCTATATTCTTTCAGGTATCCAAGCCCAGTCTTTGGGGACCACTTGATCTTCTTTGGTTTTCTTTGACTCCTGAATTAGGTCATTGATTTTTTTAGTTTCCCCTCCAATTTTCTGTAAGAAGCCAAGCAGACATAAAGCCAAGCAGAGAATCATAGCCACCAACCAAGAGGATAGAACCAGGGTCAGAGAGGGCTAAAGTTCCCAGATTGTTTCCTTTTCTATCACCCCATTTGTAAAGCATCCTTCTACTATGTTGACTTCAAGCCCCATATTTCACTCAGCTTCCTCTAACAGAGTCACCTTAGCCCTCTTCTCTTCTCTTTCCCACACAGTCTTGAGGCCCTAGAAAGTCTTTCTTCAATCCATACAGACAAACAGCTCCACTTATTAGTTTGATTCAATGCCAAGTTACTTTTCTGAAACACTTTCAGTCTGCATTATAAACCAACACTCCCACGAGAACTGGCCTGCTTCCTTCCCACACTGATAGTGTGAGGAGGGAAAAATCCCCACACATCAGAGACCAATCCCACTCAGGTCTGTGATTGGTTGAGAGACAATAGAGGGCGTGGTTCTGGGTCAGCTGTTCAGCTTCTCTATCCACCCTCTTTAAACTGCAGAAAGGAATAAATGGTCAAAAAGAAAATTAAGCAAATCAAACAAGATGAATTAAATGAGCTTGTCTTTCCACACGATAATCTGCATAGTGATGGGGAGCAGTTTCAAATCAAGATGGGAGCAGTAGCCAAAACTATTAGTAGGTTGGGAAATGGGGTGCATCAGGGGTCAGATTTACAAAACAGTGCTCTTTAGCCAAACCTCTGAAATACTAAACAAAAACAACACTCAGATACATTGAAAAGACCAACCCAAAGCATCTGGTTTCCTTAGCTGGTGCACATAGAAGAAGAAATGCTGGCAGAACATTTGATTACCATAAAAGAGAGGGCTATGCAGAAACCACATTAGAGTAAACTCAACCAAAACAAAGTCAAATGTTTGAACTGTTGTGAATAGATTATGGTGGAGACTTGGAAAAGGGTCTAGCCTGGATTAATGAGAAATGCAAATGAACTGGCTCAGAAGCAAACCAGCTTCCCCTGTGATGTGACCCTTTGCCTCTCAGATTTGGGGGTGAAGTAAATACCTGTCATCTTCAGAACTGCTGAGAGGCACATCACATCCACATGACGGGTGGCTGGACCAGGCATGTTAACCGTTTCCAGAGGAGTGATAAGTCAGCTTGATGCTGAAGTGTGTCTGCAGATCCCGCTTCACTGCCAACTCCACCTCTCTCTTCCTTTCAATGAAGAACTCCACGGAGCAGCTGGTTTTGATCATTTTGTCCATGGCAAAGACTGTGAGAAACACATTTATTTTGGTAAAACACAGCATACATACATACATAAATATATATATATATATTTACACACACATATATATATTTACACACACACACACATATATATATTTACACATATATATTTGCACACGCTTTTTCTCTGGGTTGTATATATGTCTATTTATTGTCCGGGGTTGGCAATAAACTTCAATCCATCTTCCAGAGTGTCCTCTTATGGGCTATCAACAAAACCTTTCCTAATTTGGGTTTTTGGCAGCTGAATCCAACCACCACTGGAAACCAAACTGCTGGGCTTTAGAAAGCCGAGCCCATCCATCTGGACAGGCCTTTCTCAAAGGAACCCTGACCTCCCCTGGAGACCCTCCCCCTCTAAGCCCCTCTTAGCATTATTGTGTTAAAAGAGGCTGTTGAGAAACCAATATTCGTTTGAGAATATGCAAGTGGTTCTCATCATGCTCTCCAAACCCTATCCGGAGTGGGAGCACAGAAAGATTCAATAATTTATAGGCTTGGAGGTTCAGTGAATCAGGAAAATTCTCCCCAAACTAGTGCTAACAAAAAGAATAGGGGAGGGAGTATGAAATTAGGTTGACAGGATGACTGGGAGTGTTGGTTATGGTTCTGCCTTCCTGGTAGGGGAATGAGCGCTGAGTAATAACCTTGCTGATGGTGAGTTATTTTCATGAGGGCATTTTAAATGGCTGCTCTTTCTCCCCAGATAGCCAGATTACCTTATGCCAGGGAGCCACCCCACCCCCGCTGCTTCTGCTGCCCGGTGCCTGGATTGAAAAATGTGAGGCAGCTGTGGGAGATGAGAGCCAGACGTCCTTCTATTTACTTATTTAACTAGTCTGCTGGCCTGGGTGCAGTCATGCAGTTTTCCATTTACATAATGTGCTAATTGGATATCAGTACCTGCCCAGCCTTAGTCCATTCTTAGGGGCCTCTAGATGCAGGTCTCGACTCTTTCACTCAAAATATGCCCTGGGTGCAAAGCGTGGGCAGGTAAAACACTTGAGAACAGTGTTCTTGATCTTTAGCATGCTTGAGAACCACTTGTGAACTTGGTAAAACACAAATTCTCAGGCCCACCCCAAAAGGTTCTGATTTAATATGTCTGGAATAAGGTCTGAGCATTTACATGTTTAACAAGAACTTGGCATTTCTAACAACAAAGCGATGCTGGCGTTGTTGGTCTGCAAATCACATAAGCCACTGCCTTTGAAGGATGACCTAGCTACCAGAAAAGTTTAGTAATGTGTTCCTTAGGCCGGGTGCGGTGGCTCAAGCCTGTAATCCCAGCACTTTAGGAGGCCGAGGCGGGCAGATCACAAAGTCAGGAGATCGAGACCATCCTGGCTAACACAGTGAAACCCCGTCTCTACTAAAAATACAAAAACAAAATTAGCCAGGCGTGGTGGCGGGTGCCTGTAGTCCCAACTACTCAGGAGGCTGAGGCAGAAGAATGGCGTGAACCTGGGAGGCGAAGCTTGCAGTGAGCTCGGAGATCGCACCACTGCACTCCAGCCTGGGTGACAGAGCGAGACTCCGTCTCAAAAAAAAAAAAAAGAAAGAAAGAAATGTGTTCCTTTATCTTCAATCAAGTCAACAAAGGATGTTAATTGGAAACTAATTTTCTCCAGGGAAGAAGAAAGAACTCTGGGGTCCTACAGGTGCAGGTGCTTATCCCTCCCCTACTCCTTCCACTGCTGATCTAATCCTTTAGGGCTTTGCTTGAGTCCCTCTGGGGCCTCCACCAGCTCCTGCAACCTAAGGTAACATCTCCCTTATCTGAATTTCTGCTGCACTTCAACACACTGCCGCCTGCTTTTGTCCTTAATTATGCACTAATTGTTCCCTGCATGTGAATTTTGTCATAGATCTGAACTTATGTGCAATTGGACAAAGGCCCTCTCAACACTCACAGAACTAGGAGTAGGCACAGAATGCTCTTTAAAATACATTTCAAAAATCAAAGCAGAGCTAAAGGAGTGTGCCTCGGAATGTAAGAACAGGTAACAATGGAGAGCTGTGACCACAAAGGAGTCATCAGATCAATCCATCACCATGTCATTTTGGCTGAGGTTCTAAATTTTTTGTTTGAAGTGGCTGGCAGGAGATAAAGTGCAACTCTGCTGTGTAGAAGAGTAATTGACTTGTATTTTCTGGTATTTTCTCTATACAGAAATTAGTTCAAACTATTTCCAAGATGTTCAAAAATTGGATGTGGCTGCATGAAACAGGTTAAAAAGTTTGATATGGTAGGGACTGACTATGGAATGGCAATGTGAGGAGTGTGGCAGACAGACCCTCTCCCCAGGTAAATACCATTTAAGTTCTGAAAATTATAAAAGGATAAGTAAAAGATAAGATGTATTTTCAAGCCCTAGAGCAACCATGAAGAAAATAGTTCAAATAATATGTAGTTCAAAAAATATGTAGTTTAAAAATCATTAAAGGCCTTAAAATTTTCTGCTAGAAAATATTCACTTAATGAAAAAGAAGACAGCAAAGGAATAACAGAAGAACAAAAAAAGGAGACATACAAAAAAAGAAGTAAATTGGCAGACATAAATCCAACCACACAATAGAAACACTAAATACGAATGGATTATACAATCCAATCAAAAGGCAGAGATTGCAGACTGAATAAGAAAACAAAACCCAAATATATTATGTCAACAAAAAATATATGCTAGATTCAAATATACAAATGGTTGAAAGTAAAAAAAAAAAAATGAAAATAAATATACTATCCAAACAGCAATCATAAAAGAAATGAAGTTGCTATATTCATATCAGACAAAACAGACACTAAAATAAATAATGTCACTGGGGATTAAAAAAGACATTTCATAATGTTAAAAATTATCAACCCATCAGAAAAATATAATAATTATAAGCCTATATGCAACTAATAATAGAAACTGAAAACACATGAAGCAAACATTAACAGAATTGAAGGAAGAAAGATAATTCAATAATAGTTGAAGACTTCAATACCTCAATTTCAATAATGAATACAGGAACTAGAGAGAAAATTGCCAAGCATATAGAAGATATCTAAAGAATATACCACCCAACAACAGAAGAATACATGTCCTTCTCCAGCACACATGGAATATTCTCCAGGATAGACCGTATACTAGGCCATAAATCAAACCTCAGTGAATTTAAGGGGGTTGAAATTATACAAATTGTTTTCCAGCCACAGTGGAATTAAATTAGAAGCCAATAACATCAGTAAATTTGGAAAATTTAAGAATATTTGGAAGTTAAATACACACTCTTAAATAATCGATGGCTCAAAAAATAAATCATGTGAGAAATAAGGAAATACTTTGAAATGAATGAAAATTAAAACACAACATTCCAAAACGGGGGTTGCATCTACAGCAGTGCTTAGAGATGAGTTTACAGCTATGCATGTCTATGTTAAAAAAGAGGGCAGATCTCAAATCAATAACCTAGTCTTTCACATTAAAGAACTGGAAAGGAAGAGAAAACTAAACCCAAAGCAAGCAGAAGTCAGAAAATACTAAAGAATAGAGCAGAAATAGATGAAATAGAGAATAGAAAAAAATCAACAAAACTAAATATCGGTTATTTGAAAGAGCACTACAATTGACAAGCCTTTAGATACCAAGAAAAAGGGAGAAGATTATAATTACTAAAATCAGGATTTAAAAAGAGGCATCACTACCGACCTTACAAAAATAAAAATAATTATAAGTTAATGGTATGTTATACCTTATGTAATTGTGCCATAGTTCTTATATAGTCCATTCTAATTTTTTCATTCATTTTTATCTTTGCTTTTTCAGTTTGGAAAGTTTCTATTGACATGTCTTCTAGCTCACTGATTCTTTTCTCAGCCGTGTCCAGTCTACTGATTAATGCACCAAAAGCATTGTATTAGTCCATTTTCACACTGCTGATAGAGACATACCCAAGACTGGACAATTTACAAAAGAAAGAGGTTTAACTGGACTCACAGTTCCATGTGGCTGAGGAGGCTTCTCAATCATGGTGGAAGGCAAGGAGGAGCAAGTCACATCTTTTGTGGATGGCGGCAGGCAAAAAGAGAGCTTCTGCAGGCAAACTCTCGTTTTTAAAGCCATCAGATGTCATGAGACTTCTTCACGATCAAGAGAATAGCACAGGAAAGACCTGAGCCCATGATTCAATTATCTCCCACCAGGTCCCTCCCACAACACATGGGAATTATGGGAGCTACAAGATGAGATTTGGGTGAGGACACAGAGCCAAACCATATCAGGCATCATTTCTTTTATGGTGTTTTTTCTTTCTAGCATTTTCTTTTGATTTGTTCTTAGGGTTTCTATCTCTTGTATATTGTCAACCTTTTCTATGAGAGCTATTGGCATATGAATGAGTTATTTTAATACCCAGTCTCATAAATTCAAAATATCTGCCATACCTAGGTTTGGTTCTGATGCTTAACTTTTTCTTTTCAGGCTGTGTTTTTGTCTTTTAGCATGCTTTATAATTTTTTTTGTTGAAAGCCAGACATGACATACTGGGTAAAAGGAACTGAGCACTAAACAGGCCTTTAGTGTGAGGTTTTCGTTTATGCTAGGAGCAAGGCTGTGTTTACTGTTTGCTATAACTGCAGGCGTCAAAGGATAAATTTCCTTTGTCTTTGATTCTGTCCCCCTATTATCTTTGGATTTCTCTAAATACTACCTAGTAAATAGAGTCTGAGCTTACCATCCTTTTACCTATAATTCACTGTTATTGTACCAAAGCCTAATTGATGTAGTGTTAGTTCAATATTATTTAACAATAAAACACTCAGCAAACAAGTAGTAGAATAAAGGGCATCTATGAAAAAACAAATTAACATCACATTTAATGATAAAAGATTGATTACTTTCCCTTTGAGACTAAGAACAAGACAAGGTTTTCCACTCTTACCATTACTATTCAATATTATACTGGAGTAGCCAGAGAAATTAGGTAAGAATAAGAAATATAAAGCATCCAGATTGGAAAGGAAGAAGTAAAACTCTCTCCATCCACAGATGACATGATCTCTTATTTAGAAAAAAACTAAAGAATTCACACAAAAATGAGACTAATAAAGGAGTTCAGCAAAGTTGTAGGACATAAGGTCAATATATAAATATCAGTTGTAGTTCTATACAGTAACAATGAACAATCCAAAAATAAAATTAAGAAAACAATTTCATTTACATTAGCATCAAAAAATTGAAATACTTAGGAATAAAAAGGACAAGACTTATACACTGAAAACTACAAAACATTGTTGAAAGAAAGTAAAGATGTAAACAAATGGAAAGACAGCTCATGTTTATAGATTGAAAGACTTAATAGTTTAAAATGGCAATACTCCCTAATTAACCTATAGGCACAATGCAATCCCTAGCAAAATTTCAGCTGGCTTTTTTGGGGGATTGAGGGGAACTGACAAGCTGACTGTAAAATTCATATGGAAGTACAAGAGACATAATAGCCAAAACAATCTTGAAAAAGAAGAATAAATTTGGAGGACTCACACTTCAAATTTCAAACTTACTGTAAAGCTATAGCAATCAAGAATACAGTACTGGCACAAGGACATAGAAATCAATGGAATAGAATTGAAAGTTGAGAAATAAACCTTACTTGATGGTCAATTAATTTTCAACAAGGGTACCAAGACAATAAAATGGGGATAGAACAGTCTTTTCAACAACAAACGGTACTAAGGACATCCACATACAAAAGAATGAATTTGGCCCCCTTTCTCAGACTGCCTTGGTCCATTTGTGTTGCTCTAAAGGAATACCTCAGGCTGGGGAATTTATAAAGAGAAAAGGCTTATTTGGCTCACAGTTCTACAGACTATACAAGAAACATGGCACCAACATCTGCTTCTGGTGAGAGCCTCTGCTTCCACTGACAGCAGTAGGCAAAGGGGAGACAGCGTGTAGAAATTGCATGGCAAGAGCAGAGGCAAGGGAGAGAGGAGAGAGGTGACAGAGTTTTTTAAACAACGAGCTCTCACAGGAAATAATGAAGCAATAACTCATTACTTGAAGATGACTCCAAGCCATTCATGAAAGATTTGCCCCCACGACCCAAACACCTCCAATTAAGCCCCACCTCCAACCTTGAGAATCAGAATCAGATTTCAACATGAGATTTGGAGAAGTCAAATATCCAAACCATAGCACACACCACACATAAAAACTAACTCGAAAGTGGATCATAGATCTAAATGTAAGACTTAAAACTATAAAACTCTTGCAAGAAAACACAGGAGTAAATATTCATACCCTTGGATTGAGCAATAGTTTTTCAGATATCACCTCAAAAGCACAGCAACAAAAGAAAAAATATACACACTGGAATTCATCCAAATTAAAAATATTTGTGCTATAAATGGTATCATCAAGAAAGTAAGAAGACAATCTGCAGAATGGGAGAAATATTTTCAAATTATGCACATGATAAAAGACTTGTGCCCAGAAAATAGCAAAGGGGGAAACACAACTCAATTCCTCTTTTTTTTTTTTTTTTTTTTTTTTTGAGATGGAGTCTCACTCTATCGCCCAGGCCGGAGTGCAGTGGCGCGATCTTGGCTCACTGCAAGCTCCGCCTCCCGGGTTCACGCCATTCTCCTGCCTCAGTCTCCCAAGTAGCTAGGACTACAGGCGCCCGCCACCACGCCCGGCTAATTTTTGTATTTTTAGTAGAGACAGGGTTTCACCTTGTCAGCCAGGATGGTCTCAATCTCTTGACCTCGTGATCCGCCCACCTCGGCCTCCCAAAGTGCTGGGATAACAGGCGTGAGCCACCACACCCAGCCCTTTAATTTAGTTTTTAACAAGGTTACATGAGCACATACTTTAAAAAGTCAAATAGTTCTACAAGACTTGTTGCCACAAATAGCAGTCCCTGCCCCCATTTTCCTTCCCCAGAGGCAACTAATTTTAATTCTTACCATTAATTTTTGTTAGTATTTGTGTCCATATCAGTACATAACATGCGTGTATGTCTAATTCCTGATTGGTCTGTTTTAGGTACTATCTACGAACTTCCCGCTGGGGAAGATGAGGATTTAGCACTCCTGCCAACTCCCTTTACCCCTAACACACACACATGGACTCCCCCTGCCCCACAGGTCCCTAAGACATGACATCACATTTTTCAGATAGATTAATATTCTGTATTTATATCTATGACTAAATGCTATTTACAGATAAGCCACGTACTATCCTATGATTAGTTTTCCTTGCCTGCACACATTTTGTTTTGCCTGGAGTTATCTTATTTTGCTTTCTTGTTATCAATATTGTTGCCATTAATCCAATCCCAGGCTCCCCATCTCTCAATATGTTTGGATGCAATAGAGAGACTTTCGAGGTTACCTTATTGAGTGAAAAACTCCCATAGGTCCTCCTAACTCCTCCAGGTTGCCCTCAACTCCTTGGTTCTGGGTGCATGGCTGTCACCATGGTCCTGGCTAGTCCCTTCTCTTCCCTCCTTTATTGGGTCTTCTGTTAACTATCTCCCATGTCCTTGGTTTGCAACCTCAGTCTGGTGGAGCACATCTTCCAGTAGCTTCCTGAGAAAAAGTGCATGAGAAGTAAAATGATTGAAACTCTGCATGATTTAAAATGTCATTCACCCACTCCCAGGTTAAAAGAATATATAGACACATAATGATTCCAGTAGCTGCAAACAAAGCATTTATAAAATTCAATACAAATTCAAAATTTAAAAAGAATTTCTTACTGCAGAATTATTCACAATAGTCAAAAGGTAGAAACAACCCAAGTTGAATGGGTGAAGATGAATGAATAAATAAAATGTGGTATATACATATAATGGAATATTATTCAGCAATAAAAATGAGTGAAATCTGGATACATGCTACAACATGGATGAACCTTGAAAACATTATGTTAGGTGAAAGAAGTCAGACACAAAAGGACAAATATGTGATTTCACTTATATGAAATATCTAGGCTGGGCACAGTGGCTGACACCTATAATCCCAGAACTTTCAGAGGCCAAGGGAGGAGAATCGTATGCATGCAGGGCTTTGAGATCAGTCTGGACAACACAGTGAGACCCCGTTGGAGGGAGGGAGGGAGGGAAGGAAGGAAGGGAGGGAGGGAGGGAGGGAGGGAGGGGAAGGGAGGGAGGGAGGGGGAGAGAGAGGAAAAAAAGAAAAGGAAAGACAGGAAGAAAGGAAGGAAGGAGAGAGAGAGAAAGAAAGAGAGAAAGAAAGAAAAGAAAAAGAAGGAAAGAAAAGAAGAAAGAAAGAAAGAAAGAAAGAAAGAAAGAAAGAAAGAAAGAAAGAGAAAGGAAGGAAGGAAGGAAGGAAGGAAGGAAGGAAGGAAGGAAGGAAGGAAGAAAGAAAGAGAAAGAAAGAAGGAAGGTAGATCTAGAGTAGACAAGTTTATAAAGACAGAAAGTAGAATAGAGGTACCAGGGCCTCGGAGAAAAGGGGAACAGGATGTTCTTGCTTAATGGTTACAGAGTTTCTTTTTGGGGTGATAAAAAAGCTTTGGAGATAGTGATTATGGTTGCATACATTGTGAAGGCAATTGATTAATGCCACTGAATTGTACACTTCAAAGTGGTTAATATAGCAAATTTGTGTTATATATTTTTTACCACAATAAAAATTTTTCAGAAGAAAAAATTCTTTCCAAATTAAGAATAGAGGAAACTTCCTTAGTCTGAGAAAGAGTACCTACAAAATAATAACTTTAAGGCCAGGTGTAGTGACTCATGCCTGTAATCCCAGCATTTTGGGAGGCCAAGGCAGGCGGATCACTTGAGGCCAGGAGTTCAAGACCAACATGGCCAACATGGCAAAACCCCATCTCTGCTAAAAATACCAGTATCAGTCGGGCGTGGTGGCACATGCCTACAGTCCCAGCTACTCAGGAGGCTGAGGCACGAGAATTGCTTGCACCAGGGAGGCAGAGGTTGCAGTGAGCCAAGATGGCACCACTGAACTCTATCTAGCCTTGTGACAGAGTGAGAATATGTCTCAAAAAATAAAAAGTAAATTTAGAACACCATTCTAAATGGGAAAACATTAGGATACTTTCCTTAAAAGTCAAAAATAAGGTAAGATGGCCTAGTCTTATCATTTCTATTCAGTGCGATATTGACAGCCCCAGCCAGCACAAAAGCAGAAGAAAAAGAAAGAAGGGATGAAAAGAAAGAAATAAAAGTCATTATTTTCAAACAAAATAACTGTTTTCACCAAAAAACAAAAAGAATGTATGAGCAAATTGTTAGAAATAATAAGAAAGCTTAGCAAAAGGCAATTGCATTTCTGTACTCTTGGAATAAACAACCAGAAAATGTAACTAAAGAGAAGACAACACTTACAGTAGTTTCAAAGGATACCAAGAATCTAGAAATAAATATAAAAATACACTGGAGCCCTCTATAGGGAGAATTATAACACTTTATTAATAGCCAGTTAGATGACCCAAATACATTGAAGAGTATACCACATTGTGAATAAGATGATCACATAGTACTGTTCATCTCCGCAATTCAATAAAGCTCCAATCAAAATGCTAACATGTGTTTTTGAGGAACTTGATAAGCTGATTCTAAATTTACATGAAATAATAAAAAGAAAAAAAAAAAACAGGCAGAACTTTTGTCAAAAAGATGAGCGTGGAGGAAAGACTTGCCCCACCTAATAACATGCTTTTTTATTTCTGAAACTACAGTAATTAAGACACGATGGTATTGGCACAGGGACAGACAAACAGACCACAGAATAGAATAAAGCACTCAGAAATAGACAACCACATGCATGAAACTCTAGTATATATAACAGAGGCCTGCCAGACCGGTGGGAAAATAAATTGAGCTGGATAAAAAAGGTTATGCCTACAGAAAAACATGAAATTAGATCCCTACATCATACCATATACCAAAATTCATTCCAGATGGATTGAGTGCTTAACTATAAAAAAAAAACAACTTTAAAACTCTTAGTAAAACTCTTTTAGACTTTGAGATAGAGTAGAATTTCATAAACAATACTCAAAAAGTGTTAACTATTTTAAAAAATTGATAAATTTGACCATACTAAAATTAAGAACCCCTATTTGTCAAAAGAAAGTGAAAAACAAGCTACAGATGACAAGAAGATAAAGGCAAAATATATCATTATTCTCAGACAACAGGCATAACTAGGACTGTCCTACCCACCCTCTGGCCAGCAGTTCTACTCCTGGTGTAACTTTATGAGAGACTTTTGCCCATGAACACCTGGAGCCATCTACAAGAAAAGTGTGTTCATATGAACACTGTTCACAATAGCAAGGCCTGGAAACAACCCAGATTCCCTTCAACAAGAGAGTGGATGAATAAATTGTGGTATATTCACACAATGGAACATAATAGAGCAGTCAACAGGAATGAGCTATAGCTGTACACCACAGTATATAGAAATTCTAAAAATATAATGTTTTTAAAAAGTAAGTCCTGAATGAACCCATACAGCATAACATGCTTTTTATAAAATTAAATAACTTTTTTTAAAAAACTAGCTTTGGGCCGGGCGCGATGGCTCACGCCTGTAATCCCAGCACGTTGGGAGGTCGAGGCGGGCAGATCACGAGGTCAGGAGATCGAGACCATCCTGGCTAACACAGTGAAACCCCGTCTCCACTAAAAATACAAAAAAAAGTAGCCAGGCGTGGTGGCGGGCGCCTGTAGTCCCAGCTACTCGGGAGACTGAGGCAGGAGAATGGTGTGAACCTAGGAGAAGGAGCTTGCAGTGAGCCGAGATCGCGCCACTGAACTCCAGCCTGGGCAACAGAGTGAGACTCCATCTCAAAAAAAAAAAAAAAGAAAAAAAAACTAGCTTTGTAGGAATACCATTGAATGAGCATGGATGGACTTAGGCTATGCCAACTACCTAAGCCGGAACTACACTTCCCGGAATTCCCTTCCCTGCATAGTTCTTATTAGCAGGGGCCACAGAAGACATTTTCTATATCTAATTTTTTTATTTTTTTATTTTTTTATTTTTATTTTTTCTGAGACAGGAGTCTTGCTCTGTCACCCAGGCTGGAGTGCAGTGGCACGATCTCGACTCACTGGAACTTCCACCTCCTGGGTTCAGGCAATTCTCCTGCCTCAGCCTCCTGAGTAGCTGGGACTACAGGTATGTGCGCCCACGTCCAGTTAATTTTTGTATTTTTAGTAGAGATGAGGTTTCACCATGTTGGCCAGGCTGGTCTCAAACTCCTGACCTCATGATCTACCCACCTCGACCTCCCAAAGTGCTGGGATTACAGGCATGAGCCACCGCACCCAGCCTCTGTATCTAATTTTCCTATTATTCTATCTCATTCCTAGGGTTCTATGATCACACTCTGACTGATACAAGATGAAACAATCTACAAAGGAAGTAAAGGAATGCCGAATACAATATCCCTACCTCCTTCACGGTTTTACTTACTACAGTACTGTGGTCAACTGCAATTCGAATATATTACACAGAAAATTCCAGAAATAAACTATTCATAATGTTTAAATTGCATGCTGTTCTCAGTAATGTGATGAAATCTGCTGTCCTACTCTGTCCTTCCTGGGATGTGAATTCTTCATTTGTCCAGCGGGTCCACGCTGTCTATGCTCCCCACCTGCCAGTCACTCAGGACTCATCTTGGTTATTGGATAGACTGTCATGGTACAGCAGTGTTTGTGTTCCAGTAACCCTTATTTTACTTAGTAATGGCCCCAAAGTGCAAGAGAAGCAATGCTGGCATGTTGTTATAAGTGTTCTATTTTATTATTAGTGATTGCTGTTAATTTCTTACTATTGGAGACCCAGTATACCTGGAGATTCCATACACCTGGATACCTGGTTATACCTGGTACACCTGGAGATTGCTGCCATTGATCTGGATCTTTAAGAATGTAAAGCTCTCTTTTTACTTCAGTTTCTTCATCTATACAATGAAAGATAGTAAAAGATTATTTCCAAGTTTTCACTTCATGATAAGATTCTATGATTCAATTTAAGCCAAACTGGTGGTCAAACAAGAGAAAGCCCATAAAATTCATTCCTACAACCTAACTTCCAAGTACCAGTCTGTGCCAGTTTTGCAGCCTTCTGTAAATAGTAAGAGGCCGGGCTCAGTGGCTCATGCCTACAACCCCAGCACTTTGGGAGGCCGAGGCGGGAGGATTACCTGAGGTCAGGAGTTCAAGACCAGCCTCGCCAACATGGTGAAACCCCGCCTCTACTAAAAATACAAAAATTAGCTGTGCGTGGTGGCAGGCATCTGTAATCCCAGCTACTCAGGAGGCTGAGCCATGAGAATCACTTGAACCTGGAAGGCGGAGCTTGCAGTGAGCCCAGATTGTGCCACTGTACTCCAGCCTGGGTGACAGCGGGAGATTCCATCTCAAAAAAAAAAAAAAAAAAATTAGTAAGATGATCATTGTGGGTTGACTCTGTACGAAAAACATAAAGATGGCAACAAAGGTGAGTGCTCAGATTTCCCCCCAGCCTACCTGGAAACTCACCCCAAAACCAACCTGATTCAGGGGAAAAAGTGGTTTGCTTTTATCTAAAGGAATTCTGCACAGATAAAACCAGGCTGCCCACAGAATTTCCATCACACCAAATTCGCAGTTTCTACATAATTGGATTTCTCTTCCTCACTGTCATCACCATTACTTCTGGAAGGAAGAGTGGAGAGAATGGCACATAGAGTCTATTGTGCTTTTACAAAGATTCAATAAACAAATGCCAAAGTTGGAAAAAGATGATGCTGTGGTTGGTTATTATCTTCCAGCTAATGATACAGTTGAATAAACGCAGCGATGTTGCAGAAAGGGAGCAGATTCAAGGCTCTGCCTTTCCATTAAGTTATGATGATTTCCCAAGACATCCAGGGTGGAGCAGAAATGTGGTTGATAAAATGCATGGCGTGGATTGAACAGCAAGAAGAAAGCAACTGACTGCAGCTGTCTGTGTGATTTGGCAACCCACAACTACTCAGACAAATCTAAACAAATCACCATCCCTGGCTTCCTGATGCCTCCAGGAAAGTCCTGTAATGACTGCTCTGCGCTGCCCTTCTAGGCAGGGGTGAGGAAAATATGCAGATTCCACAAGTTTAGGGCTTTCCTGGGGCATGTGTTCAATGCAGCAGCTGCCACCCTTCCACAGATTTGGCTGCTTTCTGCAAAATCCAAGTTTACATTAACTAATCATACATTTGCAACCCTTCCCACTGTGCCCACAGCTAGCATGATGGGCACCAAAGCCCTGTTTCCCTCATAGCCCAACCATATGAAAACACCCAACAGGTAGCCCAAGACAAGAGAAGCTGTGTTTTGTCCTCTGCCCACCTAGCCACGCCTTCCTAGCTCCTTCCAAGGCTTAAGTGGGAAGTATTCAAAACTGGTCCATGCACATGACCATCGCTTGGGGGTACATCTCCAGGCCTGAGTTCTGGCAGCTTCCCTCCCCCAGCTTTCCTGCAGCTGCCAGAATAGCTGCAGCTCTGCTGAGCAGCCACAGTCATCCAGTTAGACACGTTTTGCCGGGGGTAAGGGATGGATCTGCCCTTGCCAGCCTAGAACACGACTGGAATGGATGGGTGGGAGAGAAATCCTGCCATTGAAGCCCCTTCCCCTCAAAAGAAAAACAAATGGAGGATATCTGGGGAAAAGCTTTTTTTTTTTTTTTTTTTTTTTGCCCAGCGGTACTTCAGAGAGCAGCTCTGGAGAAGTTCATGACAAGAAAGTGTGATTGGCCACTGGCAGAGACTGCTGGGTCCCTGCAGAGAGAAATGTGGCCCCGTTGGGATGCCTCAGCTTAGGAACACAGAGAAGGGGGAGAGTGCAGGCAAACCCTGTCCCTGAAAGCCAGCACAAGGGTGGCATGCTCACCCCACTCAGCAATCTTGGGAAAGAGCAGTGAGAGGGGTCTGAATGGCAGCCCAGGTGGCCTGGACAGCAGAACAAGAGGGTTCCCCCTGGAAGTCAGCTCCCCTTGGGGCAATAGAGAGGGAGAGAGGAAAGGAGAGGGGAGAGGGAGAGAAAGAACAGTGCTTCTCTATATGGTGATTATAAGTCAACGTAATCACAGAAGAAACACCTGAGCACCTAGTTCGTTGCCATGTACACAGCAGGTGCTCAATAAAAATTTGCTGGTGATGGTGTTAGATGTGACTTTCTAGACAAAACCTGCTTTACTGTAAGTGAAATAAATATCTGTTGGATTGAAATGAATTGAAATAGGCAGCGGGTTAGCGGTGTAATTTGAAGAGCAATGGAAAATTTGGTCCCTTGCCTCAAATCTCTCTCCTACTGTAACTGCCAGAGTGCTGGAAATTTCCAGATTCCTCTTTTGGGTTAATGGGGTAATGAAAACCTTGTTGAAAAGCAAATGTTTTCTGGGAGGGATAACCAATGAAGCAACTATGATCTCTCAGTCATCCAGGATTGCAAATGGAATTCAACTCAACGGCCAGCCCTGATAGATTCACCGGAGCCGCCTGGAGTTCTGTCCTAAAGACCCTGAGGCCACAGCTGGCTCAGCAGAAAGCAGTACTGTGGGGAATACTGATATCTGCCACGGATGTGGAAAGGGGCTGGATGCTAGGGGTGCCATGTATTTGCCATCCCTGCCTCTTAGCCTGAATTATTCGAATATATTATCCCCAACAAAGAGCAGGCCCCTAAGGAAATGTAAGCTGGGACGGACATTCTGGAGGGATAAAGATGGTGAAAATTTTGCCTGAAAAGCAGGCCAGGGAATATGGCGCTGATGTGCAGTAGAAGGATACAAGAAGCCCCTGTGAGTTTGGTGGTAGGGGGCTGGGGAATGCCTACAGGAAGTCTACCTTCACCTTTTTCCATCTTGCCATGAGTGAGCGCTAACCACAGACTCTCCAGTCAAGAGGGTAACCGTAGCTCTCATCCTCCCACCACAGGAATTTGTCTGGCTCTTGTCAAACTTTGCCATCACATTCCCCAACAGCAGAGAAGAGTGAATGGACCACTCTATGGGAACAGAGGGATAATGCCAGCAGCCTACCCTGAGCAAAATGTGTCTTTGAAACCTCCGTTTTAACTTGAGAATTCATGTAAAGTTTGCATTCTATCATTAATTATTTGCTTTCACGTAGAAATATTTAAGTTACTTATAAGTCCTACTAGAGTAGCGCCGTCTGCTATGATAGATCAAGCTCAAAAGCTCAATAGTGATACTTTAGACATTTATTTTTCACAACATAAAGTCCAGGTGAGTGTGGCTGGTCCATGGATAGCCTGGCCCCTTGGTCTTCTGACTCCACCCTCTTTCAGGGACTGTACGTCCTTCCCATTCAACTAGCAGATGAGGAAAGGCCAGTTAAGATGGTCTCTTAATTACTTAAGCCCAGAATTGACAGCCATTCTCCCAACATTCCATGAGAAAGAATTTGTCACAGGGCTCCACTTAAACGCAAGGGTAGCTGAAAATATAGTCCCTGACTACCTAGCAACACTCCGGGTAACTGTTAATGTTTTAACTTCTCCATCTTCCCAAATCTATGGGACAAGTTAATCTTTAGAAGATGTGCTGAGTTTCATCCCACATCTTTACTCAACTGGAGCACGTTGCCACATATTCCCAGAAGGGCATCTACTCTCGTTTAAGAAACCACATAGGTAGTCCATTTTCAATAAGACCTAATTTCCACTTGTAGCCTCAGTGAAAGCCAATTTTAGTGGACTACTCCATTTTACCTCCTCTTCTCTCTGCTCCCTCTTTCCCTTCCTCTCAAGCCAGTTAGATACCATCAGGATTTTTAAAGTAGGCCCAAAGCCATGTTGAATATTGCCAGGAAATGGCTGGCTGGCTGTCCACCAAGAGACATTCAAAAGTGGCATTATCTTAATGAATTTTTCACGGTCCAAGGTCTGGACAGAAGACTTACAGGTCCAAAAATTCAATCTTCTTAGTGTGCCAGGATTTGCCTAACTTAGGAGGGCTGACTTGTGCGAACTAAAATCACAAAACTCCAAAACTACTCACCAAAGTGGCAATACCTCTTGACAAGAAGGTGTGTGACTGTCAAGGAGATCAAATATTGAAATTATTGTCTTCACCATTTTTTTCTCCCTGAAGAAAATCTACTAAGGAGGTCAAATTACAATAAAAAAGCTCCTAGGTGAGTCTGGAATCAGAGCATGAGTTATTTAGTTAGAGGAGTTGGAAGCTTAATGTCACCAGGCTACTAGGGCCTGATGAAGCCATCAGTGCTGGAACAGTCATGTCATGGGCTTCCTTTGGTCTGTCCTGTCTTAATTCTGTGCTCACCAGCTTTCTCTCTGATTGACACATCCTTTAGACACACCGATGCCATCCATCAGTAGAGTTACTGCCAGATCTGTACTCTGCTTTCTTCTGACATGGTGGACATTTTATCTCTAAGGTACACTTGTGTATGGCTGGCATCATCCACTGTGTTAAATTTTTAATCAAGCTCGCAAAGCTAGGAAGAAGAACAGAAGAGAAAGGGCAGGGGACTTACTCTCATCTCTGTCTACACCAATTGATGTTATTGTAGAATGAAATGTAAGAGCTTATTTGGAGGTCTCAGTAGAAAAGATTGGATATTTATAGATCCTTGACTGAAAAAATATTTCTCTCCCCTCTTTCTCTCCTCTTTTTCTAGGGCCACAGCCGACCCAGCAAGATGCCTGCAGTTCTCTCATTCAAGGTTGTAACCCAGAGCTGCTGGCAGCAAGTACACACTGAGGGATGAATCCCAGTCAAAGCCAAGAAGGGTTGCCAAGTTCAATGCCAGGGAAGGGTATCAAGTTTCAGTTGTACTGGGTGAGAAGTAGACGGTGCATAGATCAGGGAAAGGTCACTGGCCATGGTGCAAGAAGCAGGACTGGAAGCCAACAGCAAAGAGGGTTCAAGTGAAATAGAACAGGGTGGAAGCTCGAAAAAAACAAGGGTACCAGGAAGCTCTTTCTTGTTGGTTATTGACTAGTTGAAAGCACAATACTGAGTTGGGCACTGAGCTATCTGGGAAAGTAACCTTCTTTAATTGAGTTTGCAACATCAACAGCTATTTCATGGGATAGTGAAGAAAGGGACTCAAGCCTAGAGAACCATGAAGGACAGGCCACAGCCAGATGGCCCTCACATCCAAACCAGTTACATTAAAGTAAGAGACCTGCTTTGCAGTTTTAGCTCTGACAATTATGGGAAGCTTGACTTCCTCAACTCACTTTACCTCTCTGACCCTTAGTTTTCTCCTCTGTTAAATGAGGCAATTGAAATCAGTGTTTTGCAAAGCCCTCCTGATGTATAACACTGTGTCTACAAAGATAAAGCACTCCCCTAACCACACATCTATTCACATCCTGCACTGAAAAGATCAACCTTCTAGAAAAGAATTTGGAGTAGTGTTTTTTTAACCTACACTTACACAAAAGTGGGCAAAATAGCCCGGTAACCAGCTCCCAGATTAAGAAACAGGACTCTTACTAGGATCTCAATAGCTTCCCTATTTCCTTTCCCTGTCACTACCTTCCTGCAAAAGTAACCACCATTCTAATTTAAAACAGGGTGACAGATTAGTTTTGTCTGTTTTAGAACTTTATGTAAATTGAATCACACAGTACGTACTCTTTTGTGTCAAGCTTTTTAAATTCAATTATTTGTCTGTGAGACTCACCCATGTTGCTGCATGTAGCTGGGGTTGGTTATTTCCTTGTTGCTTTATAGTGTTCCATTATGCCACAGATTTATTTATCCATCTTATTGCCCACAGACTTTTGAATTGTTTTCTATTTTGGCATTATGAAGAATGTTGCTATGGAAATTTTTATACATGTCTTTGGGCACATATTCGTAGGCATTTATGTATTAGTTATCTATTGCTGTGAAGCCAGTTGCTGCAACAAACTTAAAACAGTACATATTTATTATCTCACAGTTTCTGTGGGTCAGGAGTTCGAATGCCACTTAGCTGGGTCTTTTGTTTTAGGGTCTCTTACAAGGCTGCAATCAGGTGTCAACTATGACTGGGATCTCATCTGAAGGCTCAACTGGGGGAGGATTGTGTCCAGGCTCACATAGTTGTTGGCAGAATTCAGTTTTTGGAAGACTGTTGGACTAGGGGCTTCATTTCCTAGATGGACAAACCATCCTCATTTCCCTGCCATGTAGGCTTCTCCAGCATCAAAGCATGCAAGCCAAGAAACAATAGAGTCTGCTAGCAAAACAGAAATGAGCATTTTATGTAACACAATCACAGAAGTATATCCCATCACAGTTGCTTCTATATGTTAGAAGACAATCACAGATCCCATCCACCCTCAGAGGTACAGGATTACACAAGAGAATGAATGCCAGGAAGTGGATATCACAGGGGGTCATCTTAGAGTCTGGCTGCCACAATTTCTGTTGGGATTGTAAACGGGAATGGAATTATTTGGTCACTGGTCCAGATTCAGTTTTGGAAATTCACTAGTTTTCCACTGTGATTATACCAATTGACATCCTCACCAGTATTTTCTCCACATCTGGGATTGGTTTTTCCATAGCTTTCCTTCTGGTGTGAGTTATCAAATTGCTCCTGACAAAAGAAAAAAATGGCTTTGTGCACCACAAGCTGCCTTATTCCCTGACTGAACTGGGAGGCAGAATTCTGAATTTCCCAGCCTGGAACTACTCATACCTTTTCTCTACTCTCCTCAGAGGAGAAAAATCCCTGAAGATGCAGAGTCAAAAAAGGTGCCAACTCCAGCAGTACCACCGGTGTTAGTGGCCACCAAGCTGAGGGGTGAGGGATGCTGGAGAAAAAGTGCCATCACCTCATTTACCAGAGTCCCCTGAATATTAGTCACCATTTATCCAGCCTGGGAAGAGCCACTGGGAGTGATTCTAATTGGGTCCTGAGCTGTTAGCCAATTCTAAAGGAGTGTTGATGTACCAGCATGAAAAGTTCCCACTATCAATCCTATGTCATGGCAAGTGTGTTAGTCTGTTCTCACACTCCTAATAAAGACATACCTGACTGGGTAATTTATAAAGGAAAGAGGTTTAATTGACTCACACTTCCACATGGCTGGGGAGGCCTCAAAATCATGGTGGAAGGTGAAGGGGAAGCAAGACACATCTTACATGGCAGCAGGCAAGAGCACTTGTGTACGGGAACTCCTCTTTGCAAAACCATCAGATCTCATGAGACTTATTCACTATCATGAGAACAGCATTGGAAAGACCCACCCCTATGATTCAATTGTCTCCCACTGGGTCCCTCTCATGACACATGGGAATTATGGAAGCTACAATTCAAAATGAGATTTGGGTAGGGACACAGCCAAACCATATCAGCAAGGTACGTGGTAGATGTTCAATAACTGTTTAATTAGGATAGAGAAGAAGTAATAACTAACCTTCAACAAGTGCTCCCTACATTCCTCTATTTCCAATGGCTCATAGGCCCCAGATGTAAAAGAATTTGGGGGAAAATGCAATGGGTCAAGAGCATTTCTGGGATCTCCATGAGATTCATTAATATTTCTGCCCAAGTGTGTCTAGCAGGGTTATGTTCCTGAAAGCCACTAAACAGTGGTAATAACAGCACCGGGGTGACTGAGCTGCCTGGATTTGAAAAACTTTGCCAAATGTGTTCAAAGAAGTTCTAGGGAACAATTGATTTGAGTAGGTTCTGATAAAACACCCTCCTGTGGACACCAGTGAAATGTTGAGGCTAATTGGGGTTTCTGATACTGATTGTGGAGGAGTTTGGGGGTTGCTGTTTTTCCTTCACTGAATTCCGTCTTCTTTTCTACTTTACCCTTTCATTGGGGCTGTTAGTGTATCGGATGTAAGAGTATTACAGGGAAGTGTGCTTTTGTGTGGAAGTCATTACTGTGAACACCTGTTCACTGTTGAGTTTAATTGGACTACAGCTGGTGCTGATTGTATGTGAAGAGGGGTGCTGCTCCTCCCGCCGAGGAGTTCACTGTCAGTGGCAACAGTGGGGAAGTCAGCACTACCAAGTTCAGCTCCCACACTGTACATACAGTCAAGTATTCTACGTCCTGTATGGTTAGTTGCCTCTGAGGTACGCTATGGTAAATGCAGACAGGCAAGAAAAAAAAAGTGCCCACATCTTTGGTCTGTATCATTAAATCAGTTCAGTTCTGCATATGAAAATTTAGGGAAATATGAGGGAAATGACTGATGTAAACTTGGCATAAATTTTTTTTTTTTTTTTTTTGGAGACGGAGTTTCACTCTTATTGCCCAGGCTAGAGTGCAATGGCATGATCTCGGCTCACTGCAACCTCCACCTCGCGGGTTCAAGGGATTCTCCTGCTTCAACCTCCCGAGTAGCTGGGATTACAGGCATGTCCTACCATGCCAGGCTAATTTTACATTTTTAGTAGAGACGGGGTTTCTCCATGTTGGTCAGGCTGGTCTCGAACTTCTCATCTCAGGTGATCCGCCGCCTTGGCCTCCCAAAGTGCTGGGATTACAGGCGTGAGCCACCGCGCCTGCCCCACTCAAAGTAATTTTCTTAGCAATATAAGCTGTTCGCCTAGGTCCAGAGATGATAGGGACTGAACAAGCATATAAATAGAAACCCAGTAATGTAGCTCAAGAGTAGGCAGGTAATGACACATTAAGACTGCATTCCTGATGGAAGTATAGAAAAAGAATATGTCTGTAGCCCTTAATAACAATATTAAGAAAAAGTTCAAGTTGACGTACAGATGTTGACGTGCATATTTCAGTTTAGATGTAACGCACATCACTTATTCATTTAATATAAATGCATTTAAACAATGAAACATTGTATCTACTTTATAAAGGCTCTTGCTTCATATTAATAATATTAACATCCATGATTATGAGGATGACCCATGTGTTCGGAGGATGGCAGTAACTCCTATAAAGCATAAACCATCCACACTAAAGCAAATCTACTGATTCTTGGCTTTGGCTGTTCAACGGGGTCTCATTCCTCTTTGTGTGCAGCTAACAGTATTGTAAATGTGACCCACCTTTGGACGAGATAAAACGGAATTGCTCCTGAGATCAACAAGTCAGATGAAGAGCTGTATCTAAAAACTATTCCAGTGGCCAAGCATGGTGGCTCACGCCTGTAATCCCAGCACTTCGGGAGGCTGAGGCAGGCTGATCACCTGAGGTCAGGAGTTCGAGACCAGACTGGCCAACATGGTGACACCCCATCTCTACCGAAAATACAAAAATTAGCCAGGCATGGTGGCAGGCACCTGTAATCCCAGCTACTCTGGAGACCGAGGCAGGAGAATCACTTGAACCTGGGAGGCGGAGGTTGCAGTGAGCTGAGATTGCAGTACTGCACTCCAGCCTGAGCAACAAAGCAAGGCTCCATCTCAAAAATAAATAAATAAAAACTATTCCAGAACTGCATTTTTTGTTGTTTCAATATTTGCACAATCCTTTTATTCACAGAATTTGAAAAGCCGCTTGATACTTTTTACTTGCTGAGATGGAGATCCATGTCATCGTCCTAAATCCTGGAGGTAAAATGAAGCTAAGACCTTCCCTAGAGCAGATGGCAGGGCAAGATGTAAAAACACAGACCTCCCCTCCTCTGAATTCAACAGCCTCTCCACCATTGTAACACCCTTGGTCTTTAGAGAGGCAGCTGCCCCTGAGCTGAATGTGGAATCATCAGAGCCCGATCCAGCTTCCAGGGTGCCATTTTCTAGCTGTGCGGTCTTGGGTTCATCATTCCACCCCTGTGGATAGGATCAAAAAAAAAAAAAAAAAAAAACTTTGCCAAAATCCTTTGTCAACTGTGAAGAGGCTAACAAATATAGAGACGTTTATGACTCAAGGGGCAGTTTTTCAGTCAAACTGAAAACAGATTTTTCTGCGTGAGAAGCTGTGTTCCTGTGAAAGGCAGCAGTGCGCGCTGTGAGGGTGGGGAGCGTCTGCCCTCTCTTCTCTTCTCTGATTGCTTATGATGAATGATTCTTTTCCAGCAGACACCAAATACAGCTTTGCTGCTGATCAATAGATATTCTTTCCTGATTGTTTTCATTTTAGCTCTCTACTTTTTAACTAATTATTACAATTGTGCTCTTTGGGGAATTGCATGCAATGAACACATGCACACACACATACACATGCACCTCCTCTACTTCCCAGCACAGATGGTAAGCAGTTTGAGTTCATAGAAATGAGGTCACAGATACTTCCACGTATGCCGACATGGTCTTTCTATAGCTCCACGAATCCCCCGAACCACCCCAACCTCAGTAGCTGGAAAACATTAGATGCCCTTGATTAGATGATGAGAGCGAATCACACGGTGCAGAACAAGAGTCCTGGGGAATTGCACTCCTGGAACAGTAGCCTAATGCTTCCACCTCAATGCTCAACCCTAAGTCACCTTGGCATCCAAAGACGATGCCTATGCTTCATCAACTAGGGTCAACTATTTTGCTCTTAAATGATCAGGCACCATGGGGGTCAGGCCAGAAAAACAAATAAGTAATGTTCATTTTTCTTGAGAAATAAAGCCACAGATGGAGCATTTTTGAACTAGAACTTAAACTATTCCTCGTGTGGTGACTCAGGCCTTAATGAAGACGAATACTGGGCTGATTGCCTGTCTGAGCAAAATCAGAAATTCAGCTTGCTATGATCTATACAAAGAGGACATTGGTATCTACCAAGAGCAGTGCAACAGAACACCCTGCTTTGGGGTGCAGTGTGCAAGGCTGTTTGACCTCAAGCAGGCTGTTCCATATGGGGAAATAAACCAAAGCTGAGTCTGCCAGTGAGCCCAGGACCATCTCACAACAGCAGCACCCAAAATGCCTAAAGAATCTTGGACATATGTATTTGGTCAATTCAGGAACCATGAAAAGGAGACCCAGAATGGACACTATTGAAGCCATCAAGTCTCTGAGGTTGTATATCATCTGAGGGGTCAGCTCTATCTGTAGCAAGCTAAGCACAGCTCAGTTTTTTGCCACTGGCTGCCACAAGCCTGGGAGAATTCTTGGGGCCATGCACCTGACACCTGCAGGTTTGTATCTGCTCTGTTCCAGGGCCACAACTCGCAATTAGCCCCGCCCGTTCTGCTTGACGGCATGCCCAAGCCACTCCCACACAGCTGGTCCAAGTCCTCTTCCCTTGGCTCATGCGATGAAATCTACACATTTTCCTAACTTGGCAGAGCAGCCTAATCTTCCTCTGCCGGTGCCACCTCTCTCTCCGTCCCAACTCACATCAAAGTCTCTCAGGACCAGCCAGCTGGTCTGGTCAGATCGCACACGGAGAATGGGTGGGCACGTGCACCTCACACACGGCTCCCTTCTTGAGCGAAGCCACATGTTCCCCTCCCCAGCGCTGCTTGGCTTCACTCAACTAATTTGGAACAGTGATCTTGACACTAGAAAATGCTCTTATCCTGCTCTGCGGCCTGGGTTGCTCCGCCTGTGGGTGGACCCGCTCAGCTGAAGCAAAAAATTATCCACACAGTTTGCTGATTAGTCACAGCCTGCCCTGGGCTTGGTGACTTCTTCTGTGTCCTGTAGGAGGGGACATTCTGGCAAAAAGACCTGCATAGCTCTCCTCTTCCCACTCCAGCTGAACCATCGAGCTAGTCTCCCATACCCCATTCTGAATCCCTCTTGTCTCCTGAGCACAAGGGAGCTTTGAGTCATTCCATCAGCCCAATGGTGCTCAAATCCTAATGTGCATCAGGAAATTGTATTGGAAGTGCAGATTCCTGGGCTCTGGATCTAGGGATTCTGATTCAATAGACTGGGTGAGTTGCAGGAATCTGCATTTTTAGTAAGTACCTGCTCCAGGTGATTCCATTGTAGTGATCCAGGAACCTTATTTTGAGAAACCACCTCAAAAGCTGGGAGTGCCATGAGGCCAGGGATCAGAACCCCCCAGCTCCTGACACAGCATTTGCTCACAATAGATGCTGAGTAAATCCCTGTACTGGATGAATGATTGAATGATGGTGACGAAAGAGGTGTCCCAGCTCCCCGGGGTCAAGGAGTATTGAATGCATCTTTTGGGAGTAACCTAGGAACTTGCAAATACAGTAACAGAGTTCAGGCCCTTTAACTTGGCAATTGCTTTGGGGAAGAATATACATTAAAAGTATAATAGAAAAGTTAGAAAAATGGCACTGTGTGGTTGGAAAAATTATTTCTGTGAGAGAAAATTTGGAATCCCACAGACATGCAGCCAAAGGATGGTCTCTTATGATGTCTTCCCATGAGAGACTCTGACCAGGTACCAGCATGCAAGCTTGAGCCAGGTGAACGTGGAATGATGCAAAATGAATGAAGCAGGACCCAACACCGTCTGTTCCCACATGGCACACATGTGCACCATCCAAGCTTGAACGTACGCAGGGACGATTGAGTGGCTAGCAGTTAATGTCCACTTGGTTCTTTTTATGTGCAAAACAGCCTACGTTCACAGGAACTAAATAAAAACAAATGAGGCTGTTGCCACGTGGCTGGCCTCGAGCTCCTGGTAAACATCTGAAGAAAATGATGGCAAGAGGCAGAAAGTTGGGCTCAGAGTAAAAACATCTGAGGAGTGCATTGGCTTTGACAGACAGAGGAAATCACTCACAGATGCCTGGGTGCATTCTTCTCCGGTTGCCTCCCTCGTGCTCCCCTGGCAGGCTCCTGGGGATGCATCAGGGTCCTCTCTCTCCATCCTCCCCTTCTTGCCCTGTACCACCTCTGTCACACAGGATTCCCTTAGCCTGGTCCCCAAAGAACAAAAGAAGACCTCCACCCTCAAGAGACAGCTCCTCTGCCCAGCCCTTTCCAGGACCCCACAGTAGATGCAGCTACTGACCCTGTACAGGTCTTAAAGGATCCAAAGAGGAGTGGATTCCTAAGGGTGCGCCCTGACCTAACCTGTTACACCTGTCACGTTTCAGGCAGCTCTCTCTCTTACCACTCCATTCTGGAAGGTCTAAAGGTCAGCTCTCTAGGCACCTGGCAATTCTTCCCCAAGGGTCTGTTGGTTAAACAGGAACATCAACAGACAGAGAAATTGTCAGTAGGTTGCCTTGTTGCTGACACCAGAGTAGGCCTGGCAAGAAGGGTGCATTCAGGGGAGTGAAGAAGCAAAAGCAAAGAGAAAGTGGTTTCCAAAAGACAATGCAGCCAGTTCAAGCCAAACAGCATTAGCAGTAGCATCTCTCTCAAAAGCCAAAGACAGACAGAGCCAAAGAAACAGCGTATTTCAGCACTGTGGCTTTGGCCGTTAGTGTCTTAGAAAACCAAAACGAAATGTAACGACGTCTCCGAGCCTATGTCTGCTAACAGCTCTGAGATTGTCAACCTGGGAATAATGTACCAGGCTTTCTCTTTTAAAAGGAGGAGAGAGTTAAATGTTTTTAACACCATCCCAGAGGTCTCACGGTGGATTCTTTTCCCGGTTCTGGAGCAGGACATCGAGGCAGCAGATAGCCATTGCATATAGCGACGGGGTAGTTAGGGGTGCAGAATGTGGCACCAATTTACCTCCCTCAGGTCACATGCTGGAAATGTGTGCGCTCGTTTTGAGGATGGGGAATCCAGACATTCTGTAAGGAAAGGCACTGTCCCGCATGACAAAATACTGCCCGATTTTTGAATGTCCCACACCAGACAACCCTCCAGGGAAAAACCTGCTTATAATTTATCTTTGCCTAGATCCTAACTTGGATTTGCATATAAACACCAAGCATTTTTTACACGGTTTTAATAGTCACAGAATTCTGAAAATGCACTTAATCTGTAAATCTAGGGAAGATTAACTTTTTTGTTTGTTTATTTGAGATGGAGTCTCACTTTGTCTTGCCCAGGCTGGAGTGCAGTGGCGCGATCTCAGCTCACTGCAACCTCCGCCTCCCGGGTTCAAGCGATTCTCCTGTCTTAGGTTCCTGAATACCTGAGATTACAGGCGTGCACCACCACGCCTGGCTAATTTTGTATTTTTAGTAGAGATGGGGTTTCACTACGTTGGCCAGGCTGGTCTCGAACTCCTGACTTCAGGTGATCTGCCCGCCTCGGCCTCCCAAACTGCAGGGATTACAGGCGTTAAGCCACCGCATCCAGTCTTTGTTTTTTATTGAAGTGACATTCACATAATATAAATTAACCATCTTAAAGCGAATAATTCAGTGGCATAAATACACATTCACATTATTGTGCAGCCGCCACTGCATCTAGTTCCAAAACATTTCCATCACCCCAAAAGAGAACCCCACATCCATGAAGCAGTCACTTTCTGCTCCCTGCTCAACCTAGCCCCTGGCAACCTCAATCTACTGTCTCCGTGGATTCACCTATTTTGGATATTTGTTTCATATAAGTGGAAATATACAGGATGAGACCTTTTGTGTCCTCTTTCTTTCACTTTGCCTGTTTTCAAGGTGCATCCACGTTTATAGCATGTATCACTACATTACTCCTTCTTACGGCTGAATAATATTTCATTATACATATAGTCTACATTTGCTTCATCCGTTCACCCACTGATGGACATTTCGGTTGTGTCCACATTTTGGCTCTTATAAATAGTGGTTCTATGAACATTCATGGATGGGTATTGGGTTGGATACCTGTTTTCAATTCTTTGGGGTTATATACCTAGGAGTGTAATTGCTGGGTCATATGGTTATTCTTTAACTTTTAAGAAATCTGTACTTTGTTTTATATGAAACTCTACCAAAAATTGCTCATTATTTCAGAAAATCACCCTGCTAATGACTATACCTAGATCAGCCTACATTCATGGCTGCTGAGTTCCTTTTTTTGTTTTGTTTTGGTTTGTTTGTTTTTGAGACAGAGTCTCATTCTATTGCCCAGGCTGGAATGCAGTGGCACAATCTTGGCTCACTGCAAACTCTGCCTCCTAGGTTCAAGTGATTCTCCTGCCTCAGCCTCCTGAGTAGCTGGGATTACAGGTGTACGCCACCACACGCAGCTGATTTTTGTATTTTTAGTAGAGACAGGGTTTCACCATGTTGGCCAGGCTGGTCTCAAATCCTGGCCTCAAGTGATCCGCCTGCCTCACCGTCCCAAAGTGCTGGGATTACAGGTGTAAGCCACTGCATCTGGCCATGGCTGATTCATTCCTGATGACTGACATACAGGTACCATCATCTGACTATGGTATTGTATCCAAGCATTTACATGTTGAAAAATGTTATTTTACTATAAGATTATCTCCCTTTTATATTGTAGCCAGGTCATTACATTATTTTTTAAATTATTTATGAAGGTAAGTTGTATTATCTATGTAGTTGATGAAAAGGAGCATTACAGTATTTTTAAAGAGAGGAGTTAAGTCTGAGAGAGTTGAGAATCACAACCAGAGTGCTGAGCTGCATGCCAGTCTTTGCATCTGTGGGAACAAGATGACATTGATACCAACATACTGGAAAGGCCAGAGAATTTACACATTTTTCTGACAAAGCCTTGTGGTTTCTGTAACTATAGCCCAAAGGTTACAGGTGTGGTGGCCTAGAAACAGTTAAGTACCAACTTGCAGATAATATTTATGGTGGGGATAATGGTTCTGCTCAGACGGAGAAATATTTTCAGGGTATCTCTTCCTAAAAAAATAGTTCTCTTCCACAAAGCCTGGATAATAATCCCCTCAGTAGCACACCATATAGAGAGAGGAAAGCTAGTCACAAATAATAGAGCAGAGAGAATTTTGAGACGGTCAGCCTCCTTAAATTTCAGTTGCTGATCTGTGCAGCAGTAAATTAGAAACAGGGAAGAATAGAGCTATAAAATCGTTGACGAAAACACTACACTTAAAATATCATCCTACCCATGAAATTCATGATGGTGATTACCTCTGGGGATGTAGGGGGAAAAAATGCAATAAAAAAATACTTCAGGCCGGGTGTGGTGGTGGCTTACGCCTGTAATCCCAGCACTTCGGGAAGCCGAGGCAGGTGGATCACCTGAGGTCAGGAGTTTGAGACCAGCCTGGCCAACATGGTGAAACTCCCATCTCTACTAAAAATACAAAAAATTAGCTGGGCGTAGTGGTTGATGCCTGTAATCCCAGCTACTCGGGAGGCTGAGTCAGGAGAATCACTTGAACCCAGGAGACAGAGGCTGCAGTGAGCCGAGATCGCGCCACTGAACTCCAGCCTGGGCGACAGAGTGAGACCCTGTCTCAAAAAATAAATAAATAATAATAACAATAAACTTTGTAGAACACAGATTAGCATGTTGATATTTGTAAACTCTAGGGAAGTGAGAATATGGTTGTTGGTTATGTATTAGGTTGGTGCAAAAGTAATTGCAGTTTTGGCCATTAAAGTTTACAGATACCAAATAGTAGCTGTAAACTTCTGTATTACTTTCTCAAAATTAAATATGTGTATGTGTCTGAAAAGAAATCTTAGAGCAATCCTAGTCAGAAACTGAGTATTCTTGATAGTTTATATAAAGGCCCAAATATGACTGATCTAGCTGAAACTAATGAGCATCATAGAGATGTGGAGGACATAAGAACAGGATATTGAGAGAAAGATCAGAGAGGACCAGACCAGAGGCATTTCTGACCCTTTCTGGAGTCTGGAGAAAGGTTCTAACAGTTCATCCCTCATACAGGATGATAGGCATTAATGCTAGATCCACATGCAATAGTAATTCTAGTCTGTGGTTTTATGGACATTTAAATTATTGTTTTGTCTAGATGGGTTCAGTCATTAATCTTTTATGTTTTCTGAGTGGCATCCAGAGCTAAAAGAATTTTTCCAAGCATTGCTTAAGATAAATCTGAGGCCAGGTGGGACACAACTGACATTTCGGCTAAGAGACTGATGTCTAAGAGAGCTGACCAGTGAGATGCCTGTGGTAGATTAAAGACAACCACAAATTCTTTACTTTTCCTTTCATCAAAAAAGTGGAGCATTTTCCATCCCCTGGAGCCTGAGCTGGCCATCACTTGCTTGATCCATAGAATTCAGAAGCAGTGGTATTCTAGAACTTCCAAGGCTAGGTTATAGAAGTCTTGTAGCTTCTGCCATGCCTCTTAGAAGACTCAATCTGAGAGAAGCCAACAACATGTAAGTCTCACTACTCTGAGACTGCCATCCTGTGAGGAATCCCAAGCTAGATGAGCAGAGATGCCTTGTGGAAGGAGAACAATGACCAGCTAGCCCAAGCTGCTCCAGCTGTTGCAACCAAGGCACCAGACATGGAAGCGAAAAAGTCACTTTGGACATTGCAACCCCAGCAGACGTGACATGGAGAAAAACTGAGAAACCCAACTGATATTTGGAAACATAGCCTCAGATATATATCCCCAGTTGAACTGTTCCATCCATCTCCAGCCATGTGAGCCATCCCAGTCATCAGGGAACAGAGATGAGCTGTTCCCTCTGAGCTCTGTCCAAATTCCTGACCTGCAAAATCTTAAGCGTAATAAATGTTATTTAATGCCACTAAGTCTTGTGGTGGTTTATTCCTCAGAAATTGATCACAAAAACACTAGCCCTAGCTGAACAGTGCCTTGAGATTTGCTTGCTGCCTAAATTGGCAGCAATTCATATGTACCTTAAATATCCATCTCAGGTTCAACATGAAAATAGACTTATTCTTGACACACAGATAATTACGTACTTTTGCTGTGCATTCACATCTTGTCTTATCATTTTTATTTTGTTATTTATATGTCCAAGAACAAACACAAAAGTTTGTTTTATGGACAGGGAGTCTATGGGGATGGGAGGAAGGCAGGAAAATTCCAGGGTTTTTTTTAAAAAAAGGGAAAAGGTGGGAAATGCTTATATATCAAAATTAAATAGGTTTCATTCTTGCAAGACTTCTCAAAGCTCTTAGTATATAAATGTGCATTATAAATTGCCAAGAAGTAAACAGAAGATGAAGCACTTCCCTAAATGTATTTGACCATGAAACAGATTTTTTTGGTCCAGCACACCGTCTTGCAGGATTAGTGTTTCACAGAACAACACCTCTTGAACAGAGCATCCAAACCACTTGCTGGCATCAGTGTGTCTGTCTTGGTTTACGACCATTCAGTAGGCAAATGTGTGTGTGTTGTTCTGGAAGCACACACAGAGCAGTGTGCTCTGGGAGGTGCACACTTCACATGAGCCTTTTGGAAAGAAGCCAGAGGACAGCACAGACTTGGAAATCATCAGGTGCACCCAGGCGAGACCGTATCCCACGTTACACCCAGCATCTCTTCTGAATGGTCAGTTCAATTACCACACTGATGGTTAAATGTTTTTACCAACACCCCTGGGATTATAAAGATTAGGAGGGAGAAATATGCCAACAGTACTGGAAATGGTCATGCCACCCGTCCTGTCATTGTTAAAAAATCATTTTGCCTTTGATTCTGGGAAGCACACGCCTGGGAATACTCCCCAGGCCTCTCACTTGACCCCAATAGAACTGTCCCTTTTATGCCACCAAATGAGCTTCGTGATTAGTCATGCCTGTTTCAGCTGGCTAAGTGCCCAAGCAGTGCCTGAGGCTGGTCCAAGTGTTTCTTCCACCAATTTGAGCTGTCAAATCCACTCATTTTCCTAGGTTAGTAGTGGCAGTACAGTCATCCTCAAAAGAGACATTTCCTGGCCGGGCGCGGTGGCTCACGCCTGTAATCCCAGCACTTTGGGAGGCCGAGGCGGGCGGATCACGAGGTCAGGAGATCGAGACCATCCCGGCTAAAACGGTGAAACCCCGTCTCTACTAAAAATACAAAAAATTAGCCGGGCGTAGTGGCGGGCGCCTGTAGTCCCAGCTACTTGGGAGGCTGAGGCAGGAGAATGGCGTGAACCCGGGAGGCGGAGCTTGCAGTGAGCCGAGATCGCGCCACTGCACTCCAGCCTGGGCGACAGAGCGAGACTCCGTCTCAAAAAAAAAAAAAAAAAAAAAAAAAAAAAAGAGACATTTCCTGAGGGCCAAGGCTCACGTGTTCCCTAGAATCACATCCAAGTCCAGCTCAGCCTGGTGTGATGTAGGCTGGAACCATGATTAGGAATTCAGAGAAGCAAATCCAGCTGCTCCACACTTGGACCATTCCACTCCTGACGCTTGTTCCAAGTTATAGCTGACAGGCTGCCTATGTTTTCCTAGGTTCCCCATCCACAGATTTAGATAAGAGAGAGGTGTTCTTGCTGTAGTCATTGACTTTATAATTTGGGAGTTTTCATATAATTGGGGGTTTAGGTTTTTTTCATGGTTCAAGCTGGTCCCATATTTTACATCCCTCTCTCTCCCTATTAGGGCTCAGGATGCTGAATTGTGATTTTGCATTTGCACATTTGTATCCTCCACTGGACTGTAAGCATAGTGACACTAGAAAGCCCCTTGTTCACCCCTATGTCCCCAGCCCCCAGCAAAGAGCTACCAGGTGCCTGCATCACCCTGGGTATCTCATCTGCATTCCAGGCAGGAAGCAGAAGGAAGGAAAAAAGATGAAGAACAAAACACATTTGTCAGCTAAGTCCACCCCCACTTATCAGGAAAAAACAGTATCTATCAGTTCTAGAAATCCACTCAGAAGTCCTTACATCTCATTGGCCAGGACAGAGTAACTTAGCCTCCCCTGTGGTAAAGAAATCCATGCAAGGAAGGAGCAGATTTTGCTTTTGTTTTTGTTTTGAGACAGGGTCTCACTCTGTCACCCAGGCAGGAGTGCAGTGGTGCAATCATGCCTCACTGCAGCGTTGGCCTCCCAGGCTGAAGCGATCCTCCCACAAGAGCCTCCCAAGTAGCTCAGACTACAGTTGTGTGTCACCACGCCCTGCTAATTTTTTTTTATTTTTTTGTAGAGACACATTCTATATTGCCCAGGCTGGTCTCAAACTCCTGGCCTCAAGCTATTCTCCCAACTTGGCCTCTGAAATTGCTGAGATTACAGGCATGAGTGACCATGTCCTGCTAATTTTTAAAAAAAAATTTTTGTAGAGATGAGTTTTGACTAAGTTGCCCAGGCTGGTCTCAAACTTCTGGCCTGAAGCTATCCTCCCATCTTGGCCTCCCAAATTGCTGAGATTACAAGCGTGAGTGACCACTCCTGTGAGATTTTTAAGTAGGCACGTTTGCTCTAAACAAAATATGATTCCTTCATAAGGAAGAAGACAGAATAGATGTTGAATCAGTAACTGCAATGTTTGATGTTGATTGAAATGAAAAGACTGGGCTTATTTTTATTCATAAAAATAAATAGGGTTTTTAAGAGATGTGTTTCAGCATGTCTATCCACAGACAAAGATATGACTTAATTTTATTTATGTAAAATTCTGCTGAGAAACTCATGCTCATCTAGCCAGTGGAAGTATCCAATTAGGGGGTGCAGGGCCTTTCTTTTGAAATAAATCACTCAGTTGTCAGAAATTAGCACAGCCCCTCATCATTTGGGTTCCTTCATGAATCATCAGGCCACATCCTTTTCCATTTATGTGACTGTGTTGTGTTGCAAATTAAGTTTTAAAAGACATTTTTTTTCTCAAAGAAAATGTAAAGAATAGAGTACCCCCCACAACCACCACCCGGGATAATGAACTATAGCTACTGTCATTCCAGGAGGGCTTAATGACAGTGTTCGATGTGTGTGTGGACAGCCGAGGCTTCCCCCAAAGTTGTCTCTGTGAATGGGCTTCAAGATGTTTTGACTATTATCTGTTACAAAGAAACTTACTATTAATTGCATATTGTCATAGCTGTTAGTCCAACATAACTGTTAGCCCAACAAAGCATTCTCTCCTCAGGAGAAGGGGATGGGGACACAGCCTAATTTTCTTCCACTGGGTAAGCGGTTTCTCTAAGTTCCTCGCTGCTCCATTCCTTAAGTTTTCTTGGAGAAAATCAAGTTGAGGAAGGACTCATTCTTCCCTGTGGATGACTTCAGCTCTCTTCCAGGCAGGAGTGAGGATGGCCCTCCATCATCCCAGGATCCACCTGTGTCTGGGAAACAGCAGGAGCGGCGTTTCTCAATGAGCTGTACAGAGGACACCAGGGACACAGGCATTAGGGCTACACATGCTTCGGGTTGCTCCGATGGTGGTGGCGACTGCTTCTTGGCCTCTCCCCCATACTCCCTTCCACCTCCCATGTGACCTGATGCTGGAGAAAGTGTGGTTTAGCGGGAGGCTGATGGGGAAGTCCTGTGGGTAATGAGTCAGAAAGAGGAGGAGCAAAAGTAAGACAGAAATGCTTACAATGTTTAACTGGAGGGAATTAACTGTGATATAACTCCAAGAAGAAAGTAACAACATCATTATTGCGCAAGATTCAGGAGTTTGATTCCATGTTGGACAAATGCAGGGAGATGAACTGATTGTACCCCTGGTCCATTCCCTACATCTCCAAAGACTGATCTTAAAACACGGATCCACTCACATCCTTCTCCTTCTTATTTATTTCCAAAGGCTCCCATTGCCTGCTAGATAAAGCCCATACCTCTCAGCCTGGCATACAAGTTCTCATACAGATGGACCAGACCTTGTCTCCTAGCATTGCTTCCACACCCCCAGCCCTCCCACAGCCACACCGAGGCCACAGTGAACTGTCACTGTCCCCAGGCTCAGTGCACTTGCATGCCTTCACACTCTGGCTCCTGTTGCTCCCTTTTCCTAGATGCCTTCTCTTCTTTCTTACCTAATAAACTCCTGTTCATCCTTCAGCACTCAAATTCAATGTCATTTCCTTTGTAATGCCTGTCCCAAGCCAGGATTCATCTTACCTCCTCTGGGCTCTCTGCACTTGGCTCTGACCTCAACCACAGCACCAATCATATTGCATCATCATATTTCTAAGTCCTCTATTAGGTTTTACATAATCTCCTTCTCACCAGGAATTGTGTCTTATTGACTGGGATAGTCCCAGTCAATGTAACCAGTACAGGTAGAATGAAAAGTAGAGTGTGCTGGGGGATGGGAGGAGGAAAGGATGGATGGATGGATGGATGGATGGATGGATGGATGGATGGATGGATGGATGGAAGGACAGAGGCATGGAAGGATAATTTGTATTATATTAATATTAGGTATCTTGGACTATTAAAGAGGATCTACATGCCTATGAACCGAAAGAAGTCTGTAAACAAAGAATCAAATCATTGAACTGAGACTCAAGTGATCCCAGTCTTAGTTGCTTTACAGGTCCCAGTGTCCCAATCTAATAACTGAGTAATACAGCTCCTGCTCTAATGTTCTGTGAGCCAGTGATAGTCTAAATCATTGCCATCCAATAGCACCTTCTGCAGGAATGGAAATGTTCTAAAATTTATTCTGTCCAATAGGGTAGCCATTAGCCACATGTCACTATGTGCACTTAAAATGTGACTAGTGCAACTGAAGAACTACATTTGTGATTTTATTCAACCTCAATTAATTTTAATTGAATATTTAAATAGCCACATGAGGCCAGTGGCTACTATATTGAACAGCACAGGTATAAACCACTATGCTCAAAGCCTGTGTTATACTTCAGTGTACTGCTACTTAACACCATCAAAGACATTGCTATATAGGCTCAAACTGCACAGATTCTTCTTGATGTGTTGATAAAGACACCTATGTTGGATGAAGTGAGTGGTGTTCTACCCTCTCTCATTTCTCAGCTAAACATAACTCTTCCACTGACTTTGGCCCAGCCTATCACATGTACCTGGCCTGGATCCAGACAGTTAGAATTATGAGAATCAGCTCAGAGATGTCCAACCAAGAGATCAAAATTTCCTGATGAATCTCAAAATATGACTTGATATAGCTCTAATTTCCTTTGAGTCCTGTTCTTTAAAGTTGTCACCCCATTGAGGGCAAAAATGGTATCCTGTTCATCACATTTCTTGTAACATCTAGAGTCATACCTGGCACTTAGCAAGTGATCATTAACATTTGCTGAATTAATTTACCAGGATTGCAAATGAGGAGAAGCATTCTAGTGATGGGCTTGGATTCTCATGACCAACGATGGTACTCCCGAAAGCCTATCTACCCATCAAAGACGGTCAACCATAAAACCTACTCAACGTTCAACAACAGACAAGTCTTAAACACCTTCTATGTGTCTAATCCCAGGCATTTGACCATTTGCTCAGGACCTGAGATACAGAATACATAAGACAAAGTCCCACCCTTCAAAGAACTCAGTTTAGTAGAACTGAGAGACACACAATTAATTCTAATTTTAGTAGCCACTTACTTCAATAGACATGCAGGTAAGGAGCCACATAAGAACTCTTCATTTAATACAGTTTAAGGATCTCTGGATTGGACATTTTGGTGGACACTGAATTGCACCATGCAGATTCCCCTTTAATCAAAGACTTGCTGGCCCAGTTGCTAGGAATGCTGTGGGCAGGCAGCCTCCAAACCTGTCCTTCAGAGAGCCTTCATCCAGTTACTGGACAGTGTAGGAGTATACAGACCCAGCCATCTCGTCCCCATTCAGATAACTCTGAAGTCATTTTAGCTCCCAGAATTGACCTGACTTGAGCCGAGGCTGTCCTTGGGCCTGCAGCAGCAGCTCAATTTCTCCCTCTGTGCCCTTCTGCTTCCTTCCTTTTCCTTTCTGGGGACCATCATTAATAAACCTCCTACATGCTAAACTCCACGCTCAACTCCCTCTGGAGTCAGCTTCCCAAGGAGCCCAACCTGCAGCAATCAGTACCACCAATGTAAGAGAAAACTTGAGAAGAGATAGAATTTGGGACTGTATCACTTCCCATCTGGCTGGCAATGAGACTCCAGCACTCACTTGTGGACAGTGGAACACTGAGCCCCTGGCACAATTCAGTGGTCCGATCTAGTTGTAAAATCAGGTGCTGGCGGATTATTGGGATATACACCAGCAGAGGGGGATGCATTTGCTATTGCAATGTATCAGATATCTGACACAAGATGGCCATGTCTTCATACTCCTACATTGTCCAGGAACTGTATGAAGACTCTCTGAAGAACTGGCTTTGGAGGCTGCCTGTCAACAGCATTCCTAGCAGCTAGCGCAGGCAGCAAGTCTTTCACTGAAGGGGAATCTGTGGTACAACCCAATGTCTACTACAATATCGAATCCAGAGATCCTTAAACTGTTTTAAATTAAAAGCTATTGTCTGTCTTCTTACCTGCACATCTATTAAAGTAAGTGGCTTCTAAAATTATAATTGATTGTGTGTGTCTGTTTCCTACTAAACTGTGAATTATTTGAGGAGAGTGGTTTTGTTGTATGTATTCTGTATCCCAGGTCCTGAGTAAATGGCCTGGGTAATATGACAGTAATAGTAATTATGGACAATGATGGCTATTATTAAGCTTTGCTGATACAGTGGTCCCCTCTTATCCTTGGAGGATACATTCCAAGACCCCCAGTGGATGCCTAAAAGTGTGAATAGTACCAAACCCTATCGATATCGTGTTTTGTTGATCTGATAACTGAGATGGCTACTAACTGACTAACACGTGGGTAGCATCTACACCATAGATCTGATGGACAAAGGGATGACTGATGTCCCAGGTAGGATGGAGCTGGACAGCATGAGATATCATCATGCTACCCAGATTGGCATGCAATTTAAATTGTATGCATTGTTTATTTACGTAATTTTCCAGTTAATATTTTTGGACCATGGTTGGCCACAGGTAACTGAAATCAGGGAAAGCTAAACTTGGATAAAGGGGGAACCACTGCAGTCTGGAAAAGAGGAAAGAAAAAGCTGAGAGGATTCATCCCAACCTTCTCAGTAGGACAGAAAGAGGTTCTTGTCTGCTGCAGTGGGAGGGCACAGAAAACTGAAGACCAGCCACAGGACGCAATTGTCAGAATAGCTGAGTCCAAAGTTTAAACTCCTAACCTAGGAAGATCTGCTGTGCCAGGGTCAGGGCTGTGGTTAGGATAAATTGGGACTCTGACTCAAGCAATTTGAATAGCTGGGTTAATCCCCTATCTCCCAAATTTTCCAAGCCTGTAATAGTGGCCCACCTTCCCTATTAAAAAGCAACACTCCACCACTGGATGGGGATTATGAGCCTTCCCCCTATAAGGCCCCAAGTGTCTTACACAAGACATCTGCCCTCACCTCCCTTCTTAGCCACTAATCCTCTAGCTAGAGTTAGTTAAATTACAACATAACCCAGCCCAGGACATACTGTGACTGATAATGGAAAAAAAGGAATTATACCCTTGAGAAGCTCCAAGACCTAGCCAGCATGTACCAGCAGGACTGGGAGGGTACACATGGAATTGTATTTTGATGGTGCTTAATCAGGAGGTTGAAATATAAGCCTGGGTAAATAAGTGTTTGTACATTTGAGAGCCTCTCCCAGAATGAAAGATCGAATACTCTGGCAGGAATGATAGAAGATAGAAGAACCACACTTAGATGGCTCCTAGAACAAAAAAGGCAATGCTCACATGAAATGAGGTGGAAATGCCGGATTTGCCATGGCTGATGGTGGAAGAAAGGATTAAAAGTCTCAGGAAAAGTGGAGAGGCTGGAGCGGATATACCAAGAAAGGCCAGGAAAATCATGAAAGTTGATTATGTTCCAAAAGACGACCCGAAAGAATCTGCTGGTGAGAAGGGCCTCAGTGTCATTAAAAAATTCAGTGGTGGCTCTCCTCTCTCGGCAAACAGTAGGAAACGCCACTACAAAACTATACTCTCTAATATTGATGGAATGAAAGGACTCCTAAACAGAAGCAAATTGACAATTCAGAACCATTAGGAGCCAAGTGGATTCAATTACCGTGAGTGGCAAGACTGGAGCAGGGAGGCTGGAGGTGGTTGGCCTGCAAAGAGATTATGCAGCTAGTTTCTAGAACATGAATACCTATGGGCAAAATAGGCAGACAACAAGGGTACTACTACTCAGTTGATACCAACTAAAGAAATCACAGATGGATAATCAGATGACTAAGGACAGTTATTTTAATATCATCATCCCTAGTCCATTTTTATGCGCCAACAGCCCGTTTTCTGAAGGAATGATCAGGTACCCACGAGAAAGGACTCCATAAGACCACAGCAGGCACACACACTTTTGATTCCCCCAGTTCTTCCACAAAAGGATCTTTGACTATTTACTCAGACGACTGAATTGGGGAAAGGAAGATAACCCAAACATTTTGAGAAATGTTGGACACAAGATCCAAATTGACACTAATATCCAGAGACCTTCTGGAGTAGGATCCTGGGGGAGCTAGATGATAAACGGAACCATGGCCAAGGTTTAAGAGATACTGGGTCTGTGTCCGGAATTTATTCCTTCTGGTGGGTTCTTGGTCTCGCTGACTTCAAGAATGAAGCTGCAGACCTCGCGGTATTACAGCTCTCAGACGTGGTGCATCCGGAGTTGTTTGTTCCTCACGGTGCGTTCATGGTCTATGGCTCTGACTTAAAGGATGAAGCTGCAGACCTCACGGTCAGTGTTACAGCTCTTAAAGGTGGTGCATCCGGAGTTGTTTGTTCCTCCCGGTGGGTTCGTGGTCTCGCTGACTTGAAGAATGACGCGGCAGACCCTCGCGGTAAGTGTTACAGCTCTTAAAAGTGGTGCAAAGCCAAAGAGTGACCAGCAGTAAGATTTATCAGGAAGACCGAAAGAACTAAGCTTCCACTGGTTTCAATGGTACCCGACCTGGCTGCCGCTGCTGGTAGGGGCGGCCAGCTTTTATTCCCTTATTTGGCCCCGCCCATGTCCTGCTGATTGGTCCATTTTACAGAGTGCTGATTGGTCCATTTTACAGAATGCTGATTGGTCCATTTTTACAGAAGGCTGATTGGTGCATTTATAATCCTCTAGCTAGACAGAAGAGTTCTCCAAGTCCCCACCCGACCCAGAAGCCCAGCTGGCTTCACCTCTCAGGTCTGCTGAGGCTACAGCCCATCTGGTGGTTATTTCCTCAGCTCCTGAATGTGTAATCAGAACTGATATGCTTGGTGGTTAGCACGCACATTGCATCTTTGGTCTGCAGGGTAAACGTCATCCCTGGGGAGAAACTTCTACCTGCTACCTCCTAGACAAGAAAATAAAAAAATCATGCCCAAGGAGTGTGACAAAAAATAGGCCCTCTCTCAAGGATCTAAAGCTGCACTGCCCAATGTAGCCCTAACCACATGGGGCTATTGAGGATTTGAAACGTTGTTAGTGCACTTGAGGGACAAATTTTTTATTTTATTTTTTTTTTGAGACAGAGTCTCACTTGATACCCAGGTTGGAGTCCAGTGATGTAGTCTCCACTCACTGCAACCTCCGCTTCCCGGGTTCAAGTGACTCTCCTGCCTCAGCCTCCCGAGTAGCTGGGACTACAGGTGCCCGCCACCACACCTGGCTAATTTTTGTATTTTTAGTAAAGACAAGGTTTCACCATGTTGGCCAGACTAGTCTCAAACTCCTGACCTCAAGCAATCCTCCCGCCTTGGCCTCCCAAAGTGCTGGGATTACAAGTGTGAGCCACTGCACCTGGCCTTCTTTTATTTTAATTAGTAAAATGTTAAAACTTGTGTGTGTGGCCGGCACGGTGGCTCACGCCTGTAATCCCAGCACTTTGGGAGGCTGAGGCGGGTGGATCACCTGAGGTCGAGTTCGAGACCAACCTGACCAACATAGAGAAACCCCGTCTCTACTAAAAATACAAAATTAGCCAGGCGTGGTGGCACATGCCTGTAATCCCAGCTACTCGGGAGGCTGAGGCAGGAGAATTGCTTGAACCCAGGAGGTGGAGGTTGCAGTGAGCCAAGATCCCACCATTGCACTCCAGCCTGGGCAATAAGAGCGAAATTCTGTCTCAAAAAAAAAAAAAACTTGTGTGTGTGATTCAGATATTGGAAAACTTTTAAGTATTTTTGGAACAAGTTGAGTATGTGAATCTACTTTTTCAATTGTAAATTTCATGAAAACTAAATATAAGTCAGTGTTTCTGCTAAAACTTTATATGGCTTATAATATACTAGAAGTATTAATACTTATTACCCCCCAAAAAACTATAAAATATCTCATTAATATTTTATGTTTATTACATATTAGATTTATTTTCATAGATTGAGTTAAAATATATTACTAAAGTTAATTTTACTGCACCTTTTTACCTTTTTAATATGGCTATTAAACATTTTTAAATTACATATATGGTTTGTGTTATACATACAATGAAAAGCATTGTTCTAAAGGATGCAGAGTTTGTGGTTCCAATCATGTCTCCATTTAATTCACCATCCTGGCCCCTGCAAAAAGCAGACAGATACTACACCATAACTGTGTTCCACCACAAACTCAACAGGTAGAGGCTCAAGTTGCAGCCACCATGTGCTTTCCCTCCTGGAACAGATTAACAGTGTCTTAGGTCCATGTTGTGTAGCCCTTGACTTGACAAATGTGTTGTTCCCCATCCTTATTAGAAAAGAGCATCAGGGACAATTATCATTCACATGGAATAGGCAATAGTACACATTTACAATTCTGCCACAATGGACTCTGACCTGGGTTCAAACTCCAATTCCTCCCCACTGTGCCTTTGGGAAGTAACCTCCCCAAATCTTACATTGCTCCATATGTAAAATTAGATTATGTCCACATCACAGGGTTGCTATGAAGACCAACATGAGCTAAGATGAGCTAACTCTACATCATAAAGTAAGCAATCCATAAATATAGGTCTCTCTTCCCCTCAGTGGCCAGAGAGATCTTGGATGCTAAGGCATGTAAAACACCTATTTAAGCTAGGATAAATAGAATAGTACTTCTATTTTGTTATGATACATATTGGTAAGTGCAAGGAGGGCTGGAACTTAGCCTATCTGCAGGAATATATTCTGTAATCTCAGTTGCATAATAGAATTACTTTACAAAGTTTTTTAAACAGCCCAGGTACAGTGGCTCATGTATGTAATCTCAGCACTTTGGGAGGCCAAGGTGGGAGGATCATTTGAGGTCAGGAGTTCAAGACTAGCCTGGCCAACATGGTGAAACCCCTATCTCTACTAGGTGGGTGTGGTGGTATGCACCTGTAATCCTAGGTACTTGGGAGGCTGCGACAGGAGAATCACTTGAACCCAGGAGGCAGAGGTTGCAGTGAGCCGAGATCGTGCCACTGCACTCCAGCCTGTGTGACAGAGCAAGACTTTGTCGCAAAAAGAAAAAAAAAAAAGAAAGTTTCCTAAAGAAATGGATGATCAGGCCCCAACCCCAGAGATTCTGACTTAATTTCAATTTTAAAATTTATGCTCAATTCAGTTATTGGAAAACATTATTATTAGTAGTAGTAGTAGTAGTAGTATTTTGTAGAGACAGAATCTCACTATGTTTCCCAGGCCGGTCTTAAAATCCTGGGCTCAAGTGATCCTCTCAACTACAGCCTCCCAAAGTGCTGGGATAACAGGGCATGCACCACCTCTCCTGGCTGGAAAACTTTTAAATACATTCAGAACAACTGGTCTCAGGTAACACCCAGGTATTTTTCAAGAGTTGCCCCAGCTGATTCTAACATGCAGCCAGGGTTGAGAGCCGCCTTTCCTACCTGGTCATTTTGTCATAAGTCTTGAATAAGTGATCTCTCTTCCTGTCTGCCTCTCTAAATTAAAACTGAATGCCCATCAGTCACAGATAAAGATTAATTAGATAATTGCATCAAGCATGTTCTTTGAGATCCTTAATAGCAGAAGGGAAGTTCCAGATATCATTAGGGCCACTGTCATTATTATCACTTCCAGTTTCAAGTAGGAATTAGAAGTCGGAGACAGATCCCTTCTCCCCCATGCTCAGCCTTCCCCAGTCCTGGATGTATTATTCTGAGTGTGTTGTGAGGGCTGGGGCCCATCAGAAGGTTCTGAAGCATATTAATGTGGAGGCCAGCCCAGCACAGGTGTGAGCTGGAGTCTGATGCTGTTTGCTATTAAATACAGCAACCCTGGCGTCAGCATATTTGCAACACATTTCAAGATTGGGTCAGGAGGCCAGGAGCTGATGATGGATTTTTTATTTATTTATATATTTATTTTGCTTTACTGGCAAACTTGAGATTTGTAGGGTTCTCAAGCAGCTGCCGTCAAACCATCAGGTTACAGAGAATAGGCACCAATGGAGAGGGAAGAAAATAGATTCTGGTTGCGACATTCTGTCTGGTCAGCTCATCACCCTTCCCCCCAACTTTCCTACCCCATGGTAAAGCAAGGCAGCAAGGGCTGATGGCTGAGGCACAGGCAATTGTCATTGGCCTGACTGGGACATTGGCAAGAGACACTTCTGCAGTGGAGCAGCAAATCAACTTTCCATTTTGTGTTATATGTTCAGCCGAATTTTCACAGCTGCTTGGCACCCAGAATGGGTGTGGTCAATTACTACCAGGGCCTGTACTGACAATGTGTATTCTACCTTTCATTGCCAAGGCCTCCTCACTATGCTGATATAGAGGGTCAAGAAGGGCTTAAGGGGCTGGGCGTGGTGGTTCAAGCCTGTAATCCTAGCATTTTGGGAGGCCAAGGCAGAATGATGATTGAGACCAGGAATTCAAGACTAGTCTGGGTGACATAGTGAGACCCATCTCTACCAAAAAAATCAAAAAATTAGTTGGGCATGGTGGCACGCCTATGGCCCCAGCTACTTGGGAGGCTGAGGCAGGAGGCTCACTTGAGCCCAGGAAGTCGAGGCTTCAATGAGCTGTGGTCACACCACTGTACTCCAGCCTGGGCAACAGAGTGAGACACTGTCTCAAAAAAAAAAAAAAAAAGGGAGGGGGTGTCTCAAGGTCTTCAAGGGGAGGGGCCAACCTCACACTAAACCTCACACTATTAGTTTATGGTTAACATGTATCACACACATACACACACTCACTTTGGGGAAATGTTTAAGTCATGCTATTTCTAATCTCTATCTTTTTCCTGAAAACAGAAAGAAAAAGCCACCAATTCTCAGTAGAATCAGAAAATTTGGGCAGTGGAAGGACCCAAGAGGTGAACTGGTGCAAGCTCCCATTCAATGCCATTCACATCACCCTCCCTGAGGGAGGCATCTTCCTGTCTTGCTTGATGGTCTCCTATGATGGAAAACTCCCTTGTGGCCAGGAACCCACTGGAATATCCAAGGCCCTTGTGGGGGTCAATGGGAGTGGGCCACGGGGTGCCCAGATGAAACACTGTTTCTGAGTATATCTGTGGATGTTTCCAGATGAGGTTAGCATCTGAATCAGCGGACTCTGTTAAAATAGATTGCCCTTTCCAACGTGAATTGGCCTCGTCTAGTCCCTTGAAGGTCTGAATAGAATAAAAGGCTGAGGAAGGAGGAATTTACTCTGTTTTTTCCTGCCTCTTCTTGAGCTGAGACAGCTCCTCTCACCTTCTCCTGCCCTCAGAACGGGATTTACACCATCGGTTCCCCTGGCTGTCAGGCCTTCAGACTCCGACCGCATCACACCGCTGGCTTTCCCGGGTCCCCAGCTTACAGATGGCAGAAGTCCTCCATAATCACAAGAGCTAATTCCTCACCATAAACCTCCTTTTATAAATTACGTGTATAGAAATCAATATCTATAACCAATAAGATCTATTGCTGTGTTGCTCTGAAAATCCCTGACTCAGATAGCCCTGTCCCCAACCTACCTCAAATAAATGTCTTTACTGTGGTTTCAGAATACAGTACCAAAAACTGTTCAAGTGCTTCCGAGAGAGCAGAGCGATCCGTGCAGCTGCCTGGCTCCACACACCAAAAACGCCCAGTGGCAAATACAGTCAGTCATCGCAGCCACGGAGCCATCGGACACCTGGAGCCGCTCAGCACGCACGCTTTTCAGCTGCCTGGAAAATCCCCCTGGAGAGCAGTGCAGACGGGGCTTTGTTTTCCTCTTTCACTTGCCATTTCTCTTTTTCTCTTTTCCTTTGAACATTTTCAAATCCTTTTTTCTTTTCCCACCCATCTGGCAGCCACCGCCGGTCCAAAAGCTTTGAAAGCTCTGTGGCTTCTCAACCCACCTTGCATCCTGCAACCATTTCTGCTCTAAGCCCCGAGATGATGCCTCTTGCTCTCTGCTGGAAGGGCACGTATTGTGTGTGGTGTAATGTAAGGAGAGAAAGGTTTGGAATGACTGAGGATTGGACTGAAAATATAAGCCTTCCACTTATAGCTGAGTGTCCTTGGGAAAATTAATAAGCCTCTCTGACTCTCTATTTTCTCCCCTGTAAAATGAGTTTGATACCTATCTTCGAAAAGTTAAGAAGGCCGGGAAAGGTGGCTCACTCCTATGATCCCAGCACTTTGGGAGGCTGAGGTGGGAGGATCCCTTGAGCTCAGGAGTGTGAGAACAACCTGGGAAACATAGTCAGAACTTGCCTCTACAAAAAAATTTTAAAAATTAGCAGGGCATGGTGACACCTGACTGTAGTCCCAGCAACTCAGGAGGCTGAGGCGGGGAGATCGCCTGAGCCTGGGAGGCCGAGGCTGCAGTGAGCTGTGATCTTGCCACTGCACTCCAGCCTGGGCAATAGAGCAAGACCCTGTCTCAAAACAAACCAAAAAAATCTGCCCCTTCCTTGCCTGGATTTCTTTACTCCAGAGGTGGCTAAATCACTCTGTCCTGGACAATGAGATGTAAGGATTTCTGAGTGGATTTCTAGAACTCATAGATACTGTTTTTTTCCTGATAAATGGGAGTGGACTCAGCTGACACATGTGATTGGTTCTTCATGTTTTCTTCTTTCTTCTGCTTCCTTCTTGAAATGCAAATGAGACACCCAGGGTGATGCAGTCACCTGGTAGCTCTCCGCTGGGTGCTGGGGACATAGGGGTAACAGGGGGCTTCCTAGTGTCACTACGCTTGTAGTCCAGTGCAGGAAACAAATGTGCAAATGCAAAATCACAGTCCAACACCCTGAGTCCTATGATAGGGAGAGGGAGGGATATAAAATATGGAATGAGCCTCAACCATGAAAATAACACACCCCAAATTATATGAAAACCCCCAAAGTATAAAATCAATGACTACAGCAGGAACACTCCTCTATCTTATCTAAATCTGGGGATGGGGCCAGGAGTTCAAGACTAGCCTGGCAACATGGCAACACCCTGTCTCCACAAAACACACACACACACACACACACACACACACACACACACACACACACACACAAATAAATCAGGGTGTGGTGGTGTGCCTGGGAAGGAGGGTCACTGAAGCTGGGAAGATCAAGGCAGCAGTGAGCTGAGATCATGCCACTACTCACTCCAGCCTGGGTGACAGAATGAGACTTTATCTAGGAAAGAAAGGGAAGAAAGGGAAGGAAAGAAAGGGAAGAAAGGGAAGGAAGAGAAGGAAGGGAGGGAGGGAGGGAAGGAAGGGAGGGAGGGAGGGAGGGAGGAAAGGGAGGGAGGGAGGGAGGGAAGGGAGGGAGAGAGGGAAGGAATGGAGGGAGGGAAGGAATGGAGGGAGGGAGGGAATGGAGGGAGGGAGAGAGGGAGGGAAGGGAGGGAGGGAGGGAGGGAGGGAGGGAGGAAAGGGAGGGAAGGAATGGAGGGAGGGAAGGAATGGAGGGAGGGAAGGAATGGAGGGAGGGAGGGAATGGAGGGAGGGAAGGGAGGGAAGGGAGGGAGAGAGGGAGGGAAGGGAGGGAAGGGAGGGAGAGAGGGAAGGAATGGAGGGAGGGAAGGAATGGAGGGAGGGAGGGAGGGAAGGAATGGAGGGAGGGAAGGAAGTTTGGTTAAGAATAAAACTTCCAAAGAGATTGGTTGAAGATTGAAACAAATTTTTTAAAACTTTGAGTCAAGACTTTGGTATCAGACAAGTGTGGGTTCAACTCTCAGCTTTGTGTTTTACTCCATCTTTAACTGAGGGCAATTTATATAAAGATCCCTATGAGAAATAATTGAGGCAATATATGCAAAGTGCTTGGCACAAAGTACATGTTTAATGAACCTTAGTAATGAGGATGGTGTCCCCCAGGGGTTAAAGGTGGTAGAGATTACTTACGAAACAGAAGCAATGTTGTAATCCAGAATTCAAAATTGAACCCATAACATACTATTTTTTACCTAACTGCCCACTGACCAACATTGATAAACATCTAATACCTAGTATTGGTGAGAATATGGGGAAAAAAGGCCCTTTCATGCAATGATAATAGGAGTACAAACTGATACAAACTTTCTGAAGCCAATTACAGCAACTCACATCAATAGTCTTAAAAGTGTACATACCCCTTGACCCAGAAATTTTACTTCCAAGAGTTTATCTAAGGAAAGAATCATGGATGTGTGCCAAGACAGATACCCAAATACATTCATTACAGCATTGTGAATGATTAGCAAAAGTTGAGGGGGGTGAGGGAGGAAGACCCAAATACCCAACAAAGAGAACTAAAGAAATGATGATAGAATACTCAGAAGCCAGGGCTGGCACAGTGGCTCACACATGTAATCCCAGCACTTTGGGAGGCTGAGGTGGGCAGATCACTTGAGGTCAGGAGTTCGAGACCAGCCAAGCCAACGTGGCAAAATCCTGTCTCCACGAAAAATACAAAAATTAGCCGCGTGTGGTGGCACTCGCCTGTAATCCCAGCTACTTGGGAGGCTGACGCAGGAGAATCGCTTGAACCCAGGAGGAAGAGGTTGCAGTGAGCCGAGATCCCACCACTGCACTCCAGCCTCAGCGACAGAGCAAGACTCTGTCTCAAAAAAAAAAAAAAAAAAAAAAAAAAAGAAGTACTCGGAAGCCACTGACAATGACATTGTAAGGAGTGAAGGACTCAAGAAAATTTTTACAACGTATTTTAAAATTTAAGACGCTGGTTTCAGAACACAGGGAAATTTCTAACATTCAATAAGAAAAATGCCATAGAGACACTAAAATATTATAAGCAGCCATCCCAAGCAGTGGGAATAACGAAGAGAAGAAGAAGTCCTCCCTCAGCACCTATGACCAACCCGATTCCTGAGGGTCGGCCCAGCCCAGGCACCACACAGGATGGAGATCACACCCCCTGCTTGCTTCTCTGCTCCATGGTTTCTAGGTTGTTCATGGAGTAAGGTCTTCTCCTTGTGAAGATCAATTTCAGGGAATATTTATGCGACTACTCCTGAAAATGCCTATAAAAACAGATTTTTTTTTTTCCAAATGTGATTTGTTCTTTGACAAGTACAGCAAAGCAAGAAAACACTATTTTTGGAAACAAATGGAATATATCCAAAAAAACTGTGGAATGTAGTGGTAGAAACAAATACATTTCTATATTTGTGCATCCACTTCTCTCTTCCCACCTAGCGTTTGCCAGTAAGGGAATAATCTTTGTAACCTCCAAAAATGTCACAGGAGGGGCATAAGTGACTTGTTTCAAGGGGCAGGCTTGAGTGCCATGAAAGTGGGATTCGGCTCCAAGCCCTGAGGCCGGCACGATCTTCAAAGTTCTACAGAGAAGAGACCGGAGGCCTTTTTGTTATGTTAATAGCCTTTAGCTTAATGCTTTTTGCTGTACTCTTTGTTTTGGAGAAATAAATTAAAGGTGTTAAGCTGAGAAGGGTTATAATTGATTTCCTCTTTGTGCTTTTCTATATTTTCCAATTTTTCTAAAACAGATATGAATTACCACTGTGACTAGGTTACTATTTTTTTAAGAGAAGGGTGAGGTGACCGCCACAGCTATCTCATGGCATCATTTCAAGTGCCCTGCAAAGATCTCCCTTGACCCCCGAGGTGGCCTGAAATACTTTTCACTGAATATAGGGACCTTCATTTCAATGAGATAAAGTTTAAAATTCAAAATTCTGGACCAGAGATGGGAAAGGACATATCTCTATTTGCACACTGTGGTAAAAATGACTAATAATACTTTGCTGGGCTGTACCTTGGGAATGGGCTCTTTATTTAGGGGTTCATAGCTTCAGCCTCCTAACTCCTTTTTTTTTTTTTTACCCCCCCACCCCCCGAGACAGAGTCTGGCTCTGCCATCCAGGCTAGACTGCATTGGCACAATCACAGCTCACTGCAGCCTCAACCTCCCGGGCTCAAGCAATCCTACCACTTCAGCCTCCTAAGTAGCTGGGACTACAGGTGTGCGCCACCATGCCCAGCTAATTTTTGTATTTTTTGTAGAGATGAGGTTTTGCCATGTTGCCCAGGCTAGTCTTGAACTCCTGGGCTCAAGCAATTCACTCGCCTCAGCCTCCCAAAGTGCTAGGATTACAGCACAAGCCACCATGCCTGGCCCCTAACCCTAACACAACTCTGTAGGTCAGGGGTCCCCAAGCCCCAGGCCATGGACCAGTACATGGACCACTACTGGTCCATGGCCTGTTAGGAACCAGGCTGCACAGCAGGAGGTAAGCAGCAGGTGAATGAGCAAAGCTTCATCTGTTTTTACAGCTGCTCCCCGTGGCTCCCATTACTGCCTCAGCTCCGCCTCCTGTGAGATCAGCGGCAGCATTAGATTCTCATAGGAGCATGAACCCTATTGGGAACTGTGTACCCAAGGAATCTAGGTTGCATGTTCCTTATGAGAATCTAATGCTTAGTGATCTGTCACTGTCTCCCATCACCCCCAGATGGGATTGTCTAGTTGCAGGAAAACTCAGGGCTCCCACTGATTCTACATTATGGTGAGTTATATAATTATTTCATTATATATTACAATGTAATAATAATAGAAATAAAGTGCAAAATAAATGTAATGGGCTTGAATAGTCCCGTAACCATCCCCACACCCTGGTGGGCCCATGGAAAACTGTCTTCTGCAAAACCAGTCCCTGGTGCCAAAAAGGTTGAGGACCACTGCTCTAGATCATGTGGGTTGATTTTGCTCTTCCTTATCACTAAAGAAAAATGAGTACCCAGCCATTGGTCATGTGTGGGCGAGAATGGTGCCTTACAATTAAACCAAAGAGCGCTGTGCATGGCGCTGCTCTCCCTTAGCTCCAGTAGAGGCGTGGGGTCAGCTTGCTCAGCTCCCTGAGTCTGGGTTCCCCCTGTCCCTTGGTCTCAGAAAGGTACTGAAGCCCCGCATTCAGCTGGATGAGGAACCTCTTGGACCTTACTGTTCCGCAGAAGTGACCCTAAAGCCGGACTCACTGCCCAGGTCCACTTGAATGGTCTCATGGGTTGCTACTGAAATGGCCCAAGGTTTGAAGCCACTAAGAGCGGGCATCAAATCCTAGCTACCCTCCTCATCTGGGTCACCTTGGCCTCGCTCTTCACACTCTCTGACCTCAGCTCCCTCACTGGTAGTGGAGGACATGGGTCAATACACTGTCACTATTATTGAAAGCTCAATACATTGTGACTATTATTCATGAATTCTTTAGCTGCCTTATTTCCACTTCCGGATGCAGACTTGTTTACAGCCCTGAATATAAAGGAATCAAAGACCAAGAACCTGATGACAATTAGGTTATATTTGTTACAGTTCTGATCATTTTTCTCTTCGGGTCCACTGATCCACAAAAAATACGTATATAAATAACAGGCAACCAGGTGCCTTATGCAAGGGGGAAAAAATCTTAAATAATCTTGTTTTTGTGGGTTTCTATTTTCCAGAAAAAAATTAATAAATACAAAAGGATTAATTTTTCTGCTTTAACATTTTTTAAGTGCACCAAAAACTTTGTTAAATACACAAGTAAATATATGTCACTTTAAAAAAAATTATAGCCAGTGCAGGATAAGAGAGGGAAAATCCATTGGAAAAGAGGGCGCCGCGGGACAACCCTAGGATAGGAGATGGAGCCATGGATGGGCCCAGAGCTGACTGTGGCATCCGAAAGATACGCAAGGAAAAGCAGTGAGGGGGCTGTAAGGAAGAGGTGGTGAGGGAGTCCCTGAGGGAAAGGAGAGGCTCTGCAAGGAAGGAGAATGACGGGGAAGGCAAACGTCTCCTCCTCCCTCCCACACCCTCTGCCGGTTTTCCCGCTCTGCCTCCTGGCGCCCTTTTCCGCCCAGAAAGCAGGAGCCCGCCTAGTCCTTCATGGCGGGAGAACAGCGCCCTCGTGTGGACTGCCGGGTTCTTGGTGCTAGAGGCAGTTTGGGTCCGTTGCCTTTTCACTACTCCGGACACACATTGTTTTTCAGCAAATGAGAAAGCCGCATAAGCAGCATCCCAGGCAGTTTCTTTGCAGAAAACTTGGTAAGGATCAAACAGAAATAAGCCAAGTGCAGCGATTTCCCTCACCCACATCATTCACCTCCGGCAAGTATCTGACTCTATTTCTCTTTCCAATGCCCAACTTCGGGGGTGCTCATCCCAACAGGCAGTAGCTCCTGTAGTAGCCCAACCGTGCATCCCTGAGAGGCGTAAGGGCAGGGAGCTGGCAGAGCCATGGGGACATACGTGGGGACAGTCTGGAAGGCGACGTGATTGGCCTAGGATGCGAAGGGTCCATACTGACGTAGAGAGGGGCTGGGCAACCTCTGGATGCACCAGAAAATGCTGTGCTCTCCCAGGGCAGTGGGGGATTCACACATAGGATTCCTCCATGGCTCTGGTGTTGCTGGAAATACTTCTAGAAACGCCCATTCAGGAAATGGAGGGGTGCACAAAGATTTCTTTACAAAGGTGTCGTTTGCAGCTTTATTTGTAAATCTGCCATTTTGGAAGCGGCCTAACAGCAAATAGGAGGGGCCTGATCAGATACACAGCGCTGCTCCCATCAGTGGAATGCCGTGGAGACATTAAGAATGATGTGGCAGGCTAGGTACCATGGAGAAATCCCATCTCTACAAATAATACATATATATATATATATATATATATATATATATATATATATATATATATATATAAAATGTATATATATAGCCGGGTGTGGTGGCGCACACCTGTAGTCCCAGCGACTTGGAAGGCTGAGGTGGGAGGATCGCTCGAGCCCAGGAGGTAGGGGCTGCTGTGAGCCGAGATTACGCCACAGCTCTCCAGCCTGGGGACAGAGTGAGACCCTGTCTCAAAAAAAAAAAAAAAAAAAAAAACCCACAAGATACCGCATCCAGCCATTCACTTCCAACCTGTGCACTGCTCTGCGGTCATATGCTTTCCTTCTATTAAAAATAATAATACTAATACATTTAAAAAATAATGCAACAGTCTATTTAATGGCAAATGGGCACATATGCTCAATGTCATGTTAAATGTTAAAAATACAAATCTGAACATGGCATTATGGTGTAGATTTGTCTTTCTTAACCCCACTTTTAGTTTGTTCTATCATTTTTTATGTGCCTTTGTAATCCATGCTGAATCCTTTAGAATAAAATGGAGATTTAATAAATAAGGAAAATTATATGTACACTAGATCCACCTTCCAAAATGTATTTATGCACTTAGAGAGGAGGACAGAGAGAGAGAGGCACAAGATAAGTGAAAAGTACAATCCTGAAACATTGTGACAATCCTTACCTCTAGCTAAGGATGGTTGGTCATTTTTATTTACATATTTTATATTTGTTTTCATTTTCTACACTGAATAGGGTTTACTTCTTAAATCAGAAGAACAGTCCATTTTTTTCAAGAAGCAGAATTGTGGCCTAGCCCACCTGCCTGCCATTCCTACCCATGTCTTAGGCAGGTGAGCCAGGCAGACTCTCTCGAAGCGAATCAGAAACATCTTGGGAGGTTCAGCTGAAGGAACAAAGGACTCCTCGCATCCAGGATCTTCCAATGCCAGCATTTGAGCGATGCCCTAAAGAACCAGCCTTGTCCCACACAGGAGGTACCATGTGAAGCTGTTATTGATTGTTTACAGGTTAGTATAAAAGGATTTATCGGTGTCATGTAATAGTTTTGAATAGGGCTTGGAGTCCGGGCTCAGAACTTAAATTCTCACTCTGTTGTTCACTAATGTTTGATTTGGAGTGATGACTTATTCTCCTCATCTGAAAAGTGGAGATGTAATCCTTATACCTCTCAAGATTGCTGAGAAATTAAATGTGGTAGTCAGGCTGCACCATATGAAGTTGGTGGTTTTGTGGGTGTGAAGTGGGTGATCCCCGGCCATTTCTGGTTCAATCCGTGTACATTGGGAGCTCAGCACGGTGCTGGCAGGTGGTCAGCGCTTGCTCAGCCTCCGCACGGTTCCACCCCCATTCCACAGATCAGGCTGTACAGGGCCGAACGTGGGAAAAACAGGGCTGCAGGAAGGCATGCAGGGCCTGGGAGGGAGTTGTGGGGAGGAAGGAGGGAAGAAGCCTCAGAACGCCAGAGGCTCTCAAAATGCAGCGTGGCCAAAGCTGATGCAGCGTCAGCCTCCCTCTTGCCATTTTAAAGATACTCCACCCCCAAACAAACACACACACCCCTCACCCTTCTGACCTCATTAAATTTACTTCTACATGGCATAACTTTCTTCCCCAGTCTGAGCCCTCTGGGATCCACCTTGTGACCTCAGAGGGCTAACGTCACAATGGGGACCCTGAACCCTCACTCCAGCTTCTCCCCTGGGCACAGGTTTGCTGGCAGGTGCCAAGGTGGTAGGATATGCTTCCTCCCAACCTGGGGAAGGTGCAGAGGCTGTGACTGAAGCAGCCTGGCATGGTGCTCCCCTTGGTCCTAATTAACTCAGTTATCATAAGTTCCATTGCATCCAGGACTGAGATACCCAAGTCCAAGGAATGGGGAACCATTAGAGACACACTGGCGGCGGGGGTGCAGGAAAAGAGAAAGCCACCACTAGTCAACCTGGTGGGACTTCCAAGGAAGGTAATTCAAGGTTAGGCATTTTCTTGGGATATCAGAGTCTGAATCAACTTTCATCTGAAATGAAAGGTCCTGCCCTGCCCCAGCCAGAGCTGCCAGTGCCTCCGCCCCTTTAATAGGGACTTGGTGCTTTCTCAGTGCCACCCATGAAACTCAAAACTGAGTGGGGGCATTCCACTGATGGTTTGGGGGTTCAGTGAGAAGGGAGACGGGGTGTGGGAGAAATGGTGGTTTCAAAGACTCTTCCATCCTTGGGTTAGCTACTCTAAGAATAACATGTACAACCATTAGAAGGAAGATCCCCATGGCTCATGTCATTTAAGGCCCTAACCAGCCCTGTGTGCAAGAGTCATAGCCATTTTTAATGGGCACATGGGCTGAGAGATCATGGGCTAAAGATCATGCCCAAATTCACACACGAAAGATGTGAGAAGCCAGGACCCAAACCCACACTCCCTATCTCAAAATTCATTCTCTTTTTGAATTGCCACAAATTTGCAGGAGAATAATTGTTCTAGGATAGAGATTCTCAAACTACAGGGCAAGAAACCCTTGATACTGCCAAGTTATGTCAAGGAAGCTGCTAATTCAGATTGGACATTAAGTATGGCCCACAAACTTAAAAAAAAAGAAAAGAAAAAAAGGTATGTCTTGCCCAATCACCCCTTCATGCATCAATCCAACTGCTATGTACCAGCATTTTTCGAACATCTATAGATGTTGTTATGATGATTAAGATACAATTCATTGTATTGCTGCTTCCTGTTGTTGCTTGGTTACTGCAGTAACAGGCAACCACACAATTCCAGTGGCTTCCAGCACCCAGCATTTATTACTCACCTGATTCCATCCTGGCTGCAGGTTGAAGCAGGCTCTGCTCTGCTCCACGTGTCTTCTCATTCAGGTACCCAGGCTGAAGGAGCAGCCTCTGACTGTGACATGCTGCATGAAACCTAGCTAAGCCACACAGTCGCATCTAATCACATGTCCTGTCATGACTGATAAGTGGGGGTGGATGGCCACTTCAGCTACTGGAGGCACAGGAAGGGCAGGGATGTATTTATTTTGAAAGCAAATCATCATGACTGGGTGTGTGGTTCACACATGTAATCCCAGCACTTTGGGAGGCCAAGGTGGGCAGATCACTTGAGCCCAGGAGTTCAAGACCAACCTGGGGAACAGAGTGAGACCCTGTACTTACAAAAAAAAAAATTAATTAGCTGGGTGTGGTGGTGTGCACTTATAATCCCAGCTACTAAGGAGGCTGGGGTGGGAGGATTGCTTGAGCCAGGGAAATCAAGGCTATAGTGAGCTACGATCATGCCACTGCACTCCAGCCTGGGCAATAAAGTGAGACCCTGTCTCAAGGAAGGAAGGAAGGAAGGAAGGAAGGAAAGAAGGGAAGGAAGGGAAGGAAGGGAAGGAGGGAAGGAAGGAGCGAGAGAAAGGAAGAAAGAAAATAATCATGAACAATAATGCAATCTACCACTTTATACATTTTTTTAATATGAGACAGGGTCTCACTATGTTGACCAGGCTGGTCTTGAACTCCTGGCCTCAAGCAGTCCTCCCATCTTGGCCTCTCAAAGTGCTGGGATTACAGGTGTGAGCCACCATGTCTGCCCTTTATCCATTTTTTCTATGAGCAAATACTTCAGGTAGAACTATGATGAGGAAGCCCTCACAGTTAAAAAAAATATTGGGAGACTCCTGTTAGAGGAGATAAGTTGAAAATGTAGTTCTACGCTTATACCTTAGACACTGTTGGTGGGAATGCAAATTTGTTCAGCCCCTGTGGAAAGCAGTTTGATTATTTCTCAAAGAACTAAAAATAGAACTACCATTTGACCCAGCAATCTCGTTACTGGGTATATACCCAAAGGAAAATAAATTGTTCTACAAAAAAGACACTTGCACTTGTATGTCCATTGCAGCACTAGTCACAACAACAGACAAGGAATCAGCCTAGATACCCATCAACGTGGACTGGATAAAGAAAATGTGATATATTTACACCATGGAATACCACATGGCCATAAAAAGGAATGAAATCATGTCCTTTGCAGCAACATGGATGCAGCTGAAGGCCATTATTCTAGGTGAATTAACGTAGACACAGGAAAACAAATACCATATATTCTCACTTATAAGTGGGAGTTAAACATCAGGAACTCAGGGACATAAAGATGGCAATGATAGACACTGGGGATTCCAAAAGCGTGGAGGGAGGTCGGAGGACAGGGGTTGAAAAACTACCTATCGGGTACTATGTTTGCGACTTGGGCAGTGGGATCATTAGAAGCCCAAACCTCAGCATCACGCAACATACCCGTGTCACAAACCTGCACATGTACCCTCTGAAACTAAAATTTTTTAAAAAAATTAAATAAAGAAAATGCAGTTCTAAAACACTGATTACCCCCCTGCCGGAGCAACATCAGTAATTTTTCACATTGGTGGAAGGTGGCATCTCCAAGACGGAATTCAATATTTAAATATGGGTTTTAAGGTCAAACTTAAGTTGTCCCATTTGCATCTGCCCTGAGGAGCCTCTGAAGCGGCTTCAGATGATAGAGGTCCGTGGGAATGCCATTCGTTGGCCTCCACAACAAGACAGTGTGAAGTGACTTTCACTGGCAACTCTGGGCCAAGAGTCTAATAGAACTGCATACACTCCTGGGAATTCACCTATTCAAGAAACACTTAAACGTGGGGACTGTAAGCAGTGTGAGATGCAAAGATGTGTAGGAAACTGTCCTCACCCTCACAGATCTTGCAGTAGAGCCTCCCAGCCTCACTTGAGGAGCAAAGTCAAGGCTCTGAGTTTCCATGACTTGGCCAAAGTTCACACACCAGGTCAACGACCACAGGGGACTCGACATCAGGGGTCTTTTTGTTGGTTTGCTTTTGAGACAGGGCCTCATCCTGTCACCCAGGCTGGAGTGCAGTGGTGCAGTCTTGGCTCACTGCATCCTCAACCTCCCTGACTCAAGCAATCCTCCCTCCTCAGCCTCCAAATAGCTGGGACTATAGGCTCATGTCAGCAAGCCTATAGTCCCAAAATTTTTTAATGTTTTCTAGAAACAGGGTCTCACTACATTGCCCAGGCTGGTCTTGAACTTCTGGGCTCCAGCAATCCTCCTACCTCAGCCTCCCTAAGTCCTAGGATTACAGACACTGCCCCTGGCCAAAATCAAGTTTATTAACTACCATTCTTTTTTCTCTACACCATATGCTTCCTTAGTTAATGTAATCTTCAGCTGAATTTCTTTCTTAGTTTTGTGTTGTGTTACCTTTTTCTTCCCAACAACAAGGCAATGTGGGGCCACCCCAGATAACAAAAGGGAACTGGTAGGGAAGAACAGCACGCACCCAGGGAGCAGGTGCCAGCTGCCCGTAACCAGAGGCCTCAGACGAGGGAAGAGAACCCAGCACTTTTTAAAATTATGTAAATGATGAAAGCCACCTTTTGCTACATCCTTTCCATCAGACTCTTAGTGCATTTGAGGCTTTGATTAACGAGGCTATATCCAAGAATGATATTCATGTTACCCAATAAAGACACCATGGGGTTCTTCTGGGCCCAATTTTGGCAACTTGCTCAATATTCAAGCTGGGTTTTTTCTTTTCCTTGTATCTTATCGACCAGGTACAAAAGGATGTTGTTTAAATGAGAAAATCTCTTCCTTCGCGTACTGTTCTAAACTCAGTGGGTTCTCTTTGCAGCCAGGTGAGAAAAAGTTGCAATTTCAATGCAGAGAGCCCTTCTGAATGCCTGCGGCCTGGGAGGTATAATGAACAAGCTTCAGTCTTGGATCGGTTCCCAGACCCACAACGCGAGAACGCTGTGGTGTCTAAACAGAAGTCCCTGGCTTTCTTTCAGTCCCAAGTCTTACTAGGTTTGACGCTTCTTTATTATGTTTTGTTCTGCATCTCTAAGTCCCCCTTCTAAAGCATAATGCTGCAAACATGGGGTCTGCACGCCCAAGAGCATTGTCCCTTGGTTACCATGGTAACCCAAGCGCATCCACCAAGCACTTTACTCCAAAGGAAATAGCGAGCTTGGGCTATGAGCTTGCACCTTGCACACACACACACCCCAGTCAGTGAATATCCCCCAGAGGGTTTCTGTTTCTGCGCCAGAGTTGGCAAAAGCCAAAGGGGCCAGCGCAACTGTGTTTTATCGACTTTATTAAAATAACTGGGATACACATTCAACCACTAATTATTATTGTTTCACCTGTGCCAGGAGGGGACCTGCTGGCGCTTGACAAATGGGCTGAGAGGCTGTCGAGTTTCATTCCGGCATTGGTGGGTAACAGATGCCGAAATGTGGTTTCGTAATAGCGGAATAGGACTTTGTACTTTTACAGTACTTTTTATCAGTGAATCTCAAAGGCTCCCTCATTAGTCCCCGTGGCCCCCTGGAAAGGAGGTGAGTGGCGATTGGGTCCCCCGAGGCGGCAAGCCCAAGGCAAGAGGAGGCCTCGGGCTAGTTGCCTAGACTTAAACAGGACACAGAAGCACAAACAGGCCATTGGAGCCCCAGTCTGATGAAGCTGCTCTAATCGTGTAATTACCCTGCAATCATGCCCATCATTTGCATTTTTAATTCCACTCATTAAACGTGCGGCTTCTGTTTGGGGAGACTTGTCTCCACACATCTCAACCGTCTGAATGCCTGTGGCTGGCCTTTTTATGCAGTAACCAGGCATCCTGATAGACAGGTTGGGGGAAACATTTACTTGGTCCCACCATAAAAGAGCACACGAGTTACCTAAGCAGAATGGCACAGGGTCAGCAGTGGCTGAGAAATGGTTACTTTACGGGAACACAAAACGAAGTCAGTTCTGAAAGTCCCCATGCCCAAGATTGAGAAACTTCAGTAAATCCTAAGTCATCTAAAAACTTCCTCCCCACCCCAAACTACATCTCAAAGTGTTAAAAGTGAGCGGAGTCTTGGATAATATCTAAATCCAACACCCCCATTTTTGGATGAGAAAATTGAGCCCGAGAGGCATTTCTCGATTAACTTTCAAGCCCCACAGCTGGTCAGTGGCAGAGGGGATCCCAGAGCTCAAATGGTTCACCCTCCCTATCTACATTAACCACAAGGTGCTATGAGAAACTTACGTGGAAACATTTCTACAGGTGCATTGCCCTTGAATATCAGCAACATACGCTCCTTCTGAACAGGGATTTTGTCTGTTTTTTTCTCAGCTGTATCCCAGAAAAGAGAACCTAGCACATAATGAATCCCCTATAAGTTTTTGTTGATGATTGGACATCTGCACGGATCCTACTCAACACAGGTCAAGAAAGAGAATAATAAGGCCGGGCTTGGTGGCTCACGCCTGTAATCCCAGCACTTTGGCAGACCAAGGCAGGTGGATCACCTGAGGTCAGGAATTCGAAACCAGCCTGGCCAACATGGTAAAACCTGTCTGTACTAAAAATACAAAAATTAGCTGGGTGGGGTGGTGCATGCCTCTAATCCCAGCTACTCGGGAGGCTGAGGCAGGAGAATCACTAGAACACCTGAGGCAGAGGTTGCAGTGAGCCGAGATCACACCACTGCACTCCAGCCTAGGCACAGAGAGACCAAGAGAGAGAGACTAATAGACAAGGAACCAGAAAAGCATATTTTCCCCCATTTAAGATTCAGTTCAAATGTCACCTCCTCAGAGAGGCCTTTTCTGATCCCCTTGTTCATTGTTTACCTCCCTCACCCTAGTCATTCCTTTTCATTTGGTTCCATTTCATTCCTGTTTTGTTTTCATTATAGCAGTTATAAATATTTAAAGTGACCTCATTTATTTTACAACTATCTCCTCACTTCGATAGAAGCACCATAAAGTCAAGAATTTTTTTCAGTCCATGAATAGACAATTCTCAAAGGAAGATATACAAATGGCCAACAAACATATAAAAAAAAATGCTCATCATCACTAATGATCGGGGAAATGCAAACCAAAACCACAATGTGATACCACCTTACTCCTGCAAGAATGGCCATAATCAAAAAATCAAAAAATAATGTTAGCATGGATGCAGTGAAAAGGGACACTTCTACACTGCCGGTGGGAATGTAAACTAGTACAACCTCTATGGAAAAACAGTATGGAGATTCCTTAAAGAACTAAAAGTAGATTTACCATTTGATCCAGCAATCCCACTACTGGGTATCTACCCAGAGGAAAAGAAGTCATTATACGAAAAAAATACTTGCACACGCATGTTCATAGCAGCACAATTCGCAACTGCAAAAATGTAGAACCAACCCAAATACCCATCAATCAATGAGTGGATAAAGAAACTGTGGTATATATATGCAATGGAATACTACTCAGCCATAAAAAGGAATGAATTAATGAAATTTGCAGAAACTTAGATGGGATTGGAGACTATTATTCCAAGTGAGGTAACTGAAGAATGGAAAACCAAACATTGTATGTTCTCACTTATAAGTGGGAGCTAAGCTATGAGGATGCAAAGGCATAAGAATGACACAATGGACACGGGGAACTCGGTGGGAAAGGGTGGGAAGGTGGTGAGGGATAAAAGACCACAAATTGGGTACCAGGTATACTGCTCGGGAGATGGGTGCACACGAATCTCACAAATCACCACTAAAGAACTACTCATGTAACCAAATACCACCTGTTCCCCAATAACCTTTAGAAATAAAAATGTTTTTAAAAAAAGAATTTTTGGCAGTCGTGTTCACTGCACCATTGCCAGGGCCTGCACCAGTGCCTGACATATGTGAGATGCTCAACAGATATTTATGAAGTGACAGATATATATAGAAAAAAAATAATGAAAGTGCTAAAAATCATCAAAAGTATTTGTTTCACAGTGAGAAATGTTCAGTATTATTGCATTATTCATCTTTGTCAACATTAGCAGCAAATCAGAGTTCCATAAGCCCTCTTTAGACTTGAACAAATTTCCAGTCAGTGTGTGTGTACAAAACACATTGGTACAGCGTATCATTATCTTCTTGGTTCCAAATGATCCCACAGTTGATGTTCTCCGTGTTTGTCTGAGCCTCTGGGGCTTTATTAATGTAATTATAGACACAAGTCACCAGTTGAGTGTATAATTTGGTGGAAGGGACTATCTATATAGAACAAACCACTGACAGGTAGGTTAGAGCCAGAATCGCCCAAGGAATCAACTGGCTCTGCTGGTCCATTTTACGGATGTGGGAAGGCCCTGAGAGAATAAGGGACCTGCCCTAAGCCACCTACATGCCTAATCTGGGCAGAGATCAGAAAACTTCAAAGGAACAAGTCTGTCTTTTTTTATATGAATGGAAGTTGGATTCGAAAGATGTAAATTAAACTGACCTTAGTTGAACACATTCTCAGGGAGACTTCTTCCCTCTTCCAACTGTAAGAATCAGTGCCCAGACAAAAATCATCCTCAGAGGTGACACATCACACAGTGTCATCCAAAAGGAATACAGGTGCAGAAGCAAGTGTCGCACTAAACATCCCAGGCAGACTCTCAGCATCCTTCCCAGCATTTCACACTGGAAAAACTATGCTGCAACAGTCTTCACCAATAGCCTCCCTCTGCCGTGAAAGAAAAATAGCATCATCAAGCTAACCAGAAGCACACTATCAGACTCTCTTGGATTTGAGGGGGAGGCGGAAACATCCAGTACAGAACTCAGAAAACACTCACACATCTGTCTTCTATTAAGATGCCCTCTGTAGTTTCAAAAATGCCCCCTGTCTCAGCTCCTCACCCCCAGGCAAGCCAGGTCCCCACAGGGCACAATTTCCTCCGGGCTTTTTCTTCTTGCCCTGGTGGTATAAACTCTCAGGCGACCTGCTCACATCAGCCCCTACACCAGTGTCTCCACCTTGCTATTGGAGAACAGCATACATTCTGTGTCCACTGCAATGCTTCTCGTTGCTATCTGAGTTGCTAAGAAGCAGTGGGATGCAGCTGGCAGTCTCTGAGATGCAGGGCGGGTTGTGAGAGCCTCTCCCTTGCCTCATGTCAGGGGTCACGTGATTATTCTATTACTGTCTCTACCCCCTCTCTCCTAACCTACAGTCAATCTGACAGTTTTCCCAAACAGGGCTGCCCCATTTCTAAATATTCACAAGTGCCATCCGCCAGGGCCTGCCAGGGCAGTGTTGATTGCTTCAAGATGTGTGTTAATATCAAGTGGCTTTGCAGCATGGGAATATGCTTGGCTGGGCCCCTCTGTTTACTGTCCAACCGATACCTTGGAATCCTGCTCTTATCAATGTTCTGTTGTGTGTTTTACTTGACATTTTTGAAAACACCAAAGTTAGCCCTATATAAAAACTGATTGGTTCCTCTGTGATGATCCAGGTACTCATGATGCTGCAAGTCAGGTGGCTGTCACTAGTGGCTAAGGTGCTGTGGGCTGAACAGAGTTCTCCCTGGGCACAGGGAGCAACTCTTGATTGTCTCTGTGGCTCAGGTGCCTGTCTCCTGCTAAGTCTGAGTCCTCCAAGGACAGGGACTTATCCATCTTTATAGCCCACAAACCCAGAGTAGTGCCAGGTACATAGTGAGTGCCTCTCTGTTGAATGAAATGCAGCCTCACTTTTTTTTCTATTAGAGTTAAAATACACATAACATTGACCATCTTAACCACTTTAAAGTGTACAATTCAGTAGCATTGAATATATTCACAGTGTTATGCAATGTCATAGTTTTTATTCTTTTTTTTTTTTTGAGATGGAGTCTTGCTCTGTTGCCCAGGCTGGAGTACAATGGCGCAATCTCGGCTCACTGCAACCTCCACCTCCTGGGTTCAAGTGATTCTCCTGCTTCAGCCTCCTGAGTAGCTGGGACTATAGGCATGCACCACCACGCCCATCTAATTTTTTGTATTTTTAGTAGAGACAGGATTTTACTGTGTTAGCCAGGATGGTCTCAATCTCCTGACCTCGTGATCTGCCCACCTTGGCCTCCCAAAATGCTGGGATTACAGGCTTGAGCCACTGCACCTGGCCTTTTTTTTTTTTTTTAAAGGTGCAATGCTTCATTCCTGTAATCCCAGCTCTTTGGGAGGCCAAGGCGGGGGGATTGTTTGAGCCCAGAAGTTTGACACCCATCTGGGCAACACAGTGGGACCCAGTCTCTACAAAAAATAAAAAATTAGCAGGGCAGGGTGGCACATACCTGTATTCTCAGCTACTCAGGAGGCTGATGTGGGAGGATTGCTTGAGCCCAGGAGGTCAAGGCTGCAGTGAGCTGTGGTTGCACCACTGCACTCCACCCTGGGCAACAGGACGAGACCCTGTCTCAAAAAAAAAAAAAAAAAAAAAAAGACTCCTCAATAAAATTACTCTAAATAGATTAACAGTTTTTTCTAAGAAATGAAAAAATAAAAGATAAAATATGGAGCGTGATTTCAAGGCAATCTAGACAACAAGGTGTGAATACTGTTCTCCACTAAATGCAACTGTTATCACTTCTTAGCTCTTCTGTGGTCGTCTCCTAGTGCTCAAAACGTAGTCATCAAGCAGATGTGTTGAGCACTCTGTTAGATGCTGGGAATAAACAGATGAACAGACATGGCCAGTGTCTGTGAGGTGCTTAAAGACCAGAGAAGAGACAGATGCTTATTTCTAATTCCCCACACTATACTGCGAAACTCGTCAGGGTAGGTGTTTTTGTCTTTTTTTTAATTCCCTGCTCTATCCCCAGTATATTGAACAGTGCCTGGCATGCTATAGGCATTTTAAAAATACTCGATGAATGAATAAATAATGAAAATCTGGCTGGGGAAGTAGGAGAAAGCTTCACCAAAGGCCTTAGTTGGGTTTGTTCTTGAAAGTATCATTTCTTGAAGAAAGAGTTACAGACATCCTCACAGGAGAAGAAGGTCTTCTTGGAAGCCTGGGTACAGAGCAGGTGGCATGACCGGATGCTGGAAGAGTAGGACATGGAAAGACAGATCAAATCACAAAGGACTTTGTATGCCACCTTGAGGAATCTAGAGTTTTGCTTACATCTTGTTAAGTGAAGAATTTTAAGCAAAATGTTTGTGCTATGCTCTGAATGTTTGTGTTCACCCAAAATTCATACATTGAAACCTAATCACCAAGGTAATGGTATTAGAAGGTGAAGCCTTTGGGAGGTGATTAGGTCATGAGGAGTCTGCCCTAATGAATGGGATTAGTGCCCTTATGAAAGAAGCCCCAGAGAGTTGCCTTCCTCTTTCACCACGTGAGCATAAAGCAAGAAGGTGCCATCTACGAGGAACAGGCTCTCACCAGACACCAAAAAAACTGCTGAATGCCTTGATTGTAGACTTCCCAGCCTCCAGAACTGTGAGCAATAAATTCCATTGTTTATAAATTACCTAGTCTAAGGTATGTTGTTATAGTAGCCCAAATGACTAAGGCAGTTTGCATTTTGGAAAAGTCACAGAATTGTATTCTAGATAAGCAGCACTTATCAAACCACACACATCCCCACCACTTTCCAGGCATCAGAAGCCATTAATCATGTCATATCTGCAGCTAATACTTTGTTTCCATGCATACTGCATCATTCCTGCTGAGAAAATTTCCCAGACTTCCCACTCAAATCCCTCTTCCCTGGAATATCTTCCTTTCATGGCAAAGAAAAAGAAAATGAGGAGAGATGCCTATGAATCCACTCACCGGCCTTTCTGTCTGATATCATTTTGCTGTGTCCCCACCCAAATCTCATCTTGAATTGTAGCTCCCATAATTCCCATGTGTTATGGGAGGGACCCAGTTGGAGATAATTGAATTGTGGGGGTGGTTTCCTCCATACTGTTCTCGTGGTAGTGAATAAGTCTCACGAGATCTGATAGTTTTATAAGGGGAAACCCCTTTTGTTTGGTTCTGATTTCCTCTCTTGACTGCTGCCATGTAAGACGTGCCTTTCACCTTCCATCATGATTGTGATGTCTTCCCAGGCACGTGGAACTGTGAGTCCATTAAGCCTCTTTTTCTTTTTAAATTACCCAGTCTCGGGTATGTCTTCATCAGCAGCGTGAAAACAGACTAATACACCCTCCCATGGGATTACTCTTTTAGCTGCTTCTAAGCATTCCGCATCAGTTCCTGGTTTGGATTCTCCTGGAAGCAGACTCTGAGACAAGGACCTGAGAGTCAATAGGTTATTGGGAAAGATCCTGGAAAGGCAAGAGAATGAGAAGGGAAAGTGAAATCCAGAAGGGAGAAGCAAACAATGAAGGGTGAGTTGGTAAGCTGGTGAGGAGGCTGCCACGATGGGAGACTCTGGCCTGGCCCCACTAAAGAACTGTAGAGTACACCTCAGAACTTTCCCCAGGAGGGCCAAGGAAGCTGCAATACTTATCCACCAATTCCTAACCCTCACAGGCTGGGGACCACCTCTGGGGGAATTATATTCTAGGCGTCTCTGGTCTGCCCTGTGCTCTGGCTGACAGATCCCTCAGGTATAGAAGCAGAGAGATGAGGGCGTCTGTGGTAGGCAGCTGTGAGCATGCACAAGAGTGGCCTTTGCAGCTGCAAGTGAACTCAGAGGTGGGCCAAAGGGAAAAGGGCAGGGCTTCAGCAGCATCTTCTACACCATCTGCCCTACCAGAGCTTGTTTCCCCTCTAGAAGATGGTTGCAGAGACAATGCTGTGTGTCCACCATCTTGTCTCAGGCACACAGAAAGATGACATGTCCCAGGCTCCCCTGTCATTTAAGCCATCTCATTCACAGCTAAATTAGAAACAGGGTGCTACTTCTGCCCAGTAGAATATGAACAGAAGTTACTAAAGTCATTTTCAGGCCTGACCCTTAAAAACAACCCAGGCGAGGGCCAGGCGCAGTGGCTCACACCTGTAATCCCAGCACTTTGGGAGGCCGAGGTGGGCGGATCACGAGATCAGGAGATCGAGACCATCCTGGCTAACATGGTGAAACCCTGTCTATACTAAAAATACAAAAAATTAGCTAGGCATGGTGGCGGGCACCTATAGTCCCAGCTACTCAGGAGGCTAAGGCAGGAGAATGGCGTGAACCCTGGAGGTGGAGCTTGCAGTGAGCCAAGATCACGCCACTGCACTCCAGCCTGGGTGACAGAGCAAGACTCCGTCTCAAAAAAAACAAAAACAAAAAACAACCCATGCAAGGATGTGACGGTGGTCTGGCTGCAACATCTGTCACCCCACTGATCACCAGGGTTGATTCGGCTGATCTGGCTGGCTAGGTGGGTATGCCCTCCTGAGCCTCACCACTCCATGTTCATCCCTCCTGAAGCTGCATGCTTGGTTGAAGAAGACAACCTTCCCCAGTAGAAGGCCAATATTTGGTCAAGGGTATATAAGTAGCTGCATTCCCTTGCTAGAACCTCCAAACAAGCTCTCAAGGTCCATTTGCAGGAAAATGTTGGGTAGTGAAGCTTCCAAGGCTCCAGACACATCCAAATGAGGTGCTGCATGTGGCAGTATGTTTTTTGTTTTTTGTTTGTTTGTTTGTTTGTTTGTTTTGAGACAGAGTCTTGCTCTGTCACCCAGGCCGGAGTACAGTGGCACGATCTCGACTCACTGCAACCTCCGCCTCCCAGGTTCAAGCGATTCTCCTGCCTCAGCCTCCCAAGTAGCTGGGATTATAGGCACCCGCTGCCATACCTGGCTAATTTTTTGTATTTTAGTAGAGACGGAGTTTCACCGTGTTGCCCAGGCTGGTCTCAAACTCCTGAGCTCAGGCAATTCACCCACCTTGGCCTCCCAAATTGCTAGGATTGCAGGCATAAGCCACCACACCCAGCCACTTTTCTTAAAAACACACACACAAACAAACAAAACTATGTGATCCTCCAGTTCTTTCTCTTCAGTGACCAACTTGAAGTCCATATGTTTAAGATGGTAGGAATGTAAGATTGAAGGAGCTTTGATCCCTGAGTCACTGAGTGAAGGAGTCCACCAAGGAAAGCCACTCAAATTATGCCAGACTGTAACATGAATGAGAAATAGGCAGTATGCAGCCCCTAAGATTTGGAGATTTGTTACTGCAGAAAAGCCTAGCCCATCCTGACTAACACAGAATATATATTGGCTCTGCTGAGAATCTCTGCATGTTTTGGCAGTATGTTTCTTTTCCCTTTTCCTCTTCATAACTTGAAAAGAATCTTTAATGCAATTTCAGGGCTAAAACAGTGTGCTTCCGCTTCAAGAAACAAATATGCTTAGCTGAGTGATGTTCTTGCAGTTGGCAATGAACCCGTGATGCCCAGCCAGTATAATAGTCTTGACAGCATCTCTCAAGGCCCGCCTGCCTGCTTTAAGACCCAGTCTTGGCGACAGGGTTTAGCTGCCCACCCTTCCATTTAACACATCTAGAGAAACTACCAATTACTGCTAAACTGCCTTGTGTGGCTCAGCCCTCAGGTCAGAGGATGACATCCGGGAGGGCCATTTCAATGATTATGTAATTAATATTATCATGATATATAACTGCAGTAATGGTTTTTATCAATAGAGACCTGTTCTTCCTAGGCTATTCTTCAAAGTCAGGCTGTTGCCTGTTCTACCTTTGTGACATTCAGGAGCATCCTCTGGCCACGTGGTTCGGAGGTTTTATTGTACATCTTTAAGTGCTCTCTCTGAAACCCATGGGTCCTGGAAGTTTTGAACTAGGTTTTGTGGCTCTGCGTCACCTTCACAGTCTTAAAACGCACCCGTTTACACAAATGCCTGCTCACAAGCCACAGAGTGATGGCCGCTGACTCCTCCCAAAGTCAACACTTAGATTTATTGACTGAGAAGGATGTAACTGACCGAAACTTCACCCAGCTCAATATTTGCCTAGAGACAATAAATCTCAACACCGACCCAAACTGAAAGTCGATGGATATGTATTGTTACAGACTTTCTTTTGGCAAGACTAATCCATTGGGTATGGATTTTGAAATAATTTCATTTTGATTGGAGTGTGGGGCTAGCTGGACAGTGCAGTCAGAAAACAAAGTGGGGGACGCGTGATAGGAGCAGTTGCTCCTTGTAATCCCATAGTTAAATTCAGTGCTGTGAGCAGCACTTAGAAAAAAGAGCATGTCATCTATCAGGCCTCCAGAAGGGCCGCCTTCTGTGAGATGATGTCATCATAATGGCAGAGTGTGTTAAGTCCTCTGTGAATCCCCACAGGGCATTTGTCCTGCATGAGAATCAATTACAGAAAAGATAAATGGTGCATGAGAAGTGTCTTTTGGCATATATTTCACTTCTGATACATGTTGTTCTGCTGAGCAACAAACAATTTAGATAAACCTCAAGGTCATGTTTGGACCAGAGAGATGTTTTTCATTAGCTAGAGAGTGACCATGCTGATAAGAGAAGCAGCAGTTTGTGGAAAACTGTAAAACACCCGCCCTTCCGGGCAGCCGAAGCAGCCTACCTGGATCAGGCTGAGAGCCCTGGACATCACAGAAAGCCATGTTAGCATTGGAAAAGCGAGAGTGACGTCTTTGCCCACCATCTCCCAACGAAAGCCCTTCTGAGTGCGCGGAATGATTATTTCTGTGAACTGTAGTTATACTTCAGGCATGGACTCTGGAGAATACATTTTACTGGCTCAACTTTTTGTGAATCACAAATCCAGCTGAGTTGTGATTTTTTCTTCCTTTTGAGTCTAGGTCTGTGTTAGCAGTTGATTGGCTATCTTGCCCACATTCCCTTGTTTTTCCTTACATTTTTTTTTTTTTTTCTGAGACAGAATCTCACTCTGTCACCCAGGCTGGAGTGCAGTGGAGCAATCTCAGTTCACTGCAAACTCCGTTTCCCGGGTTCAAGAGATTCTCTTGCCTCAGCCTTCCATGTAGCTGGGATTACAGGCACCCGCCACCACGCCCAGCTAACTTTTGTATTTTTAGTAAACAGGGTTTTACCATGTTGGTGAGGCTGGTCTCAAACTCCTAACTTCAAGTGATCCACCTTCCTTGCCCTCCCAAAGTGCAGGGATTACAGGCGTGAGCCACCGTACCAGCCGCCTTAGATTTTTTTCACGGTTCCACAAGTGAAAAGGGAAAGTGGTTCGTGTCTCCGTGTAGTCACTTCCTTGTCACTGGGTCCTCAGACCCATTGCACAGGGTTTATTTTTTTGAGACAAAGTCTCACTCTGTTGTCCAGGCTGAAATGCAGCAGTTTGAGCCTTGACCTCTCAGGCTCAAGTCGTCCTCCCACCTCAGCCTCCCGAGTAGCAGGGACTACAGGCATGCACCCTCACACCTGGCTAATTTATTGTTGTTGTTGTTGTTATTATTATTTGTAGAGATGGGTCTCCCTATGCCGCCCAGGCTTCTCAAACCCCTGGGCTTAGCAGTCCTCCCACCTCAGCCTCCCAAAGTACTGGGATTATAGCACGAGCCACCGTGCCTGGCCCCACGGGGATGTTTGTACCGCCTGTCACCACATCCAGCAGGTGCTCCCACAGCCCAGCAGGGTGTGCTGTGGTGATGTTGTCCTTATGTCATTCCATCCGGTGCCTCTGATCAGCTGTGACTTAGGGCACTGTTCTCCCAGGACCTCGCTGCAGCCTCAGAATCCTTTTTGTTCCACCCTTCTCCGTGTCTGTATTCCAGAATCTTGTGTTTTGGGGCACTCAGTTACCTCCTTGTAAAATGTTGTCCTCCATATTTTCATAAAGAGGAATTCAAATGTTTTCTCATCTCACCCTAAGAAGATTCCCCTAACCCCAAATCTGGGGTGTCTTCTCTGTTCTTCCATAGCCCACTATCAATACAGACAGTCCTTACTGTACCCACCTGGCTGTCATCTCTCTACTATGAGAGACAATTTCCATCTCATTCACCATTTTATTACCAATTATAAGCACGGATCTTGCTTGGCACATAGTATATATACATACTCAATAAGTATTTTAGCAATCATTGAAAAAGTTTTAGATTATACAATATCTATGCCCATATTTTTCTACTTAGGGTCCATGCAGTGAGATTAAGAATTTCAGAGATTAGCTTCCATTTTCCCCATTTCTCAAAGTATGAGCACCAGAGGCAGCAAAAGTGAAGGGCCACATTAGGGGTCCAGCACCTCTGGCCCCTTCTCTGTCTCAGATGTATGTGGAGTGTGAGTGTGGACTAGCCAAATAAAAGGAAACAGGCCAGAAAAGTCACTGGTTCCAGTCGAACGAATACTGCTTTCTTGCTTATGAATTTCTCCCCCTTGTTCCTTGCAAAGTGTGGAACTGAACAAGGGGAACAGCTATGTGGTCAGCAAGAGGGCGGGAGGTCACTCTCTAATCACAGGCATGGGGCAGGTATAACTTGACCCTCCATCCCCACAAAGCTACACAGGTCCTGTCTCTGCACAGTTGCTCCATCACCGATCTTACCACACGGCCTTACGACCACTTGGCTATTCTCTTCTCCTTGCCTTGACCCATGTGTAAATAGCTGATGCTCTGAAGCTAATGTTATTTTAATAGCTTTATAGAGGTATAATCGACATAGAATATTGCCCATATTTGAAGTGTACAATTTGGTGAGTTTGGTTATGTATATACCCATGAGACCATCACTGCAATCAAGATAGTGAACATGTTTATCACCTCTGTGTGAGCCCCTCCCTTTCTCAGCCCCTCCTCCTCCCAGCCTCTTCACTTCTCAGGCAACCACCCATCTGCTTTCTATTACTACAGGTGAGTTTGCATTTTCTAGAGTTTTGTATAAATGGAATGATACAGTATGTACTATTTGGGGTTGACTTCTTTCACTCAGCATAATTATTCGATCTCCATTCATGTTGTTGCATGTATTAATAGTTTATTTAAAGCTAAGGTTTTTATAAACCTCTCCTGAAAGCTTGGAGACATCCTAAAAATTGGAAAGAATTGGGTCTTGGGCTATATTATAACATAGATTGTCTAGATTTGTTCTAGAATTAGCAAGCCTGCTATCAGCAGGAAACCCACCAATAAGAAGAGACTCAGAACAGGAAAGGGGCAAATAACAAAAGGAGATAAACAGCTAAGAAGACAGACAGAAGGAGCCAAAAATATCTCCCGAGTTTCCTTCCATCTGTGCTTCTCTCCCCAACCGTGCTTCCCCAAGATCCACTGCCACCAATTCAGCCTAATCTTTCACTAAAAGTATCTTCTTCCCTCTTCTTTCAAATATCCCACCTCCCCCACAAATAAAGCCATTTTTAAAATCACCTACCTTTAGCTGAGCAAGGGAATAGAGTGACATACCTCCCACTCAAAACATCTCACTGGAAACCCCACCTTCTGTGTTGAGAATTTTGAATCCACAGTAACTTGAGACAAATCTTTCCTTCTCAAATTCCCAAGTAAAGGTGCAGAGCTTGGCTTCATCTGCCTTCCCCCACATCTCTGAGACCTCAGCCTCACTAGGGACTATCACCCATTGGTTATAAAGCAAGTTAATTTCAGTGTTAGCCAGATAAAAAAGGATTAATGTCTTTTCAGGTCGGGGGCTTCTTTTCAGTCTTACTCTGTACAGTGAAAATTCTACACAAGTACGTATACTTCACTTTGTTAAAACAACTTAGTTCTGGCCGGGCGTGGTGGCTCACGCCTGTAATCCCAGCACTTTGGGAGGCCGAGGCGGGTGGGTCACGAGGTCAGGAGATCGAGACCATCCTGGCTAACACAGTGAAACCCCGTCTCTACTAAAAATACAAAAAAATTAGTGGGGCGTGGTGGTGGGTGACTGTAGTCCCAGCTAATTGGGCAGCTGAGGCTGGAGAATGGCATGAACCCAGGAGGCGGAGCTTACAGTGAGCCGAGATGGCGCCACTGTACTCCAGCCTGGGCAACAGAGCGAGACTCTGTCTCCAAAAGAAAAAAAAACAAAAAACTTAGTTCTGAGCATAGGAATCATGTCCACTTGTAGTCCACTGCCTTTCTGGCCTCAGCTCTCAATTCTCTTCTATTTTAGAATAGCCTGCTCTCGTGCCCTAGTCACCCTTTCAAAACATTTCAACGTGTGAAGTGTGAAGTCCCGTTTCCTTCATTTCTGCACACGTAGGCACCTCAATCTCAGAAGACTGCGTGAGAATTCCAACTTGCAACAGGCTGCATGAGAGATGCCAGGTTTGCTATTTGCTTTGTAAAAAGCCCACTTATCCTCCGCGTTTGTTCCAGGCCTCCTGGCATAACTTACCTATGTAATGGGCACACTTGAATGCACTAAATAGTGTAGATTCCAGAGCTGTGGTTAAGGCAGGGCAAAATGATTCCTTAGTAGATGAAAAAAGGCATCACTCCAATTACTGTAAAACCTGGCCACAAATTGCCAGGCCCAAAGTAATGCTTAGTCCAGCCTGGTGGGGAGTGTCTGGCTACTCCTGGCTTCCTGACACTTTGCAAATGGAGGACTCCTTTTCCCTTTCACTCCAGTAAGCAACCCATGCCGAGAATTTTCTCATGCTTCTAGCAGGGGGTTTAATGACCAATGACTTCACTGGAGATGCTGTGGCTGTGTAGAGCAGCAAATATTCTGAGGAGCCCAAGGACCCTTCTCTACCAAGCCCTGACCTGTCTCACCTGCTTTTTCCCGTGTCCCTCAAACCCTCCTTCCAAACCATGAAAACACTGAGGGCTTTCTTCACTCTGCCCCTGTTCCAGACCATCTCCTTTACCTGATTGTCATCCTGTCCCCACCTCACCATCTCTGCCGGCCAAGCCCTGTCTCTTCTCAAAGCCTAGGCCTGAATGCTACCTCATCCTTAATGCTTTCATAAATCCCTTAGCCAAAAGTCACTCCTTTCCCATTTGTCTCCTTAAAACAGTTTATTCCTTAGATGTGGAAATTGTCCAATTCTGCTTTGCTGGAGCTGGGGCTGCCTCGAGAGCCACTTCTGTATGGCTAGCATACTTCTCCCAGGCAGACACTCTGATTTCACATGGATTACTGCACTTAATCTTCAAAGACCTGTCTAAGTCCCAAAGAAGTTATTTAACTTGTCTAAGATCACAGAGCTAATAAGTCACAGATTTGAACCTAAGGCAATCTGACCCTTCCACTTAACCAAGGTACTGAACTACAAGCTCTTAAGAACATCTCTACAGTGCTTAACACGTGCCTTCCTCTAAGTCATAGTCACATATGTATGTGTATATGTACATATATACCCATATAGACACGGATATATCTCACATCAATATAATGAATGAAGAGAACACCTATATTATCTTCTTGTGGCTACTATTAAAAAATCACCACAAACTTGGTGGCTTAAAACAATAGAAATTTATCCTCTCACAGTTCTGGAGGGCAGAAGTCTGAAATCACCATCACTGGGCCGAGATGAAGGTGTCAGGAGGCCCATACTCCCTCCAAAGGCTCTGGGGTAGAATTCATTCTTTGCCTCTTCCATCTTCTGGTGGATGCTGGCATTCCTTGGATTGTGGCTGCATCATTCCAGTCTCTGCCTCTGTTGTCACATTGCCTTCTTCTTTTCTGTTTGCCTTTCTCAAATAAGGACACTTGTGATTGCATTTAGGGCCCACCTAGATAATCTAGGATAATGTCACCATCTCGAGATCCTTCACTTAATCACAATTGCAAAAATCCTTTTTCCAAATAAGGTAACATTTACAGACTCCAAGGATTAGAACCTGCTATCCTGGGGACAGGGGTGGCATTGTTCAGCCAACTACAACACCCAACCTTGGTTCTTTTTCCTAAGTTACAGGTGTCCATGAACAGCTGATCCTACAAATTAACTTTGTAGGAACCACTTCCTCAGTCCCCAAAATACAAAGAAACTTTAAAAACAACCAGAATCCCACAAAGGACTCTCTTTAGGAGAAGCTGGCTGGAAACATGAAAAGCATATTCTTCCATATAAAAAAGCAGCAGCACATTCTCTTCAACAAACATATTGTAGGTCACATTTTTATGGCTGAATCAACAAAATGCTCTCTATAAACTACAATTTTGTGCAGCACAGACTGTTTCAGACACACTCCTGCTGCCAAGATGAGAGGTAGACATGGCTCATTCTCTTACCCTGGTGTCTCTGAAAATTCTTTCCCACGTATCTCGGGGCTGCCTGTGCTGACAAGAGGAATAGTATATCATTCTCCGGTGACGAGCCAGCTACCCCTCTGTTAGGGGCCAGGGAATCTCAGAGCACAGAGCATGAAACACGCCAAGGTTCTGTGGTAGAAACCCCAGACAGCTGTTGTCAGAGGGCATTGCATAAGCACACTAATGGGGGCTAACCTGAAATCGCACGCTTATGCGGAGCCCGCCCAACTCTCTGATAACATCAATGCGTGGGTCTTGGCTAATCAATTCTCATTTGGGAGACAATTTTGCTAGAAGATGTTCAGACATGGGGAATCCCAATAGGCCTTTGGTCAACATGATTTTATGGTTTGTTTAAAAATGGTTAAACAGCTATTAAGCTTCTCTTTCTGGCCTGTGTCCCTGCCTTCATATAAGTCATGCATGCATTTTCTCCCTCCCTCTAAAACTCTCAGACACATAAACACACACACTCTCTGTGGTTTGAGTGCTCCGTTATGGGGAAGCAACATCGTGATTTTTCCACCTCTGTTGAATGCTAAGGATTCAGTCCCAACCACGAACATGAGCTCTCAGGCCTCCCGTTACAGGCTCGGTCACTTAAATGAGCCACAGGACCTCTGTCTGCACTGACATGTGGCCAACGTTGGGGGTGGGGAATCCTTTTTGGATCCATTCTTTATTTCAAACAGCTCAATAACATTGATAGAATTAGAAAGCTTTCTTTTCCCGGTGATAGCTCAACCTATTCTGTTTTATTTCTGCTGGGTTGGCAATAACTTGCCAGCCAGGTTGTTAACCAAGTTTATTACTCACAGTCCAGGGAGTGTGAGTAAACACAGCCCCGAGAAGGCACCCCAAGCCCTCAGTGCCTGCTGTCTTGGGACCCTCTGGTTCGGACAGGAAGTCTCTTCCGGGAGCATATTTCAGTAGTTGCCTCCTGGATGGCCATTTTGATCAGGGGCCAGGCCCCGGTTCTCTGCTAATGTCACCCTTGGGGGAGGTTCAGCAGCCATAAAATCTCTCCTGAGACACTGTCATCCAACCGTTACAAAGAACATGGTTTTGCCTGACAAGCCTGAAACAGCACATGGCATTTCTCCCAAATTCTTTATCTATGCATCTCAAGAAGGTCTCGGTTGGGCTAGAGCTATATTTTATGCCATGCAGCATATTGGAAATTCTCTTCTTCTGTAACATGTGATTTAGAATAATAGTACATAAGGACCTGGAGTTAATACAGTAACAAAATTCAGTCTTTGCATGAACTAGGGAGAAAGCAGAGAGACTAGGAGATTTAGACAGCCCACTCTATTGAAACATGCAAACTCCGGGATGCCAGATTTTGACCTTTTGATTCATGGAGCAAATCTTTATTAACTGAACCCATCATACAAAAAGGGTGGTGGTCTCAGCAGTTTAAAAATATAATCTGGAATTCAGAATTCTATTCACTAATTTCTTCACTCGCTGAAACTGGAGGAAAGAAAGGGTTTCATCCACCTCTTGGAGAACATAAAGCTATGTAATTCCTTCTTATTCACATCTATTCATCGTGGAAAAAAAGGATCCATTTCGCCAAGCGTGGGAGATGTCAGTGCTTATCCTGCTGGCAGGACTCCTGCAGGGACTGGCAGGAAAAAAGAGAAAAGAGAGACACAGAAGAGCAGCAGAAGCAAGCGGAAGAAGAAAAGACCTGGAGTCTCCAGGAAGCTACTGGCTAAACACGTTAGTCTCTGCTAGAAAATTCTTCTCACCCTAAGTTTTTGCCCATTTATTCGGAGGACACACCATTCTAAGTGCAAGAGACAGAAACATCTAGAGGTATAAAGGGAATGCCGAAAAGGCAGATCTGCCCCTCCAAAAAAAAGCGCACACAGCTCCCCCACCGAAGCCTGATGATCCAGCGTCACCAATCTGGAGGCTCTACCCCATTTTGGACATGTGCTGTGGCTAGAATCCAGGGAGCGAGGCTGGGAGCATAGGAGGCACTTCTATGGCAGTGGGTAGAGGTACCCCTTTCTCCTGGCACACTCAGCCCCACAGCAGGGCAACCCAACTTGGTGATCAGCTCCCACTTTCCTCCTTAGCCAAGCTCCTTTGTGGGGTGCACAGGTGCACACAGTATACAAAGAGACAGAAGAGAAAAAAACCTTTGGGCCTTTTGGCATTCCCCATTGTCATTATTAGCTGAATCCATGCTCCTAGGAAGTTTCCTTCACTTTGGATCTAAGTATCCCGTGGGCTGTCTTCTATTCTCTAATGGCTGAGAAACTAGGGTACACACTCACTATAACTATCTCAGAATATTCTCTATGCATTTTCTTTCTCTGTACCTGGAATCTCCCATTCTTTCCCATCTCTGTCTCCTAATGGTTTTCCTGTTCCTCTGACATAAATGAGGAACAAGATGGCAGATGGGTTTGTGACATTGCTAGACTATCACCAAAGACACAGCTCATGAGCCCTGACCATTCTAGACCTAGAAAGACTCTTTGCCTACATCTTCAAAACTCTGGCAGTCCCAGAGTCTATTTCACATATAAATCTCTACATCTACTTCCACTCAGCGAGGGCAAAATCAGATATGCCAGGGGAATACACAAGTAGGAAGTGGTAGAACTGGGAATTTGACTCCAGATTCCCAGTGTTCGTGACCCCGATGCCAGTACCACCTTCCAATGAGAATGTGGTGGAGCTACAGGGTCAGGGGAATTCTCCTCCAGGTTTAGATTTTGCCTTGCCGATTTGGCCTCTGATTTCTTGACTCTGAGAAAGTCACTTCAGAGCCGTACACCCCAGTAACCTATCTTCCAAGTGTAGATCATGCCAATGAGCAACCATGGAGGGTCAAAGTAGTAAGATCCTGGGTACAGTAAGAGTAGCCACTGCCATTCAACCAAGACCAAATGTTACTGAACAAATAGGCTTAACTACAGGCAACTGAGTTGGCCAGAGGCTCCTGCAGGACTGGCTTCACACTTCATGGCCAAAAGGATAAGCTCTCAGGATAAGGAGGACACATTTAAGCAGCTTACTGGGTTGCCTTGCTAAGCATGATAACTACAGACTGGGAGAAGGGACAAGGAATGTCGTATACTTTCTCCATTGTCCGTAGGGGCTACCTAGTAAGTATTTTCAGTTGATCAAAGCAATATAAAGTAAGCCTCAAGTCACTGTTGTTATGCTTGGAAATATTGTTCATGGATAAGAAATGCTTGGAAAATTCTTATAGGTTTAAAGAAGTTTCTCCCAAGTCTCAGCAAACTTTTTAAATAAAGAGAAAGAACATTAGAATGACCAATATAATTCACCTCCAAGTCATGGTCTCATATTTGATTTTCCTCTTCTACATCATTAAATGAATACCCCAAATTCTTCTCCTTAGTTTAAATAAAGGATATATTTTCCAGATTAGGTGATACTTTTTATCATATGTATACATTTTGATGTGTATATATGATATATATTTTTATATCTTTGAGCTGAATATTCAGCTCCAATTTATGGAAAATGTCTCCCATGAATGTTTTTCCCATGGAAAAAATCAAACCTTATTTTTTCAAACCAACAAAATCAAACTTACTTAAGTCAGAAAAAGCCTAATTTCACTTCATTAATTCAAGCACATGTGTTAATACAAGTACCCATGACAATTTCCTTTATTCTGAGTTCTAATTCTAAAACAGATGGATTGGTGGGTGGATGGATGGATAGATGGATAGATGGATGGATGGATGGATGGATGGATGGATGGATGGATCAGAGCCTATAAGTTTGTCATTTGGATGAAATAAGATGTCATCTCCTTCAATATTTCTTAAAGAGGCTCTTTTTTGCATTGGTCTCATGGGATCCTGCCCCCAACAACAATGCATTATTAAATTGTCCCTTTTAAGGGTGCCCTCAGAGTATTCTCTCTCTGAGGAAAAGTGCCAGAGTGGAATCCAAGATTGATGAGAGGAATTGTTTTCTTTTGTAGTGTGGGAAAAGGGTGATTAGGAAAGGAAAGTCAAGGAGAACCTGGCAGACAATAGACAGTTTAACACAAGGTACACGTGGAAGTTGAAGCTCCTAAAATCTGTTTCCTTATATCTACTCACGTCCCTGTAAAGTTTTTTCCTGTACTCTCAGAGGCATACATATCACAATTTTAAGACAGCTTATCGTGTCACACAATCCCTGGGACCTTTACAAATTCCACAAATGTTAGATTTCAATCCAGTCTCTGAGAAGCACATTACTATATACACACCCACGTCCTCTGCCCACTTCCTCTGCGCCCCCCCCCACCAAAAAAAAACCAGTAAGTAAAAAGACTGGCCCATGATCAGGTAACAGGTGCAATGAAAAATTAAAATACACTGAACTAGAGGAAATAAATGTATTTGAACCTCCTAGGCCAGGGAAGTGCCCATTCCCTGCTCCTTGCATGTCCTATTAATGATGATGACCACTTAATCACATCCCCAGGTGATGGGAAAAATGTCGTGTTCCCATTCATTTGGTCAAAATAATTTTTTTGTTCACCCAAAGTGCTTGGGACAAGGTTCAGTGCATAAGGTCACTGACAGCACTGCAAATTGAAATTCTATCTGGGCCAGGCGCGGTGGCTCACGCCTATAATCCCAGCACTTCAGGAGCCCGAGGCAGGAGGATCACTTGAGGTCAGGAGTTTGAGACCAGCCTAGCCAACATGGTGAAACCCCATCTCTACTAAAAATACAAAAATTAGCCGGACATGGTGGCATGCACCTGTAATCCCAGCTGCTTGGGAGGGTGAAGTGGGAGGATCACTTGAACCCAGGAGGCAGAAGTTGCAGTGAGCTGGGATCACACCACTGCATTCCAGCCTGGGCAACAGAGTGTGACTGTCTCAAAAAAAAAAAAAAAAAAGAAGAAAGAAAGAAGGAAAGAAATCCCATTTGAAGCATTGCACCTACATAATGGAGATGTGCCACATCATCTCATGCCTCTCATAATGTCTTCTTCTGCTCCTGTCCTGCAGTCTTGTACCTCAGGCACCAGAAATTCTGTTTTCTGAAGGGTTTGGACTACTCAGCCATTGTATGCCACAGTGGAAAATTAAACATTTATTGAATGCATGAATATAGGTGTGCATGAATGAATGGATGGATGAATGAACAAATAAATAAATGAATAAGAACATAGGGTCAAAAAGGGTTTGAGTCTCTGGTCCCAGAAAAGGTCAGAATTCAAAATGAAAATACTCCTCAAACTTTCCCTTTTGTTGAGTGCAGCCATGATTTGGTTGACACTAATTAAGTCAGCAGGAGCTAATGAACTGTTGAATGAAACTAACCAACCTTATATCCTGACCTCAGCAAAGGTCAAATGATTCAATGACTAACTCCACAGCCAGGTAGCAAAGTCCTGAGAGTTTTGACACGATGGCTATGCCACACACCTCCTCTGGGCTTCAGACTCATCTTGGGTCTGAAACTTGGGTTTCTTGCATTCCTGCCTTGTGGATAGACATGCATATCTGTTTTCCAAACCAAATGCTTCATGTGATCCCTAATCAGTTTGATCAATTGAGCCTTCACTGAGGGTCCTTCCACTCTGCTAGTTTCCCTCCCTCTGCTTGAAGAAACACCCAATGTCCCCATACTCTGGCCTCCAAACAATACTCTGATTCACTGATTTTGACAATTAATTACTTCCCTAAAAAGAAAAAGCACTACCCAGACACCAATGAGAAATAAACATGGCAAAACTTTCCATAAATCACTGGGAACCACAACTCTCTTATAGAGAAGAAAGTTTTGTATATTCTACTTCTGTCCCTGAATGTGAAACTGCATCATTTATTACCTTTATCTTGGGATACAACCTAAGTAAGCAAGTCATTTTGGAGTCAATCAACTTTCAGCAGACTTTGAAATGTTGATTGCATCTGGAGATTGCACAAGTTTAGTTATTTTTTAGCACTTTGGCCTGTCATAAAAACATTCTCTCAAATCCCAGTATTTCTCCTCCACTGGCATAAAAACTTGGAAATGTATTATTGCTGAGAGACTCCATTCTCTCTGCCAGCAAGTCCCCAGAGGGAAGCACTAGCAGAAGAAAGAAGTTTTTACAGTCACTTCATAAGAGAAAGTCATTCATCCACTGGACCTAATCAAGTCTTCCAAGACGTGGCCCATAGCTGACACCCAGAGCTCCACTCTTTGTATTTGTGCTCTTTCCTTTAAAAAGAAATGGCAAAAACCTATGCTTTTTCCTCCATAGCAAAACATAATGGGCAAAACAAGGGACCACTATTATGAGAGTGCTAATAGCAATTCTAGCCTGCAAGTAAAGAAGACTTACCAGGACCAGAGGACTAATTAACAGGTCAGCCAGATAATGCATGAACACAGGAGGAAATGTGTATTTAAGAAGCAGGGCTGAGTGTGCACGGCAGGCTGCTGCTGGTTTGCAGCTGCTCTTTTGGCCCCGTGGAAGAGCACAAGTGTGGGGTAGGGAACGGGGGTGACCTCAGTTCCAGCCCCAATTAATGTCTCCCTTTCTCCTCCATGAATCATGGGTTATATATTAAAGTGAGACCTTCAGAGGCCTGCATTTGGAAACAAATGCAGTTTGTTTGACAGTTTGATGAGCAGTTTAATAAGCATATCTGATGCTTGGTAGCAGAGTCCGAGAGACACAGAAGATGATGGTCTTGCCTTCCCACAGCTTCTAGTCCAAGGAAAGGGGCACAATGTCCACCTTCTCTCTGTGTTCATCTCTATGGCATGGGAGGTTGAATCTGTAGCATGCATGTTGATTCATCTGGCAACTCTTCAAACAGAAACCTCTGTGAGCTGGCAGGCTTGCCTAGTGGCTATCAATGTTCTTAATGGGGATCCAGGGACACCTAGGATCTGCCAATGCCTTCTAAATTAGCAAAGAAATATCACCTATGGGGTTGCTTTAGTGTTGTGTATTGTATTAAAGCTTAAAACATCTGAGAACCCACTCATTCTTCAAAGACTTTACTGTGAGCAGGTATGTAAATAACTGATGTCAACATTCTCTGGGATGGCCCTGAGCAAAACAGTCAAAGTATGTGTATTAGTTTTCTTTTACAACTATAACAAATTACCACAAACATAGTGCTTTAAAACAATAAAAATCTATTCTCTTGCACTTCTGGAGATCAGAAGTCTGCAACGGGTCTCACTGGGCTACAACACTAAGGTGTCAGCAGGGCTGCATTCCTTTCTGGAGGCTCTAGGGGAGAACCCATTTTCTCATCTTTTCTAGCTTTTAGAGGCTGCCCACATTCCCTGGCTCCTGCCCCTTCCTCCATCTTCAAAGCCAGTAGTGTTGCATCTGGAAATCTTTCTTACTCTACATGCAGCCTCCTTCTTCCACGTGTAAGGACCTCTGTGATTATTACCCTGTGCTCATCTGATAATCCAGGATACTCCCCCTATTTTACAGTCAACTCATCAGCAACCTCAATTCCATCTGTAACCTTAATTTCCCCTTGCCATGTAACATAATATTTACACAGGTTCCAGGGACTAGGATGCTGACATCTTCAGGGGCCATTATTCTGCCAACCACAGTGTGTCTTTGATGGCCCCTTTCTTCCCCTTATCCCCCACTCAATAGCATTTCCTCCTGCACTCGGCCATCTAAGCAGCAGAAGTCCTTTTATCTGACATGATCAGGATGGCTGATGAATTGAAAATGCAGGTTAAAGTTGCCAAGTTAAAAAATAAAACGTAGGCTGGGCGCAGTGACTTACACCTATAATCCCAGCACTTTGGGAGGCTGAGGCAGGAGGATCGCTTGAGCCCAGAAGTTCAAGACCAGCCTGGGCAACATGGCAAAACCCCATCACTACAAATGAATTCAAAAATTATCTCAGCGTGGTGGTATGTGTCTGTGTTCCCAGCTACTCAAGGGGCTGAGGTGGGAGGATCACTTGAGATCAGGGGCTCAAAGCTGCAGTGAGCCATGATCACACCACTGCACTCCAGCCTGGGTGACAAAGTGAGACTGTCTCAATAAGCAAATACATAAATAAATAAATAAAATAAAACCTAGACCAGGCATAACAGCTCACATCTGTAATCCCAGCACTTTAGGAGGCTGAGGCAGGAGGATAACATGAGCCCAGGATTCGAGACGAGCCTGAGCAACATAGTGAGACGCCATCTCTGCAAAAAGTAATAAAATAAATTAGCTGGGCATGGTGGTGCATGCCTGGGTCCCAGCTACTTGGGAGGCTGAGACAGGCGGCTGAGGCAGGAGGATCCCTTGAGCCTGGGAGGTCAAGGCTGCAGTGAGCTGTGATCATGCCACTCTACCTCAGCCTGAGACTCTGTCTCAAAAACAGAAAATAAAATTAAATAAAATAAAACCTGGGGGAAAGAGGATGAGTAGGCAGAGGACAGAGGGTTTTTAGAGCAGTTAGGCTACTCTGTGTGATACTACATGGTGGATTCATGTCCATTGCATGTTTGTCCAAACCCAGAGAATGTACACCACCGAGAGAGGGCCCTAATGGAAACTAGGGACTTTGGGTGATGATGATGTGTCAATGTAGGGTCATCAGTTGTAACAAATGTACCACTCTCATGGGGGATGTGGATAAGGGAGAGATTAGATGTGTGGGGAAATGGGGGATATATGGGAACTCTCCTGTACTTCTTCTTAATTTTGCTGTGAACCTAAAACTACTCTTTAAAATATACACACACATACACACACACACACATATATATATACACACACACATACACACATACATATATATTTTTAGACAGGGTCTCACTCTGTCACCCAGGCTAGAGTGCAGTTGTATGATCTCGGCTCACTGCAACCTCCACCTCCTGGGCTCAAGCGAACCTCCCACCCCAGCCTCCCAAGTAGCTGGGACTACAGGCGTGCACCACCCTGCTCTGCTAATTTTTGTATTTTTTGCAGAGACGAGGTTTCACCATGTTGCCCAAGCTGGTCTCAAACTCCTGACCTAAAGTGATCTGCCTGCTCCAGCCTCCCAAAGTGCTGGAATTACAGGTGTGACCCACTGCACCTGGCCAAAAAAATGTTTAAAAAAAAGATACCTAAATAGCTTATGCTAGATCTTCTCAAACTTTATTGTACATATGAGTCATGTAGGGAACTAGTTAAAATGCAGATTTGGATTCAGTAGGTCTAGGCTATAGCCAGAGATTCTGTGTTTTCCAAAAAAGCATCCAGGTGAGGCCAATGCCACAGGTACCACATTTTGGGGAGCAAGAACTTAAACAAAGACCTAGCATACATTCATTTGCCATTTTTTTGTAGAGCCTTCTATGGATCCACTGGGGTGAGCCTGTGATATATTTTTTCATAAGCCATGCCCAAAATACATCTTCCATGATTTCCTGCTTTTTTCTAAAATAGATCTGAAACTGAAAGCCACCCATGAAGCAATCTGAGCTCAGAGCCTGCCTAGAGTTTGATTATTTTTTCTAATATAAATCTCTTACAGGTATATCACCCACACTTAAATCAATAGAAATTTTTCAAAAACATTAAACTTGGTTTTTACATAACAAAATGGTTCACTTTTTTGCATGCCTATATAAGTAATATTTATTTAAACCATGTCATTACAATAACAAGTCCAAGTGGTAGAAGATTTGCAACAGACATAAGAGGCCCTTGGTGAAGAGGCAACACAGTTGGAACCAGTGAGGGAGGAAACCAGAGAGCAGAATCCTCACCATGTGCTATGGACATAGTAGATACAGCTCACCAAGGAAATGGATTCTGTTAGGGAGAAGCCAGGAAAGACAGCCTCTATTCCATATTCATACCCTTTCCCTCTACCGGTAACCTCGTAAAACTTGGCTGGGGAAAGACCAGGACTCATTCATACAAAGATACAAACAATCAACAAAGTGTAAAGTGTAAACCCTTCCATGGGAATTTTCATTTTAACTCCTAAAGGAAGCCTCAAGTTATAGGAATGACTCCCTAATATGTAAATTTTAGGCATTGTTCAGTGAAGGAGGTACTATGTCACCCCCTTAAACAACCCTAAAATCACACCAGCAATTCTAAAGGACAAACTTAGAGACATACAATGCATTTTCTTATTAAAGCTTCAATAAAAATTCTTGGCAATAATAAATATTGGTATTTCGTGAATTCAGGACAGGCTTTTTGGGGAAAGTCAACCGAAGACAGATCTGAATTAGGAGAAGGAGTGAATGTGTGCTGGGAATGCAAGGATTCACTCTGTAGATCTGACACAGTCAGTGACCTAGACTGAAATCCAGCCATCATTTCAGACAGTGTGCCCTCATCCACTCCATTGAGGAACACAGCTCCAGGGGCCAGGGGACCTCTCTTTGGAAGGTCCTTTCTGAGTACACAGTTTAGTGCTCCATGGATTCCATGTGATATGATTTGGCTTTGTGTCCCCACCCAAATCTCATTTTGACATAATCTCCACGTGTTGAGGGAGGGAGGTGATTGGATCATGGGGGTGGTTTCGCCCATGCTGTTCTTCTGATAGTGAGTGAGTTCTCATGAGATCTGATGGTTTTATAAGAGGCTCTTCCCACTTTGCTTTCTCTTCTCTCTCCTGCCACCTTGTGAAGAAGGTGCCTGCTTCCCTTTTCGCCTTGATTGTAAGTTTTCTGAGGCCTCCCCAGCCATGCAGAACTGTGAGTTAAACTTCTTTCCTTTATAAATTACCCAGTCTCAGGGAAGTTCTTTATAGCCGTGCGAAAACAGAATAATACACCATGAAAGAAGTCAAAAAGTTAGGAGCAAAAAACGGTCTAAAAAACAGTTAAGCTGAGGGGCTTTTCCTCTCGGAAGTCCCCTCTCTCTCACTAGAGAGAGGGCTCTACTCCTTTCTCTTTCTTCTGCATATTAAACCTCTGCTCCTAAACTCCTCATGTGTGTCCGTGTCCTAAATTTTCTTGGTACGAGACAACGAACCCCAGGTATTTACCCTAGACAACCTAGCTGCTTCATATTGAGAACCTCGTCCAGGATACCAAGGTACAACATTCATCAAAATGGTGAGTAGAGGAGTGGACGCCAACTCTGTCCTTCCATTTCGGGGCCCTCAGCCTCCATTTTAGAACCAAATCAAATCAATAACGGGTATCCTTCAGCCATTAAGAATATGATTAGTGTGGCTGCCGTTCTTAAAAACTTGGATGTGAGGCTTGCTGGGGAGAACATGGAGAATCCCCCAGTACCCACGGGTTGCTGGGCATATTGGCCATGTTTGAACCAGCTTCCTTTCACGGAGGACTTAGCCACCTCATGGGGCTGGAAGAGGTCCTGAAGCAACTGAGGAATTTTGGCTGGGGCTACCCCTGGTGTTATCCAAAGGCTTCTGGACTGACCCCAGCCTCCAACCCTCTGGGTTATCCAAAGGCTTCCGGACTGACACCCAATGGGGTGTCGGCAACAGGATCTTCAACTTTCCTATCGTAATTTCCTCCTTTCCTATCTGCGACAGCCATGTCTCCTATCCTCTCTGTGTATGTAATGCATGGGAAGTTTTACCGTTCAGGAAAGTAATTCCTAGGTAAATCAGACATCGCCTCCTCAAGCCTGACTATAAAATCAGCACATCTGCCGTCAGCCGGGCTTTTCCTCTTGAAAGTCCCTTCTCTCTCACTAGAGAGAGATGGATGTTCTCATTTCTCTTTCTTCTACCTATTAAACCTCAACACCTAAACTCCTAAAGAGAAAGAAAGAAAGAAAGAAAGAAAGAAAGAAAGAAAGAAAGAAAGAAAGGAGAAAGAAAGAAAGTTCAGCTGATAAAATGGATGGTAGAATGAAAAGGCAAACATGTGGTAAATGGAATCTCCACTAAAGACAGAAAGAGGATGACGGAGGAGGCGTCAGGAGCACTGTATGTAACCATCACGTTATAAATCTGTGCTACCCAAATGAGAATCACTAGCACCTCATAAAATAGACAAGGCAGACACCCAGAATAACCTTACCAGGGTGATGGACAGGGGCTACCATTTTGCAAATTGTCACTACCTTTAGCTCCCTCCAACACAACAGTAGACACCCTCACGCATGACAACCAGGCACAGTGGTTAAGAGCTTTGGCAGTCAGACCTATCTGGGTCTAAACCCCAGCTCTAACACTGAGTATGTTATTTAACCCCTCAGTACCTATTTCCTCAACTGAAAAATGGTGATAAAAATCATACCCTCTTCATAGTACATTGTAAGGCTTAAATGATATTGTTGGTATAAAAATCCTAGCACAGTGGCTCATAGCAAGGACTGGAGAGATGTCAGTTCTTTCAATATTATCATTCCAGGGCATTTGAAGGACTCATGGTTACTTTTAATCACAGCAACACAGGTTGGCTAGAGGTAAGGTGAGATAACCTTAACAGCAACTTCTAGATTCATAGACTTAGAAGGCATGAAAAGTCACCTGCCGTGTTCTGAGAATAGCTAGAAGGGGACACACTTAGAAATCACTCACAAACCCCAGTGGCCCCTAACTCACTACCCACGAGTGGTCTCCAAGCTCAGAGCTGTGCCAAAAATCCCAACGAGAACCACTGTCCCTAGATCAATTCACCTCCACGCTTCCCTAAGGCACACTCTTGCTTCTCTGGCAAGAAATATGTAGCATCTTTGATAGTGATAGTGATAGGTGAATGTTGGTGGACAAGTCAGCTCTCAATAATCCTTTTCACAAATCATGGGTCCCCAGACATGTTATCTAAACTGATATTATTTTTACCAATACCAATAATAGCTTTGGGCTGGACTCAACCGGCTACAGGATAATCCATTCAAGTCAAATAGTCCACTTTCATCCAGACCTGGGTCTGCTACAGATACCAGTTTACCTAAGACATGAATCTTCCACAGGAAAGGGTGGTGGCATCTAAAGCCCCTTCTTAAGACATGCCTTCAAAGTGCTTGAAACTCTCACAGCCCCGCTGCCAAAACCCAGCCACCAGGCATCTTGGGAATGCAATTCATGGTGGAGATGTTCGCAAAGACATTATTTTGTTGAGACTAAGGGCATTTTCCTCATCAGTAAACTGGAAACAGCAGCCCTGCCCTGGTGATGGTGGAGATGAAATGTGATGTTGCATGAAACAGCTCAGCACAGAGTCCACACCTGTTGCCACTGCTGCTGTTGTCCAGCCACCATCCAGGAGAAAAGGAGGATGTGACAGAGCTGAGAGAAGAAACAAGCAGCTATTTCTACAGCTTTTCCTTAGTCTTTTAAGTGGAGTGTGCACTAAATACCCACTCTTATGGACATCATCTCATTGAACCTTTCCAACCACCATTTTCACGGACCAGGAACAAGGCCAGGGGACGTTCTGTAACTTGCCGAGGCTGCAAAGGAAGTCAGGGGCAGAGCTAGGGCTCTTGACTCTAACTTCTGAGTTTCTTTCTCCTTGAAGAACATCAGTCCCCTCCCAGAACAGAAATCAGACGCCTCTCTGGGCCTCCCCAGCATTGCCATTTTTATATCAAGTAAATGTTAGTGAGAAGGATCTTTGAAACGTGCAAAGTGCTCTGCTAAGCACAGTACCTGCAATGTCACATGAAATACTCCCAAACACCCAATGAAATGTCAACTGCACATCACAGATGAAGAACTTGATGCCCCGGGAAGTTATTCATCTGTGAAGTTAAGCAAGTGGCTCAAGATCACACAGCCAGTAAAAAGAAGAGTCCTAGGATTCCAACCCAGGTCAGCCCAATTTCAAGTAACCATACATTTAGATCAACTGGGCTGAAGATAAAAAGGAACACCCCTAAGAGTTTGCTTTTGCTACACTCACAAAAATCCAGCATGTAAAGGATTCAGGAAGGCACTCTAAGAAAAGGACTTGAAATTGCAGAAGACCTAAGTGTGGAGGAGAATCAAGGCCAGAGAGGGACTCTAAAGGCTATGATATTTAGACATGAACCAGCACTTGTTCAGGCAATTTAACTTGTGAGGTTTTTGAGACAGGGCCTCACTCTGTTGAGTGAGGCTGGAGTGCAGTGGTGTGATCTTGGCTCACTGCAACCTCTACCTCCCAGGTTCAAGCAATTCTCCCACCTCAACCTCCCTAGTAGCTGGGACTACAGGTGTGTGCCACCATGCTCTGCTAATTTTTCTATTTTTTGGTAGAGAGAGGGTTTCACCATGTTGGCCAGGCTGATCTTGAACTCCTGACCTCAGGTGATCTGCCCACCTCAGCCTCCCAAAGTGCTGGGATTACGGGCATGAGCCACTGCACCTGGCCATAACCTGTTTAATTTTTAAACAGAAAAAAAAAATGAAAAGAGAGAGAGACAGTTAAGGTCTTTTTTTTTCTTTTGAACAGCAAAGTACTCAACCAGGGAATGCTCTCTGCCCCCACATCATCCATCATATGATGCTGCACGTTTTCTGAGACCACCAACTGTGTATGAGTGTGGAATTTTTCCCTCAAGGAAAGTGGCTGAAACTCAGTCACATGAGACTCCTATAACTGTGCTGGACAGAGCTGAGGAAAGATGGAAAGACACTCTGGGGAATGCTCTGCCTGGTGGGAGGGAAGGCGAGATGACCCAAGGGTGCTGAGCTCTTCAAGCCTCACATCTCTGATTCCATACACAGCATCCTGGAAGGGACACATCTCACCCAGCAGGTACACCATGGAAGGCATCCAAGGTCCCATGGGCCTTGGGGACCGGGCACCACTTTAAGGCATGTCTGGCTCCTCACCAGCATGGCGGGCCCTGCTGACTGAGGCATAGGGAGGCCACACGGGCTTCTGCCTGGCACAGCCAGGACCACCCTAGGCACCAGGATGCTCAGAGCCCACCCCTTGGCATGCTGCCCAAGCTGATGGATTGCATCCTGTCAGGATATTGATCCTGATGAACTAGGAGACCCTTGGCTATGATTAAATGAACCTGAGCATAAAAAAAGTCATGAGCTATAGATGATACCCTGCCACTTGGGAGACATTGCCAGAAAATCAACTCCAAACAGCTCTAATGGAATGTGATCGAGACTTTAAGCATCTAGGGAGCGGGGTGAGAGGAAGTTCTTCACAGCCAGAGATGCCTTCCAGAGTCTGGAAGGCCCATTCACTCGGCCTGCAAACCCTGAGTCTGTGTGCCTACGGGCAGTGCTTGAGTCCTTCCAGACCCAAGGCTGAGCCCGAAGAAACGGAAGGGCCCCTCAATAGCTTCCAGCCATGGGAAAGACTTGTGCAGAAGTGGATAGGGAGGTGGATAATGTGGCATGGCTCTTCGGTGGGATCTGAAAACCTGAATGAAGCTGCATCAATGCAGTTTTCAGGATGTGTCTTCACTGAGGGCAGGTTCTGCGTCTAACTCACCTTTCTCTTCCCCACATCAGATATTCCACCCGACAACACGCTTCCATTCTCACTGAACCCAGTGAAGCTAGTGGGCAGAGTCCAGTGCCCTCAGTCACTCAGTGTGCCTCCAGCTGACACCCCTGAGCATGTACTGTGTGCCAGGAAGACCTCGGAGCTCTGCCCTATGGAGCCCCCATGCTGGGAGGAAGAACAGGGAAAACACAGCGAGGCCACGGCTAGGAAAGTTACAATGCAGCGTGATGGACACAACGACAGAAGAGCCCCACTCCACACCCAGGCAGGGAGAGAGGTCAGCTGAGGAAGATTCTTGGGGGCCCAGTTGTGATTCTAGGAGAAGAGAGCGAGCTCCTGGGCCTGGGGGAGCGGGATGACAGCCACAGGGGTTAGAGCTTATAAGACTTGTGATTGGTTTTCTTCACAAAAATCACAACAGGATGAGAAGCAGAGGAGTGACACCATCACATCCACATTTAGCAAGTTCTTTTTTTTTTTTTTTAGATTGAGTCTTGCTCTGTCACCCAGACTGGAGTGCAGTGGTGTGATCTCTTCTCACTGCAACTTCTGCCTCCCAGCTCAAGTGATTCTCCTGCCCCAGCCTCCCGAGTAGCTGGGATTACAGGTGCATGCCACCACACCCAGCTGATTTAGCAAGTTCTTTCTGACTGCATTTGGGGACGGGATGGAAGGATGGCAGAGGGAGGAGCCTGGAGGCAAGGAAAGCAGGTGGGGGGTGCCCACCTGGGGGGCTGTGGGGAGGTGGGGAAGGGGTACAGATGGAAAGCTCTGTATTGACTGTATTCCCTACTGGCTGTGAGGAATAAAGGAGGAGAAGGAGGCAAGGGTGGCGCCCTGGGTCTGCCTTGGAAGCCTGGTAGCAAATGGTATCATGGGTGAGGTAGGAAATTCAGGAGCAGGGCAATGGAGAAGAAAACTGCACCAACTCAGGTCAGAGCATGCTGAGCTTGAAATACTCCCGGGAGGACTCTGTGGAATGGCGCCGTGGGCGGCTGACCTCTGGATCCAGAGCCCTGGACAGAGGCGGGAAGTGGGCCGGGATCTAGGAACCAGCAGGGGAAGCTGACACCTGGTAGTCAATGTTCTCCAGAGAAAGCACACGGGGTTATTTAAAACAAGCACCACAGCAAAAGAATAAATTGGTATGGCTAAAACCCAGGAAACACCCACGTTTAAGAAAAAGTAGAAAGGGAAAAAAAATCCACAAAGGAGACGTTTTAAAAGCCTGAGAAAGAGAATAAAAACCAGGAGAGACTGATGGCATGAAAACAAAGGGGGCCGGGCGCGGTGGCTCACGCCTGTAATCCTAGCACTTTGGGAGCCCGAGGCGAACGGATCGCTTGAGCCCAGGAGTTTGAGATCAGCCTGTGCAACATGATGAAACCCCATCTCTACCAAAAATACAAAAATTTGCTAGTTGGTAGGCCACTTGGGAGGCTGAGGTGGGACGATCGCTGGAGCCCAGGAGGTCAAGGCTGCAGTGAGCCGTGATCACACCACTGCACTCCAGCCTGGGCGGCAGAATGTAAGACCCTGTTGAAAAGAGAGAGAGACCTCAAGGACATTGAGTCTGATTTGATCTTCACAGCAGCGTTATCGTTCCCATTTTACAGAGAAAAGCTGAGGTCCAGAGAGCCAAGGAGATTAAGCAACCTGCACACTCTCTTACTTTAGAAAACAGGCTCACGTCATCTTCCCATAGCTGCCTCCCACGGGCTCTTAAGTAAGTCCCTTCCTTCCCTTCCTTCCTTCCCTTCCTTCCCTTTCTTTCTTTCTTTCATAGAAACCTCCTCTTCGTGGTAAAAATAAGTAACCGGGATAGAGTATTCCACACTAATGTTAAGAAATGAACTGAAGAGATTTCAGGCCTTGGGGGAAGACCAACATTTGTTTAAATCCTTCAGGCCAGCCCCAGCCCATGCCCTCCACAATCCTGGAGGCTCATCCCTGACAGGTCTACAGGGGTGAGAGTCTGAGAGAAGGGTGGAAACACGGTAGCCCGAGAGACACCCAGAGGGCTGTGTGGGCTACGCGACTTCCCGCGTGGGTGGAGGGGTCGGGCAGGGTCCCTCCCGGTCCGGGGCCGCTTCTCGAGACAGCCGGGCATCCTCCCTCCCGTGAGCGAGCCTGGAGCGCCACCTAGTGCCCGCCAGCAACATGAACACACGCCAAGGAGCGCTGCCAGCGACAGGAGCTGGGCTCCCGGTGTTTGCTCCGTGGTGCTTCTGTCCGAGAGACCCTGGAACATTCTCAAGTTGTGCGTCTCTCAAATCTTCAGTCTAGTGTGGCCAGTTCCGATGATCTGAAAGGTTTTCCAAAGAGATCTTCTGTGGCCTGAGCACCGGGAATGAGGACAACAGCGGGGAAAAATAACAACTACAAGAGTGACCAAAACCCTTAAAAGGCTGAGACAGATGGACAGCCCTGGAAGAGAAACCCAGTGTCTCAGGGAGAGCTAATAAAAAACTTAAAGAGAAGCAAACATCAACCTTGAAAGCAGCCGCCTTAAGCATTAATACCAGACATGCTGAGTGATATATCCGATGGACAAAATTATTTTCCCATGAAAAAAGGGAGAAGCGAGAGGAAAGGAAAGGGAAAAGACATATGCATGTCCATGAGGGAGTTTTTAAAGGGTAATAACAATACAGAAAGAGAAAAGTGCATGGTCCTTTGTAGAAATGGGGATGGGGCTGCTTGATTTAGGATTCACCTGATGTGGGAATGATGGAATTTCGCTCTGCACCCGGCATAAGAGTAAATCAGTCCTGAAATGTACCAGAGAAACCAACAAACACAACATTACCTTCTCCTGCATCTCTCATGGAAAGTGTCCCGAAGAGGCTCAGCAGAATGGAATTGAGCTGAGCTGCGATGAGAAGGCATATACACTATAAAGAAACATTCTATATAGAAGCAATCAATCCAAGGTGATTCATGCAATCAGCCAGTCAGAGGTGTAAATCCCACGGGGTGCATGAGGTATGCCACAGCCTGGATGCCTATTTTCTGGGGGCAATGAATGAATGGATTTCTCCCTCCTTCCCAGGCTCCAGTGCTTTTAGCAATTGGCACTGTGGCAGGATTTATACCATGGTTCTTGTAAATTGTACCTTCTCTCTCTCCTTTTCAAAGATTTCTTTCAATAAAATGCAGATGGAATTGTTGGAGAGCTGCTTTTCATGTGTTTATAGGTTACTTCTGCTCGGTTGCTTGTGCAGGTGCGTGTCTCTAGGCCTCTTTGTTTTTTATTTTCTCTGCCTATTAGGGAAATGGAAACATATGGATTCCTTGTTTGGGCCCAGCGGACCTTATAGAATAGGATCCCTGTTGCCTTCCTCACACATCTTCCTGTAATCACATGTCTCTGAATTAGCCTCTTAATCTCCCAGTGGAAAAGCCGTAATACAGGGAAATACAATAAAATGCATATGCATTCTGAATGCCAAAGCATTTACAAAGTAGATGGGAATGTGGTCATTTATACAACTGTGTAAGGACAGTCTTAGCTGGCATTGGTTACAATATGAATAAAGAAGTAGACATTCAAAATGGCAGACATATCTGGTGGTCCAGCAAGCTAATATTTTCAAGTCTAGCTAGGAGAAAAGAAAAAATAGTACTGAAGTGCAAAGAAACTGGAGGCTTGGATTTGGATCTGAAACTCCAACATAATCATTTCCAGGTTACATGAGCAGTTTAATGCAGAGATTTCATGACTTTTCTTCACCTGGAAGATGAAGAATCTAGAAACATATGTGGAGTGTTCTCAGAAATGCATAGAAACAAATGGTGAAGGCCTGCTATAGGTAATATCCCCATGTTTTAATTCCCATTGTAAATAAAGATCCCATTTACTGAAGGCGGCATATGTTTTATTAATATGCCCCACTACGGCCCTTTAGGAAGAGGCAATAAGCAAATGTTCACCCAAGAGGCTGTCCACCATCCCCAGCAGAGTGCTTATTAAGACTAATAGGAACATACAGCATCTATGTTGCGAAAATTTCAGGAAAAGAAAAGCCCTCAGCTAGAGATGGTTGTTTTGCAGTCCTTCTTCCAAATCACTATAAGGACAGCCTGGCCTCATCAGGAAGGTGAGGAGGTAAAGCGCACAGACGACCATCTCCACCATGCCTGGACAAAAAGACAGATGTATCCTGTGAGGTCTCAAGCTGGCAGTGTTATGCGATTGGGAAGCCCCAAATGATGTACAGAGGTTCAGACCAAGATGCGGCTCAGTCCCCCTGTGCTTCTCTGAACCTTTTGGAAACACTGCCAAAGTGGCAGGTGATGAAGTCACACTCTGGAGCCCTGACAACAATGGCCCCTGACCATCTTCCTGATACGATGGGTGGGAAACCTGCTCTTCTTGATGGATAGATGAGACTCGGGTGGGGCAGTGACTTTCAGACCCTCACAACCCCTTCCCTAGACTGAACCTAGGATAGGAAGGTAGGAACCCCTCAGGAAGAATCTGAAGAGATTCATTGTGTGTAATGAATGATATTACTGCATCTGAAGACTGGAGAATCATTGTATGTAATGAATGATATGACTGATGGCACCTTTTTCTCAGACGAACAAAGAGCAAACAGGGAAAAGAACCACCCACAGTGTCTGCATGGAAAACTCTTACAAGTGACCCACATGACTTGAACTTGATTCTTCTCCTCTCCAATTCATGAATCCAATTCTATACTAGCTCCTTCTCTAAAGAGAGTAAACACCATTGTCGAGCAGTGAGGTCCTGACCAATGGATTGACCTGCTCCAGTTGTAGCCCGAGCTCAGCTTTGAATGCATAACCTCAGGCAGATTGTGTGACATTTTGAGCCTGTTTCCAAATCTGCAAAATGAGATGGTTGAGCAAGGTGATTTCTAAAATTGTTTTCAGTCTTAACATGTAGGACTCTACGTATTTTGTTGTTTTGATTTTTTAATTTATATATTTTTTATTTTCACAGACAGGGTCTCACTATGTTGCCCAGGCTGGTCTTGAACTCCAGGACTAAAGTGATCTGCCCACCCTGGCTTCCCAAAGTGCTGGGATTACAGGCGTGAGCCACCGTGCCTAGCCTTGGACTCTACGCATTAACAGTTAAATATTAACATTAACTCTTAGGATGTGCTGCCTGTGCCAGGCAAATAGGATACCCATGACTTAGGTGAGCCCAGAGGTGGTTTCCCGACAGAGCAGGGTTTGTCCCCCCACCCTTGTGTGGATTCCCCTTCTGACCCCTCAGCCCTCATTCAAGAGGTGGCTGGCCAGAAAAAAAAGGATTGCATGTGTTTTGTCGTGGAAGCATTTTCTCATTTGGTCTCTTATTGCCAGTAGGAAGATATAATAAATACTAATTAAAATAACTTGATGCAGCATTTTTCATCTTGACAAATAGCTTGTCCCCCATCTTTACACAAACAAATTAGAAAAAGCATATGAGGATATATGGCTCTAGACAGAGTAAAAGAACAGGAGCTATACCATGCACTTAGTATATGCCACCAGTTGTACAGTGAGCCTGTGACTGCAGCTATTTCAAATGTAATTACCTCAGTCACCCCCCACTGGGCAGGGACTCTTAAGGTCTGCTCAGCTTCTAGTGCATGGCTGGTGCTCAATAAATGACAAATGCAATTATAATAATTAATAATTCATATATTAATAATGCAATCCCTTTCCCGCGCTCAGTAATTGCCGCCAACAAGCCATGCACACACAGGAACTGGCACTGCCAGGCGCCCGGGAATTTCTCCACACTTCCATAAACCTGTGTCCAAAGGTCACCTTGAAGAGGCAATCACAGCCGCCTGTTAGTCTAACAAAGATGGCTGGTTTAAATGCTTCATTTTTTTCCTATCGCCTTCCCGTTTCAAATATTTACAGCTCTCTTCGAGACCCAGCCTTGAGAAATAAATGCCCTGTTGACACAGTTGATAGCAGTTGATAGCTGTGGAAGATCCTCCTTGTACTCCCAGGAGGCACTGCAGTCACCTCCTTTATCCCAAAACTGCAGAAAGTTCAAGGAATTGAAAGGTACACCCAGACTTGAGAGCCTTGAGGTGTAGACAGAGCCACTTATCTGGGGTGAATTGGTGAACTCGATTTGGCACATCCTCATCCCACAGTGAACAGATCGTTCATTTTGGAGACAGTCACAAAAATCAAAAGCTCAAGCAGGTTATTAATACCCTAGCAAGTCTTCCCAGAAGAGGGCTAATGCTGATTTATTTATCTCATCTGTGCTTTCTTTTTTCCTGGCATTCTTTGATTTTTCACAACGCAGGTAATTCTACTCTGATCAGAACTCACTCAAGTTGCCCAATGAATTTCAATTGCCAGTTTTAGTTTTCCAACTGGCCTCTCCTCCCCGGACATCCATGCGATTTCCAAACTGAGATTAAACCTCAGTGTTTCTGACTCCCCACAACCCCATCCCCCAAATCCATCTGCTCTTCCCCCAGTCCTTCCCGTTTTCTGTAGTAATAAGGCCATGGTCAGCAGGAAGGAAAGAGGCTGATGTCATCAGACAATCCTCTAATCCTTCTGGAGCCCAGAAATGACTGACCTTTTGTTATGCATAAAATCCACTCCTACATCCTAACTTAGAGGGACCGGAAGGCAAAGGAGTCCTTTAAACTGATTGTCTTGCTTCTTACAAATCATTTTTTCACATTATTTTGTCAGCTCTACTTTCTTTCAGGTTCCCAGTAAAACCAACTAAAATAACAGCTTCTGACTTCACCTTCAGAGGATAAAGTATATATAAAACCAACTTTCAGACGTAATTTTCTGGGTGTTGATTAGAGCACATTCATCAAGATAATGTTTAATTGGAGAGCTCTGCTAAGCATATCATTGGCACAGAATCGCCCTAAATAGCTGCTGGTAATAAGCTGAGTTCTCAGTTTCCACATGTGCAGGAATATGTCTCCATTCTGTCTTCAGGCCTCCTGGAGGAAGTACTCTGTTTATGTTTTTGGTACATTTTATGCCTCATCGGGAGCTAGAAATGAAACCCTTTGAATATGAGGTTTTCTCTCTCCCATGCTACAAGTTCAGAGCCAGCGTCAAAGGTATCTGTCTCTGTGTTAGCACTCTTTCCAGAACCCTTATAAACATCTTTGCCTTTGGTTCAGTTCTTCGTTTTAATGAATGTGAGATTTCTCGTTAAATACATTGCTCATCTGTAGACAGATGCATAAGAGAAGCTCAATGTAACAAACTCATCTTTCCCTGTAAATTGCTCTTCCTCTCATATGCATTATACTAATTCGGGAATGCCAGCATTCCGCTAGTCCGAGTTGGCCAACTTTTCCTGTAAAGGGCCAGAAAATAAATATTTTGGGCTTTGGGGCCTCTGTCACAGCTACTCATCTGTGCTGTTGTAGTGTTGTTACTGGTGGAGGGTCTCCAGGTTCTTGGCATCTTGAACAAAGAGTTGGACAAAACCCACAAAGCAAGGAAACAATGAAGCAACAAAAGCAGAGATTTCTTGAAAATGAAAGTACACTCCACAGGGTGGGAGCAGGCAGAAGCAAGTGGCTCAAGGGCCCAGTTACAGAATTTTCTAGGGTTTAAATACCCTCTAGAGGTTTTCCATTGGTTACTTGGTGTACAAGTATGTAAATGAAGTAGTGGCCTATGATCAGTCTGATTGGTTGCAGGAAGGAACCAATCAGAGACTGAAGCAAAGTTATAAAGTTACCCCTTATGCAAATGTATGATTGGTTGCAGAAAGTGACCAATCAGAGGCTGAAGTGAAGTTACAAAGTTATACTCCTATGCAAATGAAGACTTGGCCCGCAACCAGCCTTACTGGTTGCAGGAGGGGACCAATCAGAGGTACCTTCAATTTCTCATCTGCCACACAGAAAAAGGTGGGGGCGGGGGTAGGGGAGTGGTTGCGAAGGGAGTAGCCGCTGGTCCTTTTGTTACTTGGGTGTGGAAAATTGGGGTTTTCCTTTTGATTTACTTCTAGGAAGTCAGCGTGAATTGGCCTTAGGTTCCCTGCCTCCAGACCCTATTCTCCTGCCTCAGTGTCAGAGGCGTTCAAACCAGAGCAACTCCACAAGGTATGGGTCATAAAGGCCTTACTGATAAAACAGGGTGCAGTAAAGATGCTGGCCAAATCCCACCAAAACTAAGATGGTGATGAGAGTGATCTCTGGTCATCCTCACTGCTCATTATATGTTAATTATAATAACATTAGCATGCTAAAAGATACTCCCACCAGCGCCATGACAGTTTACAAATGTCATGGCAATGTCCCTATATACTCTAAAAAGGGGAGGAACCCGTGGTTCTGGGAATTGCTTGCCCTTTTGTGGAAAACTCATGAATAATCCATTCCTTGTGTAGCATATAATCAAGAAATAACCATAAAAATAGCCAACCAGCAGCTCTTGAAGCTGCTCTGTCTATGCAGTAGTCATTCTTTTGTTTCGTGGGTTTTTATTTTTATTTTGGGTTTTTGTTTTTGTTTTTTTTTTTGAGACAGGGTCTTACTCTGACTCCCAGGCTAGAGTGCAGTGACAGTGATGTGCTGCAACCTCCACCTCCCAGGCTCAAGCAATCCTCCTGCCTCAGCCTCCCGGAGTAGCTGGGACTACGGGTGTTTGCCACCATGCCCGGCTAAGTTTTGTGTTCTTAGTAGAGACAGAGTTTCCCCTTGTTGCTTAGGCTGGTCTCGAACTCCTGAGCTCAAGTGATCCACCCGCCTCAGCTTCCCAAAGTGCTGGGATTACAGGCATGAGCAAATCTTTAGTTTCTTTACTTCTCTAATAAACTTGCTTTCACTTTACTCTGTGGACTCACCTTGAATTCTTTCTTGGGCAAGATCCAAAAACCCTCTCTTGGGGTTTGGATTGGGACCCCTTTCTGCTAACAGTAGTGTGAAAGCAATGATAGACAATACATAAACGAATGGTGTAGTAGTGATCCAATAAAATTTCATTTACAAAAGCAGGTGTGAGATGGGCTGAATGTTTATGTCCTCCCAAAATTCCTATGTTGAAATCCTAACCCCCAAGGTGAAGGTGTTAGGAGGTAGGGCCTTTGGGGGGTGATTGGGTCATGAGGGTTGGATTAGTGTCCCTATTAAAAGAGATCCCTCATCCCTTCTATCATATGAGGACACAGCAAGAACGCACAGTCTATGAAACAGGAAGCAGGCCTTTACCAGGAACCAAATCTATGGGTGTCTTCATCTCAGACTTCCCAGCATCCAGAACTATGAGAAATAAAGTTCTGTTGTTTATAAACCACCCAGTCTGTGGTCTTTTTTTACAGCAGCCTGAATGGACTAAGATAAGTTAGTTACCCAGAGTTGGCCCTGGGTTTATAGTTTGCCAACCCTTGTGATCGGAAGCCTGGGAGCCATCCATATTTCCTTCCCTCTTTCACCTGACACATCCAATTAATAGATAAGTCTGCCAATCTTACCTCCCAAGTATTTCTGAAATCTGCTCTTGTTTGCCATCTTTAAGTTCTTACTTCACTTTAAAGAAATTGCACGTGCAAATTATAGAAGAAGCAAGAAAGACAAAGGGGAATGCCAACCAGTGTTCAAAGAAAATTGCTCCTGCATCAAAAGATTGGAGAAAAAAATGCTTACCGTATTTCATCAAATCTGAGAAACCATTGATTTTAAAATGTACATTATTTTATGCATGCCACCAAGAAGGAATAACTGCAGCCAAAATGATAATCAAAGATTTCTTATCACTTAAAATTTTTATTTTATACTTCTCGGAAGAATTGTTTTAGACAAAGAAAATATAGATTTTTGTGATAAATCAGTATGTAACATATATATACATACATACATATATGTTACACACTTTCTAAACTTCTCTTGTTTCTTGCCACACCCCTCTTCCCTAGCATAAGGAGGGGCTCTCTCTGGAATGTCCTTATCTGACTGAGGAAACTTCTTTCAGAAGAAATGCAATTGTCTTAAAACCTGTTCCTAGGAATCTCATCAAATAACCAGGAAACAGCAGAGAAGAGAAAAGACTAAAAGTCATCGCCAGGCCCAGATAGACTTTTCCTCTATTCTTCTGAGGGCAGCTCCCAGATATTACCTGTGAAACTCTCTCCATAACAAGACAACCTTTGTTAACAGTGAAGTGTTGCCCCTCACCTTCCCATAATTTGTCACCACCTCCCCCAGAGCTCAGAAGAATTTTGTCTCAGGCCACTGTCTGGGAGCTGAAGATCATTTATTACCAGTCAAAATCGCCTCCATTACCCTATCTCCCACTCCTCTATGAAGAGGGTGCTATTTAGGCTTCAGCTGTTTGGCCTTTCTTTGAGTCTCCTAGTTTTTATGATTCCCATTCCTACACATGTGAATAAATTTGGATACCTTTCCTCCTGTTAATCTATCATCAGCTCATTTCAGCAGGGGAGGGAAAATTCATAGAGGGAGGAAAAATTCTCCCCAACCCTACCATACATCATTTTCCTTCTGGAGTCACAGAGGCCTTTCAACTTGATATCCTCCCCTGAGCCATCGAGGGTGATAGCAATGCAGCATTTCTTCAAAGAGCACTCCACAATTGTTTCTAAGAATTCTCTGTAGCCCCTTGGAAACCCATTCAGCATGTTTTAATGCTGTCATGTTCTTGATCTTGCTGGAAGGTGTCAAGGGAATGTTTTCCAACAACAGTCAGGACTCATATTCCTTCCTCAAAGAGTCCTTTAATGGTTGGAGGCTAAAACATTGAGGAGTTGCAGTTGACCAGTTGTGCCACCAGGAAGAGCTAACTAACAGGTCGAAGGCTGGCAATGACAACCACATCTTGAATTTGTCTGTGATTACAAAACAATGTCAATTTCAGAGATGTTTATATATATATATATATATATTTTTTTTTAAGTGTGTCTTAGCATCCATGAAATTGATATATAGTTTAAGTTACCACAAATGTTTATGGCATGTATGTAATCTTTTTTATGTTTTCCATACTGCAATCAGCTTTTTTGATTAACTAACTGCTAGTCACTCTTATCTATAAAAAAAAAAAAAGAAGCCAGGCACAGTGGTTCACGTCTGTAATCCCAGCACTTTAGGAGGCCGAGGTGGGCAGATCACCTGAGGTCAGGAGTTCGAGACCAGCCTGGCCAATGTGGTGAAATAGTGTCTCCACTAAAAATACAAAAATTAGCCAGGCATGGTGGCGGGCGCCTGTAGTCCCAGCTACTCAGGAGGCTGAGGCAGGAGAATCGCTGGAACCCAGGAGGTGGAGGCTGCGGTGAGCCAAAGTTGTGCCATTGTACTCTAGCCTGGGCGACAAGAGCGAAACTCAATCTCCAAAAATAAAAAAGTAAAAATAAGAGCACTTCCACTGTACTGTATATGCTAATGCCAAACAGGAATTTGATGAGCTCTGTCTCTACCAGAGGTGAGGTTTAGAGCTTAAGGCCTTTCTTTGGATGAGTATGTTACTAGCAGTTAGGCTATCTCACTGTGGCAAATAAAGCGGAAAAAAAAAAAGAAATTTGTTTTTTTCCCAAAACCCCCCCACTGGGCTTGAAAATTCTTGTTCCACTATTGATTTGGTTTTAAAACACACAGCCATGAAGACAGGATGAGCATTAACATTCTTAGGCCCAATTTTTCTAGTCCAAAGATTACACCATTACTTCAAATTAGTGAAGTTTTGAGGGACTCACGAGTCTCAAAAGGGAAGCATTGTCTCCTAGACAAAGCCCTCAGGTCCTATGAGGTTGGAACATTCTTCTAGATACACCCCTAGGAGGGCACCTGCACCCAGGGAGGAAAGCACCTGGGGCACTGAGGCTTATGCAGAACTCAGTTCCCCATCAGAAGCTTGCACTGGTGGCTGGGAGAGGTGGCTCATGCCTGTAATCCCAGCACTTTGGGAGGCCACGGCGGGTGGATAGCTTGAGGCCAGGAGTTCGAGACCAGCCTAGCCAACATGGCAAAACCCCATCCTCTCTACTAAAAATACAAAAATTAGCTGGGTGTGGTGGCACACACCTATAATCCCAGCCACTTGGGAAGCTGAAGCAGGAGAATTGCTTGAACCCGGGAGGCAGAGGTTGCAGTGAGCCAAGATATCACACCACTGCACTCCAGTCTGGGTGACAGAGTAAGACTCTGTCTCAAAAAAAAAAAAAAAAAAAAAAAAAAAAAGAGCTTGCACTGTCTCCAACTTCCTTCTAGAATTAATTGCTAGTTCAGCTACTGAATGCAGACACAGGGCCACTATATAACAGTAAAGCTAGAAGGAACCTCAGAGAGCCAAACCCCAAAAGCTCTAGTTGGGAAGATGGGAGAAAAGTGAATTTGCCTGTGGGATCACTCCTGGTCACAGGTAGAGTGTCCAGTCCCTAAGCTGGTGTCTTACTCCCCACATCTTGTGACTGGTGGTAGCAAAATTCTTTCATTCTTCAGTAAGACAATGTTTTGGCTGTTAAAATAAAAGGCCCCCCCCAAGCCTAAACTCTAGAATAGGAAATAATCTTTTTTTTCCCTTTGAAATGTGGATGAGAGTAGCGCTGCCAAAAATTCTCCAAGACCTCTTCTTTTAAGCTTTAAATGGAATTAATTAAATCACCTGAAAAATAAATACAATCATCTGATTTTCTTGTGTTACTAAAAGATTTTCGAAAGAAAGGCAGCACAGCTAGCCCAGGCAATGGCTGGATGAAGTCACAGAGCTTCCAGTTCTAACGCTCTGCATCGGAACTGCTGCTGATACAATGAAACAAAGTTAATGGTGAGCTCATTCCTGCCTTTTTCACAAGAGCCGAAATAATCCTGAGCTGACTTGTGTGTGCCCAGGCCACTTGCCGATCGGTGTGAAGGGATGCTGGGGGCCGGAGGGAAAGAGGAAGGCGGGGGTCACTTTTCTCTGTCTTACTTCAGCTGTAAATTTTCTGGGCTATACGACCGTGACAACTGATTTATTTTTCATTTAATACAGATTTATTCTGTGAAGCTTTGAACACTCACTGACTCAGAATGGAGAATTTTCAGTTTAACAAAGCAAACACTCAATAAATATTATTGGATATGAAATTTGTTAATCTGCACTTCCCCTGTTTGGAGATAACCATATTTTCTGCTGCCCCATTTGACAGAACTCCAACCTCTAGCATTTCAATGTTAATCTGAAAGGGTAAGTGATCGGAGCTCATAACCTATTTTCTTTTCAGACAAGACTGACGTTAAAAAAAAAAAAATCATATTCTTAAAATCGCCCAAAGAACAAGCCAGGAATGCCTGGGGAATCTAATCAGATCTATTATGCTAACTATAAAGACATCCCTGCCCCCAACTCCTCAAGAAAAGATCTTAAGAAAGTTGAAATCAAATTGCCAAGCCTAATGGATTCCCTGTGTGACTAAATCATTGTATTATTTCTCATGTTTGAAGAGATACACAAATTTCATGGACAGGCTTAGATACTCCTGCTTGAACAGCTGTTGCCCTATCACTGTGTCTAAGGTCAGGTTCATCAATGGTGGGGCCCAGCAGTTCTTACTCAAGTGGACTGAATGCATGAAAGAGTTTTCTGTTGACATTATTCTGATGCTTCTAGGAAACCCCTCCTCACCCTGTCCCAGGGAAGATTCCACCCCTTCATGATGGGCGGTGAAGGGGATTAAAGGAATGGGGTGGATGAAAGCTCTTTCATCTGAGAGTCTGAATAGCACAGAATGGTTTTCAAGGTCATCCAGAAGTACCAAATCTGCCCTGCCCCACCAACATGGCTTCCAACCCTCACCTTTATTTCCAACAATTTGCTGCTTCTTGGTCACCATTTTTTATGCCAACTCCAAAGAGAATACTAAATAAGCAGTCTTAAATCCTTTTGGGGAGAGAGTGGGATAAATACCTTCAACAAATAACACTAACAAGCTTTTGATCTTCCACTTTTCTTTTCTGGTATCTCACATTGACCATCCTCACCTCCCAGCTGCACCCTCAGAAGCAAAACCTCAAGTGGCCCTTAAGTCCCTGGGCATAAGATTAAGTTCCTTTACTCTTTAATTCCACTTACTACATTTTAATGTTTAAAATATATATCATTTAATAAATATTAGATAATGAAACAAATATGATTATACAGTTTCCTAATTGTAAACCTTTATATGTGCCACGTGCATCCGTGTGAAGAGACCACCAAACAGGCTTTGTGTGAGCAACAAGGCTGTTTATTTCACCTGGGTGCAGGCAGGCTGAGTCCGAAAAGAGAGTCAGCAAAGGGTGGTGGGATTATCATTAGTTCTTATAGGTTTTGGGATAGGCGGTGGAGTTAGGAGCAATGTTTTGTGGGCAGGGGGTGGATCTCACAAAGTACATTCTCAAGGGTGGGGAGAATTGCAAAGAACCTTCTTAAGGGTGGGGGAGATTATAAAGAACCTTCTTAAGGGTGGGGGAGATCACAAAGTACATTGATCAGTTAGGGTGGGGCAGAAACAAATCACAATGGTGGAATGTCATCAGTTAAGGCTATTTTCACTTCTTTTGTGGAGCTTCAGTTGCTTCAGGCCATCTGGATGTGTACGTGCAGGTCACAGGGGATATGATGGCTTAGCTTGGGCTCAGAGGCCTGACAATATGTACAATCTTAATAGTACAATATGGAATTCAATTTTTTCACATGGGTTCTAACTAGGGTTAATACACTTCTTGGCTATAGAGGGGACCTCTTTATTGGAACTCAGACAGGGATCAAATCCTCTCTTTCCTTTTTATGAACCCTAAGTAAACACTAATTATAATGTGATGCCCAAAGCTTAAAATTAGCTACTCAGGGAGGCCTTTGTTCTGACCATTTTTACCTGTTTCTATCAAATTATTTCCATTCTCCAACATCAGTTTTAGTTCTATTTAAGTAGGAATTACCCAAAAAATTATATCTACTTATTAGAGAATGAAATCAGAAAGTACCCTGACTACATCTCCAACTCTTCCTTTTTCTATCAGGTTGTCATTTGAAATGGACAAAGGAAAGAAAAGACAGTTCGGAGTTGAAAAGGAGAAGTGCGGCAGCCTGGGAGGGTTTGTTATGCTTGGCAATGAGGAGATGATCAGAAGGTCGGAAGCCTGGCCTCCGTCTGTGCAGAGAGCGCGGGCCCAGCATACAGATGGCAGGTCGGTGTCTGAGAGCCCAGCCTCAGCCTGGAGCCCGTGGGCAAGGAGAGGGCACCAAATGAAGAACTGACGCAGCTCCAATGAGTGGAGGAACACCAGGTTCTTAGTCTCCAGTCGAATTAGATAAAATGACACAGACACACGTGGAGTGGTTTTGAGAGACAGGACTAGCTGGATTTCCTAGGCCGACTAAGAATCCCTAAGCCTAGCTGTGAAGGTGACGGCTTCCACCTTTAAACACGGGGCTTGCAACTTAGCTCACACCCAGCCAATCAGATAGTAAAGACAGCTCACTAAAATGCTAATTAGGCAAAAACAGGAGGTAAAGAAATAGCCAATCATCCATCACCTGAGAGCACAGCGGGAGGGAGAATGATCAGGATATAAACTCAGGCATTCGAGCCAGCAACGGCTACCCTCTTTGGGTCCCCTCCCTTTGTATGGGAGCTCTGTTTTCACTCTATTAAATCTTGCAACTGCACTCTCTTCTGGTCCGTGTTTGCTACAGCTAGAGCTGAGCTTTGGCTCACCGTCCACCACTGCTATTTGCCACCACCGCAGAACCCCGCTGACTTCCATCCCTCCGGATCCAGCAGGGTGTCCGCTGTTCTCCTGATCCAGCGAGGCGCCCATTGCCGCTCCCGATCGCGCTAAAGGCTTGCCATTGTTCCTGCACGGCTAAGTGCCTGGGTTCATCCTAATCGAGCTGAACACTAGTCACTGGGTTCCATGGTTCTCTTCCATGACCCACGGCTTCTAATAGAGCTGTAACACTCATCGCATGGACCAAGATTCCATTCCTTGGCATCCGTGAGGCCAAGAACCCCGGATCAGAGAACATAAGGCTTGCCACCATCTTGGAAGCGCCCACCGCCGTCTTGGGAGCTCTGGGAGCAAGGACCCCCTGGTAACAGCTTTAAGGAGCAGAGAGTTTAATACACAAGAAAGAACAGAGAAGGCAGAAGGAAGCAGCTCCCCGTACAGAGACGAGGGGTGGGGGCCCAAAGCCAAGAGAGGGAACCCCACCTTCCACCTATACCAACCAGGTATATATACAGAGGCTGGAGGAAGCAGTGTCTCAGGGGATTGGTTTGACTAGGCATGTCATTCACGTAGCCCATGAAAAAGCTGGCCCTCCCACCCTAGCCTTTTAATATGCAAATGCAGGGCACTATGATGTTCTACACACGTGGGGATATGGCCATGTTGCCAGGCACATGTGGGGCAATGGCAAAAAGAAGAGGGTGGGAATCGCCATGTTGGGCGGACCCAGTTTCTAATGGCCGGCGCTTGCATAGCTCTAAGAGCTGGGGCTTTACAGGAAACTTTTCCAGAGATGCTTTAAATAATGAAAACTTTGGCCGGGTGCGGTGGCTCACGCCTGTAATCCCAGCACTTTGGGAGGCCGAGGCGGGCAGATCACGAGGTCAGGAGATCGAGACCATCCTGGCTAACACGGTGAAACCCCGTCTCTACTAAAAATACAAAAAATTAGCCGGGCGTCGCGGCGGGCGCCTGTAGTCCCAGCTACTCGGGAGGCTGAGGCAGGAGAATGGCGTGAACCCGGGAGGAGGAGCTTGCAGTGAGCCAAGATTGCGGCACTGCACTCCAGCCTGGGCGACAGAGTGAGACTCCGTCTCAAAAAAAAAAAAGAAAAGAGAAAAAAGAAAACTTCCCAAGGACCCCTTTTCCTCTCTATCTGCCTAAAACAATTTATTAATAAGTTATATCACAGAAATTGGAAGGAAAAGGGAAGAGAGTGGTTTCTGACACTCACACATGCATTTAGAACAAGGTTCGAGGGTGTGCCTAACTAAGTATGGAAAGAGCTTCAGACTCCAGGAAGTTGCCCAGGACCCAGTCTTCCCTCTGCCACCGTGTGAGCTTGCTGTTGCCACCTGTGTTGGTCTGCTCAGCTGCCGTCACAAAACACCACAGGCTAGGGGGCAAAAAACAATAGACATGTATTTTTCACACTTCTGGAGTCTGCACATCCAAGGTGAGCATGGTCAGTTTCTGGTGCAGACCCTCTTCCTGGCTTGCAGACAGCGCTTCCTTCTCCCTGTGTCCTCACATGGCCCCTACTGATGTTAGAGAATGCAAGTAAGAGAGACTGAGCTCTCTGGTGTCTCTTCTTAAAAAGACACTAATCCCCTCAGACCAGGGGGCACTCCCCTCCTGACCTCTTCTAACCCTAATTGTCCCCAAAGGCCCCATCTCCAAATACCATCACATTAGGGGTTAGGACTTTCATATGGTTTGGCTATATCCCCAACCAAATCTCATCTTGAATTCCCACATGTTGTGGAAGGGACCCAATGGGAGGTAATTGAATCATGGGGGCAGGTCTTTCCTGTGCTGTTCTCATGACAGTGAATAATTCTCACGAGATCCGATGGTTTTATAATGGGGAGTTTTTCTGCACAAGCTCTCTTCTCTTGTCTGCCGCCATGTGAGATGTGCCTTTCACCTTCCACCATGATTGTGGGGCCTCCCCAACCACGTGGAACTATGAGTCCATTAAACTTCTTTTATAAATTCCCTAGTGTCAGGTATGTCCTTATCAGCACTGTGAAAATGAACTAGTACAGACTTCACCATATGAATTTTGGGAGGGATACAGCATTTAGTCCATAACACAATCATGTGCCATAAAATAACCAGTCACAAAGCCTCAGTGCCAAATAATAGCAAACTTTTTTTTTTTTTTTTTTTTTTGAGACAGGGTCTCACTCTGTCACCCAGGCTGGAGGACAGTGGTACAACCTTGGCTCACTGCAAACCCTGCCTCCCCGGGCTCAAAGAATCCTCCCACCTCAGCCTCCCAAGCAGCTGGAATTACAGGTTCATGCCACCAGGCTTGGCTAATTTTTTAAATTTTTTGTAGAAATAAGGTCTCACTACATTGCCTAGGCTAACATTCATTTCTCCCATACCTATAAGGTTCACTGATCTCATCTGGACTCCCTTATGCATTTGGGGTCCAACCAGGGCCGAGCTCATCTGGACTGGCTCAGCTGGGGCAGCTTAGCTCTGTGGCCCACACCTCTCTCCTCTGGCCTAGCCTTGTTCTTCTCATGGTGGTGGCAGAGGAGCAAGAGAGAAAGTCCTTTTCAAGTAGCTGGGTGTGTCCCATTTGTTAACATCTTATTGGCCAAAGCCAGTTCATACGTCTGAGCTCAGAATCAGATGGGAGGGCTATAAAGTCACGCATCACACGTGCGACGCAAGTATGAGTGAAGAACTGGAGCCATCCTACTCATCCATGCCAGCCCAGATAGTGCTCAGATGACACCACCTCTCTGTAGCAGCTCTCTGAGGAGCACTGGAAAATCTAATACTCTTGCCAGATTCTGTGATGACTGTCTCAATATAATATTTAATGTATCATTTCATCCTACTGATGAAATAGTTTCAAAGTTTTGACTGGGCACTGTGGCTCACACCTGTAATCTCAGCACTTTGGGAGGCCACGGTGGGTGGATCACAAGGTCAGGAGTTCAAGACCAGACTAGCCAACAATAGTGAAACTCTGTCTCTACTAAAAATACAAAAATTAGCTGGGCATGGTGGCGCACACCTGTAATCCCAGCTACTCAGGAGGCTGAGGCAGGAGAATTGCTTGAACCCAGGACCTGGGAAGCGGAGGTTGCAGCAAGCCGAGATCATGCCACTGCACTCCAGCCTGGGCTAAAGAGCAATACTCCGTCTCCAAAAAAAAAGAGTTTTTTAACCCTAGTTAAATAGTATTTTAAGCAATATTTTTGACACATTTGGGAGGAGGGAGATTTTAAATCTATAGTGTTCAATCAAGTCAAATCAAGACTTTTAAAAAAAGAGCTACCCAGGGCCAAACACAGTGGCTCATGCCTGTAATCCCAGCACTTTGAGAGGCCGAGGCAGGTGGATCACTTAAGGCCAGGAGTTCAAGACCAGCCTGGCCAACATGGTGAAACCCCGTCTCTACTAAAAACACAAAAATTAGTTGGGCGTGGTGGCGCACCTCTGTAATTCCAGCTACTCAGGAGGCTGAGGCAGGAGAATCACTTGAACCCAGGAGGCGGAAGTTGCAGGGAGCTGAGATCGCACCACTGCACTCCAGCCTGGGTGACAGAGTGAGACTCTGTCTCAAAAAAATAAAAATAAAAAGAGCTAGCCAGAAAGTAATGCTCCCTGGGTTTTCCCTTTCCTTTCCACCATTCACTGTATAGTCTTTTCCTCTGAAGAGGGCTGGGGCTTAGGCTTAGGCAAAATGAAGTAACCAACAGAGCCTCTTTGCAGTAAATTCCAGTTCTCATGAGAAAGATAACACCACATCCTGAAAAGTTACAAGGTGCAGGGAAAGAAAAAGACAAAGGGCAATTGTACAGACATCCTGAAGAATTTAAAATGTTTTCAAAACCCTAGATGGAGATTTAAACAGAAAATCTAGGACTATGAGCTCCTGAGTTGTCAGGATAATTGAGAACAGGCAATTTCCTAAATGATAATGAAGTAATGCAGAAGAAACGTACTTTTTCAGGTTGTACCAAAATAACAAATTTAGAGAGGTCCCAGAGAGACGGTTTGACACACTTGACACACGTCATTCTGGGAGTGAAAAACGGCATCCAACCCTGCAAAGGTGAGCACATTGATGCCTTTGAGCTCAGCTTTGCAATCCCATCCCTCGACATCTGGGCTCACCTTACCAGTGACAGGTAAAAGCAGGCAGCAGATACCAGTTGTCAAAACCAGCCAGCCGTTTCTGCAAGAGGAGCTCAGAGTCAGCCCAGAAGTGGCCCTGGGTGGCAAAGGGCAAACAAACCCTTGCCCGAGAATAGCCAAGCATATGCAGTTTTGTTGCTGGGAAAGATGTACTTCATGGCACCATCCCGAGTCCCCACAAGTGTGAGCCTAAGGCAAGCCTAGGCCCTGCGTTAACGATTGGCAAACCCTAGGACCTCAAGAAATACCCTATCTCCATTTCTCCATCTGTAAAACAGTTCTGGTCGGCCAGGCATGGTGGCTCAAACCTGTAATCCCAGCACTTTGGGAGGCCGAGGCAGGTGGATCACTTGAGGCCAGGAGTTCAAGACCAGCCTGGCCAACATGATGAAACCATGTCTCTACTAAAAATACAAAAATTAGCCAGGCATGGTGATGCATGCCTGTAGTCCCAACTGCTCAGGAGGCTGAGGCAGGAGAATCGCTTGAACCTGGGAGGCGGAGGCTGCAGTGAGCTGAGATCACGCCACTGCATTCCAACCTGGGCGACAGAGTGAGACTCTGTCTCAAAACAAAACAAACAAAAAAAACACCACACACACACACACACACACACACACAAACACCACAGAGGGCAGGCTGTTAGGGCCAGAAATCATGGGCTGGCATTTTTGTGCTGCATTCTTCCCCTCTGCCAGGTGCTGGGCTAGCCCCTGTCTACCCACCAGCTTTCGTGACTGCACGTCACATTCTAGGAGAGCGGGTTCCCCAAATGCAGACATGCAAGCTGGGGAGAACTCTCAGGCAGAAGCCCAGCCATGGGAAAGAAGAGAAAATATGGTCAGCAGACTCAGCGCTGGGTGCTTAGGTGTCCTGTGGGTCCTGGTCCTGAAGGTGGGGCAGGGTGACCCGCCCATCCCCAGCCTCATCACATGCTCCTGCCCTCTGTGGCAGGATGAGGCCCATGCCTGGCCTGGCGGGAGTGGATGTGAGGGAGTGGATGTCGCACTCTACATCCAGCCTGCAGAGTGACTCACAGACACCCACAGCCAAGGCTGCCACGCTTGTCACTCACCCTGAGTGACACGGTGAAGCACCTCCCAGCACCCAAGGTAACACAGCTATACCAATAGTAGATAAAGTGCTGGAGAAGAGGAATTTGAGAGACACGAGGAAGCTGGACTGGGAGATGAAGCAACTACTGTGAAATCTCTTCCCGTTGAGACAGCACAGGAAGTTACACTGAAAATAGGCTATGAGCTGACATGCATGCACAATTTGATTCCACACCTGGATTTCTGAATAAAACTAGGAAGAAATGAGGGTTTTATCCAAAAGCACCAAACAAAGCTGTTTTGATGCTGTTAGTTCTGTGCTCTTTTCTTGTCATTTACTTGATCATTAACCCAAGGTGACGCCAAAAAAAAAAAAAATGAAATGTAGGAGACATCCTTCAGCTAGATTAGAAAATCACCCAACCTATAGAAAAACATAAACGCGGCCAGGCATGGTGGCTCATGCCTGTAATCCCAGCACTTTGGGTGGCCAAGGCGGGCAGATCACAAGGTCAAGAGTTCAAGACCAGCCTGACCAATATGGTGAAACCCCATCTCTACTAAAAACACAAAAATTAGATGGGCGTGGTGGCGTGTGCCTATAGTCCCAGCTACTTGGGAGGCTGAGGCAGGAGAATTGCTTGAACCTGGGAAGTGGAGATTGCAGTGAGCCGAGATCGTGCCACTGCACTCCAGCCTGGGTGACAGAGCGAGACTCTGTCTCTAAAGGAAAAAAAAAAAAAAAGAAAGACAAACATAAACACAAAAAGGAAGCAAAGAAGGAAATGAGAGATTTGGGAGTGGCCTTGACTTGGAATGTGATGATGCCACCACCCCCAACCAGCTTGGCCCATTCTCTTCCTACCAGCCTCTGCCTCTCAGCCCCCACTCAGTGTATTCTATCTGCAGATAGGCGTTACACTGAATACTACAAAATAGGCTACTTTTATACTAGAAGGAATTCAATAAAAGTGAAATACATAAAAGCCCAGCGCTTATAGATTTTTATTATGATTCTTTCAACTAAGCTTTTAAAAATTCTCTGATGTTGGGAGAAGTATAACCAAGGTATCTTGCAGGACCAGACAAGGTGTCAGGAAGCAAAGTGGGTATGTCTACACAAAGACAAACGCCGGGGAAAAGAAAAACCCCATCTTTCCCGGGAGCCATGTTCGAGCTCAACACTCACCCCGATGTGCTTTTGGGGACAGCTTGCTTTATGCCAGTCCCCTTGAGGGTGTGGGGTCCCAGTGAGGTGGCTCCCACCAGTTGCATCTTTTTATAATCTTTCATGAAAGCGTTTCTTTTGTCTTAAACAGTGGTAATCTGTTTGATGTTCATAGAGATTGATGAGCGGCCTTGGGTGCCAGCAGAGAATCAGACAGATGGCAATAGTGACAATAAATAATTGTCATGTTTTTCACTTTTGTGGCCTCTACAATTCAAGGGTCTCAAAACACAGCGGAAATTTAGAATGATAGGAAAGGAAAAGACCTTGGGAAAGGGCATCTCGTCCATCCTTCCAACATCTCACCCCAGGGCTCATACTAAACAAGATGCTCTCATGCGCCCTTGGCCCCTGACTGCAGTGGGGATGGCTGTGTTCCCAGTGAGAACACAGGCACAGCCCCTAAGTTACAGGATGTGGCTTCTTCGTTGCCCCCAGGGGGATGGAAACTTGAAGACTCAAGGGCAGACAATACAGTGAACTCCGGGGCCCTCCCAGTGAGATGGGGAAGCTAAAGACAAGCTGAGGGCAGGTTTGGTGCAGGAGGTGGCAGCGGCCCCTCCGAGCACCATCCTGGCAGGGAAGGGCCACTTCTGGGAGCTGGAAGGGGCAGATGCTGGGAACATGCCCCAGACTCAAACCACACTGACACAGACCATCACACCATGGACAGCCCTGGCCGCCCTGTTCTTTCCTAGAATAACATGCTCAGTGGCATGCCTGCTGGAGCCCAAGCCAGGACTTCTTACATGCCGATTCCTCCCCACGGGCTGTTCTTTAGATGTTAAGAGAGGACATGGCAGGAGGTGGTGAACAAGCACTCATCTCACCTTCCAGCCGCTATCACAGAGCACCTAATGAACCGCAGTGTGCTAGAATTTCCACATGTGGGTAGAGAGAAAAAGAGGACAGTCTTCACCCAAATCTCAGTGCTGGGCACAGGGATAGAAGGATGGTGAGAAGAAATGAAGATCTGTTCTTCCTTCATTTGTCTTCCCATTTCCAATCCTCAAGAACCAGTTTGAGGAGAATGTCTGCCAAACCAGCTGCAAACATACTACTATTTAAATTTTCTTCATTTCAAAGGGTTTTAGAGGCCAGGCACAGTGGCTCACGCCTGTAATCCCAGCACTTTGGGAGGCTGGAGTGGGAGGATTGCTTAAGCCCAGGAGTTCCAGACCAGCCTTGGCAACATGGCAAAACCCTATCTCTACAAAAAAATAGAAAAATTAGCTGGGCGTGGTGGTTCACGTCTGTGGTCCCAGCTACTCAGGAGGCTGAGGTGGGAGGATCACCTGAGCCCAGAAGGTTGAGGCTGGGTTGAGCCATGTTCATGCCACTGCACTCCAGCCTGGGTGACAGAGTGCAACCCTACCTCAAAAAAAAGCTTGGGGGGGTGGGGGTCAGGCCTCTTCAGAACTGCGTGCCTCCTCGTAGGTCCATAATAAGAAGTTCCCCAGCCAAACCACCCAGGGGAGATTACTGTTTGCTGTCCTGGCCCCTCTTCCTTCCCTCGGGGCCCTATCTCTCCTGAATCTTACTTGTATCTTCATCCTCACCTCCTTCGCAAAAGAGGATCTTGCCTTGGACTAGAAAAGCAGAAATCATCCCGCATCCATACAGATCTTTAATCACATCCTTGTTCTTGAGATCCGAATTTAAAACATAGAGGTGTTGTCAGGCCCTTTAGGGCTTTGCACAGTGTCAAAGCGAGCAATCTGAATGGAAGGAGTTTTAATTTTTCAAAAATTAGCCAGCAGTGGTGGTGCACGTCTGCAGTCCCAGCTACTTGGGAGGATCATGTTTGAGAACAGGAGGTTGAGATTACAATGAGCTATGATCACGCCACTGCCTGGGCAACAGAATGAGACCCTGTACCCAAACATAAAATCTGACAAATTTCTTCACTTACTCTTTCCAACTAAAAAAAAAAAAAAATTTACTTGTTATGCAATCAGAAAACTGACCTCCAAACAGCAAATGTCAGCAAGTCAGTAGCAGGAGCCGACAACTCATTCAGGAAAAATGAAGCACTTTTTATAAAAGTCCTGTTTCTGGCTCAGTTATACTGTCCTAAGAACTGACATAGTAAGAAATAAGTCCAGGAATCATTAAAACAAGATAGAATCCAATGTCCTACGTGTTCCAAGAACACAGCTGTTGCTCAGAGGCTCAAGGCTTCGGCTACTCCTGTGTCAGCGCGCAACATAAACCCACCACAGAGAAAACCCAAGCACGAAGCACGACCGTGCTCTGCCATCTGGTGGCCAAAAGTGAAATGGCCCTGAAGGCGCAAAAGATTGAAAATAGATGTTTCCTAAACTGTAGTCATCAATAGCGAAACTTTCTCAAGTCGGCTACCAATAAGCAGTGGATGTTAGAATGCTGAAAAAAACAAATCCAATGTTGAAGAACCTCCTTTCTTTGGCCCTCCAGGCATGAATGAAAAGCTCTTAAATTGCTTGCCTAAATGAGCCCATCTGTTTACTAAACAGGGGTACATGAAAACATCAGTTACTAAGTATGCAGACTCTTTTGATCCTATGAAAGCACTGACCATCTATCCATGCTATGCAGATCTCTGTTGGTGATATAATTACAAGATGGGAAAGGGAAGTGTGACCGGGACACTCTGAGAGCCACTTGTAGTCTAAATGAGACACCCCGCAAAAGCAGTCACGTGAGCTTGGAAACTCAAACCCTGCTTTCCTAGCACACTGAAGCCTCAGAAGGCCATGCACACCTGTAATCCCAGCACTTTGGGAGTCCAAAGCAGGTGGATCACTTGAGTCCAGGAGTTTGAGACCAGCCTGGGTAACACAGACAGACGCCCGTCTCTACAAAAAATACAAAAATTAGCTGGCACATGCTTGTAGTCCCAGCGACTCAAGAGGCTGAGGTGGGAGAATCACTTGTGCCTAGGAGGTTGAAGCTGCAATGAGCCATGGTCACGCTGCCCTTGCACTCCAGCCTGAGCAACTAAGCAAGACCCTATCTCAAAAAAAAAAGGCCTCCAAAAAGTCTGAGTAAAAAAAAGTTGTGCTTTGCAGACACTGCTGCCGCCACCAGGAGCCCCATACTACCAGCCATGATCAACCCCATCGTGTGTTTCAACATCATTGTCAACGGCAAGCCCTTGGGCCACATCCCCTTCGAGCTGTTTGCAGACAAGATTCCAAAGACGGCAGAAAACTTTCACTCCTGAGCACTGGAGAGAAAGGATTTGGTTGTAAGGGTTCCTTTTCTCACTGAATTATTCCAGGGTTTATGTGTCAGGGTGGTAACTTCACAAGCCATAATGGCACTGGTGGCAAGTCCATCTATGGGGAGAAATTTGATGAGGAAAACTTCATCCTGAGGCATAGAGTTCCTGGCATCCTGTCCATGGCAAATGCTGGACCCAACAAAAATGGTTCCATTTATCATCTACACTGCCAAGACTGAATGGTTGTATGTGGCCCGGCACGGTGGCTCACGCCTATAATCCCAGCACTTTGGGAGCCCAAGGCGGGAGGATCCTGAGATCACGAGTTCAAGACCAGCCTGGCCAACATGGCGAAACCCCGTCTCTACTAAAAATACGAAAAATTAGCCGGGCATGGTGACGCATGCCTGTAGTCCCAGCTACTCGGGAGGCTGAGGCAGGAGAATCCCCAGACCTCCCCATGGCCTAGGTCAGGAGCCCAGAAGTGCCACATGGCTGAGGGAGCGCCATTTCCTGGGGGGATGGGGGATAAGAAGGTACCCTACAGGAGAAGCCAGGAGGGGCCGCCTGCCCCTGGGGTTGGGGCCTGGCCGAGGCAGGTGTCGGGCCTGAGAGCCTGGCTGGCTGAGCTCGGAGGGCCCCCAGGGAAGCCTGGCCCAGGGAGCAGTCGTGACTCTGCAGGGGAAGCCCAGCGAGGGAGCCCGGGAGGCAGAGGTTGCAGTGAAGTGAGATCACACCACTGCACTCCAGCCTGGTGACAGAGATAGGCTCTTTCTCAAAAAAAAAAAAAAAAAAAAAAAAGAATGAGTGGTTGGATGGCAAGCATGTGGTCTTTGGCAAGGTGAAAGAAGACATGGATATTGTGGAGGCCATGGAGCGCTTTGGGTCCAGGAACGGCGGGACCAGCAAGAAGATCACCACTGCTGACTGTGGACAACTCTAAGTATGACTTCTGTTTTATCTAAACTACCAGACCATTCCTTCTGTAGCTCAGGAGAGCACCCTCCACCCCATTTACTTGCAGTATCCTAGAATCTTTGTGTTCTCGCTGCAGTTCCCTTTGGGTCTATGTTTTCCTTATTCCCTTCCATGCCTAGCTGGATTGCAGAGTTCAGTTTACAATTATGAAATAAAAACAAAGGAAGGAAGGGAGGGAGGGAAAAGGAAAGAAAGAGTTGTTGGCTGGGTGCGGTGGCTCACACCTGTAATCCCAGCACTTTGGGAGTCTGAGGCAGGTGGATCACTTGAGCCCCAGAGTTTGAGACTAGCCTGGGCAATATGGTGAAACCCCATCTCTACTAAAAATACAAAAATTAGCCAGGCGAGGTGGCATGTGCCTCTAGTCCCAGCTACTCAGGAGGCTGAGGTGGGAGGATTGCTTGAATCCAGGAGGCAGACATTGCAGTGATCCAAGATTGTGCCACCACACTCTAGCCGGGGCAACAGAGTGAGACCTCATCTCAAAAAAAAAAAAAAGTAAGTTGTTTAACTTTGCTTAACTTAGCTTCCCAAATTCCTTTGACCTCTGAATAGGTTGTTGTTTTTTAGGTAGTTGTTTTTTAAATTGTTGTTTGTTGGATTGTTTTCTTTTCTGTTTTGTTTTTAGAGATGGGGTCTCCCTATGTTATTCAAGCTGGTCTTGAACTCCTGGGCTCAAGCAATCATTTCCCCTCAGCCTCCCGAGTAGCTGGGATTACAGGCTTGAGCCATCACATAGGGCTCTGTTGGATTTCTTTCAGTATATCCCAAAGAATTTGTAAAACACAAGTTGAAATGCAAATGCAGTCTCAGCTCTGCAGCTAGCTGAGCGATGTTTTGGAAAGTTATCTAACCTCCATGTGCTTTTATTTCTTCCAAAATAAATCAAGAGCAGAAAAAAGGTAAAAAGAGAAAATATTTTACTTCAGCCATTCCTAAGCTCTGCCATCGTTTTCTTATACCAATTTTCAACAACCTTGCACTGTAGATCATCTGGACTACTACTCAAAAATAGCCAACTGGTGACACGCATCTATCCCCTTCCTCTTTTCAAACCCAACTAGGCAGTGAACGGATAATAAAAGGCTATTCACTCATAAGGACAACAAAAAAAGCAGCACCCAGAGATATTGAACTTCAAGAAATGTTTGAAGACAAAGTGGGTGGAGAAATAGCAACCAGCTGAACAGAATAGAGGGTGTTACAATGTGGGGCACATTGTATTTTTCAAAGACATCTGAGATACTTCCTCCCACCTACATTCTTCTGCAATGTGACTTTGCCACTCTTCCATCAAAAAGGACAGTCTGATTCCCCTCCCCTTAAATCTGGGTTAGCCTTAGTGACTCTTCTATAACCCATAGAGGCCTTGTAGTTAGTTCTGTGGAAACCTTGCTCTCAGAACATTCCCTCTTAGATCCCAGCTGCCATGCTGTGAGGAAGCCCAAGCCACATGAGTCCTCCCAGCCCAGGTGGCAGACATGAGAGTAAAGAAGCCTCAGACAGAGACATCTTCTCTGAACACTTTATTGAAAACAACACCTTCTTTCCTGACAGTGGTCAAAAAAAAAAAAAAAAAAAACACTTTCGCCTGCCTAATTTTTATTCATAGCCATAATATAATTCATTTGTTTATTATTTTCCCTAGCTAGACTATAACCTTCATAAAGACAGAGAACCTTATCTTACTATTATATCCTCAACAACTAGAACAATACCTGGCACATAAAAGGAACTCAATAAATATTTGATTGATAAGTAAATGAATAAAGCAATCAGAAAAAAAAGAACAGGGAGAAACACAATCAATGGATGGAACAGATTAAAACTTCTACAAGGTATTAACATATATATGCACACATATATATGTATATATGTATATACACACACACATGTGTGTGTGTGTTTATATAGAGAGACAGATGTGGGAAGCCACTGAGGGAGCAGTTCAGATAAGAACAAACAGGGTAAAAGAAAGAACTCTTACAAAGTAAAAATGTGGCAGCTGAAATTTAAAAATTCAATAGAATGCTTATCAGATAAGGCTGACAAAATCTTCCGGATTATATCTCAAGGAAGAAATGTTAATAAAAAAAAAAATCTTCCAGAAAGTTGTACCAAGAGAAGGTGAGATGGAAAATGTGGGGAGGGGGAGTTAGGGGATCAGTCCAGGAGGTCTCCTGTCTAATGCAAGTTCCAGAAAACAAGAACAGAGAAAAATGGAACATAGATGAACAATGAAGTGAAATCCCAGGAAGCCACATGTGCACCAGCAGAGAACCCCGCCCAGCTGGAGCAGAACACAGGGGTTGGGGCCTGGGCATCTGGGAAGCATGGGACTGAGGCGGTGTGATCTGAGCATTTGGAAAAACCATTACAGGATATTTTGTTGGAAAGATCTGTTGAAGTATTTAGGAACCAAAAAATCCTTGTGTAGTGGTAGATCCATAGAAAACTACAAAAGTTAAAAAAAAAGATATAATTATTGCCTGCAGGAAAAGTAAAATATTGTACAATTTGGCCAGGCAACAGTGAGGCCTGAGTATCCTTTAACCCCCAGCTGTGATATCACCATGTTGGAAGGATGCAGTGGGGAGAGAAGGGCAGAGAGGACAAGGGAGTGGTATGAGGGAGGTGAGCCCTCAAGTACCACAGGAAACCAAAAGATTGCACCCGAGATGGATAACTAAGAACATAATAATATAAGCTTATTATTTAGAAATATGGACAACATACAGAAGAAAGAACCACAGCATCCTAGACTATCGGGGAACCTGCCCTGATAGTCACATAGGTTCTTTTCTATTTTCCCTAAGCGTCGGCCAGTTTGAGAAATAAATGGACAGAGTACAAAAGAGAGAAATTTTAAAGCTGGGCGTCCAGGGGAGACATCACATGTTGGTAGGTTCCGTGATGCCCCACAAGCTGCAAAACCAGCAAGTTTTTATTAGGGACTTTCAAAAGGGGAGGGAGTGTACGAATAGGTGTGGGTCACAGAGATCACGTGCTTCACAGGGTAATAGAATATCACAAGGCAAATGGAGGCAGGGCGAGATCACAGGACCACAGGACCAGGGCAAAATTAAAATTGCTAATGAAGTTTCTGGCACCATTGTCATTGATAACATCTTATCAGGAGACAGGGTTTTGAGAGCAACCAGTCTGACCAAAATTTATTAGGCAGGGAATTTCCTCTTCCTAATAAGCCTGGGAGTGCTATGGGAGACTGGGGTCTATTTCACCCCTACAGTTTCGACCATAGAAGACGGCCACACCCAAGGGGGCTGTCTATAAACCCACCCCCAGGCACGTATTCTCTTTCCCAGGGATGTTCTTTTCTGAGAAAAAGAATTCAGCAATATTTCTCCCATTTGCTTTTGAAAGAAGAGAAATACGGCTCTGTTCCGCCCGGCTCACCTGTGGTCAGAGTTTAAGGTTATCTCTCTTGTTCCCTGAACATTGCTGTTATCCTGCTCTTTTTTCAAGGTGCCCAGATTTCATATTGTTCAAACACACATGCTCTACAATTTGTGCAGTTAATGCAATTATCACAGGGTCCTGAGGCGACATACATCCTCCTCAACTGACAGGATGAAGAGAGTAAAGTAAAGACAGGCACAGGAAATCACAAGGTTATTGATTGGTGAAGTGATAAGTGTCCATGAAGTCTTCACAATTTATGTTCAGAGATTGCAGTAAAGACAGGCATAAGAAATTATAAAAGTATTAATTTGGGGAACTAATAAATGTCCATGAAATCTTCACAATCCACGTTCTTCTGCCATGGCTTCAGCTGGTCCCTCCGTTTGGGGTCCCTGACTTCCCACAACACTAGACAGGGGCCTTCTGGGAAGCAGAATGAAGAATAGAGAGAAATGGGAAAGGGGATTAATGTTTTTATTTATTTATTTGAGATGAAGTCTTGCTCTTGTCGCCCAGGCTAGAGTGCAATGGCATGATCTTGGCTCACTGCAAACTCCGCCTCCCGGGTTCAAGCGATTCTCCTGCCTCAGCCTCCTGAGTAGCTGGGATTACAGGCATACACCACCACACTGGCTAATTTTTGTATTTTTAGTAGAGACGGGGTTTTACCATGTTGGCCAGGCTGGTCTCGAACTCCTGACCTCAGGCGATCCACCCCCTCAGCCTCCCAAAGTGCTGAGATTACAGGCATGAGCCACTGCACTCAGCATCATGTTTGTCTTTATAAGCCTTTTGGTATTCATTGATTTTTCAGCCATGTGCATGTAGGTCTTTGATTTAAAAAAAAAAAAAATTTAAAAAGGAAAGGAAATAGACTAGAATGAAAGAGACACATGAGAAGACACTGTGGCAGTCTTGGGTAGTGAGGTCCTGGGCTTTGTTTTGCCTGACTTTTCCTTTTTTGTGTTTTCCAAATTTTCTGTAATAAGGATGTAATATATTTGTACTAGAAAAGTTCAAAATAAACATTTTTAACAAACATGCTTACAAATACTTAAACCAAGAGAAGGTGATATGGAAAATGTGGCGAGGGGGAGTTAGGGGATCAGTCCAGGAGGTCTCCTGTCTAATGCAAGTTCCAGAAAACAAGAACAGAAAAAATGGAACATAGATGAGCAGTGAAGTGAAATCCCAGGAAGCCACGTGTGCACCAGCAGAGAACCCTACCCAGCTGGGGCAGAACACAGGGGGCGGGGCCTGGGAGTCTCAGGGAAGCCCCACTGTAAGTTTCCTGCAGTTGAAGCCATGGGCCCAAAGTGTTGATATGCATAAGAATCACCCGGTTCCTTTGTTAGCTCGTTTATGGGGGGAAGAAAGGAATCACATGGTGACCAGCACAGTAGCTCATGCCTGTAACCCCAGGACTTTGGGAGACTGAGGTACAAGCATCGTCTGAGTCCAGGAGTTCAAGACCAACTGGGTGACATTGTGAGACCCCTGTCTCTACAAAAAAATTTTTTAATTAGCCAGGCATGGTGGTACCAGCCTGTAGTCCAAGCTACACAGGAGGCTGAGGCAGGAGGATTGCTTGAAGCCAGGAGTTCAAGACCAGCCTGGGCAACATAGCGAAACCTCATCTCTATTAAAAATTAAAAAAAAAAATTAGTCAGTCTTGGTGGCGCATGCCTGTAGTCCTAGCTACTTAAGAGGCTAAGGTGGGAGAATGACTTGAGCCCAGGGGGTTGAGGGTGCAGTGAGCCTGCAGTGAGCCTGCAGTGGAGCTATGATTGTGCCACTGCACTCCAGCCTGGGCAACAGTTGAGAATAGGTCTCAAAAAAAAAAAAAAAAGAAAGAAAGAAATCAACTGGGGAGTTACTGAAAATGCAGAACCCCAGGCCCGCCTCAGAGATGTGGACCTTTCTAGAGGCCCTACTATATGCTATAGTATTCTCATATAATTCAAAATGTAAAGCAATACCAAACCAGGAAATTATTTTTGATTTTTTATTTTTGAGACAGTCTCTCGCTCTATTGCCCAAGCTGGGGTACAGTGGTGTGATCTCGGCTCACTGCAACCTCTGCTCCCAAGTGATTCTCACGCCTCAGCTTCCCGAGTAGCTGGGATTACAGGTGTGCGTCACCACGCCTGGGTAATTTTTTGTATTTGTGGTCTATGTTGCCCAGGCTGATCTCAAACTCCTGACCTCAAGTGATCTGTCCACCTCAGCCTCCCAAAGTGCTGGGATTACAGGCGTGAGCCACCACACCTGGCCAGGAAATGATTTTTCTAATGTCCTAAGTTATCCAATACATGATACGCATACAGTGGATATGGAGTTTGAATAGCTGTCTTTCCGCAATGGACCATTTTCTAGCGTGTGTGCATAAGCATGCCCACATGTGCCTCTGCACTACTAATGCTTCAAGCAGGTGCCAGGCCTGCCTAGCAGCTCATCCAGCCCTGGTCAGAGCTGGGGGACCGAGATTTGTAACCGCATCCCCAGGTGACAGGGGAAACCTGGCTCCAGGACTCCATCCCACAGGGCAGAGCTCTCCCACTTTAATCCCTGTACCATTCAGTGCCGGCTAGATCCAGTTCTTTCCCCTGCTCACAACTCTGGGGCCACTCCAACCACAGGGGCAAGAGAGATCCTAGGGGCTGCAGCAGCTAGTACTAGCAACTCAACTGCAGAAAAGTTACAATGAAACAAGTTCTCCCAGGCAGAGGGAGTCAGAGCTCCTGCGGAGGTGTCCACACACCGTTCATTAATGCCTCACCCCTACCACCAAGGGACTGCCAGGTAGGGGGCTTTCCACACGCAGGACGTGGCTGGATTGCAAGGTTCCTATGACCCTAGAAATCCTGGTTGCCCAGAAAGATTTTGCCACCACAACCACCACTTCCCCCTCATCCCCCAGGGAGTTTAGCAATGTTTAGGGACATTCTTGTTTTAACGGAGGACTGGAGGAGTGGGGTGCCACTGGCATCTAGTAGGCAGAGGCCGGGCATGCGCTAAAAATCCCACATACGCAAGACAGCTTTCCCATCGCCCAACTCCAATAAAAAATTATCTGACCCAAAATGTTAATGGTGCCAAGCTTGACATGTGCTAGAGCCTGTGATACAATTATTCAAATAAGATAAAAATATTAGCTCTTCACTTCTTTTACCACAATAAAGCTCTATTATCTATAAACACTCGGCTCAATGGAATGAGTTCCCGGCTGTGTACAGAAGCTGGGACCATTTATAGACAGGTGCATTTGCAAGAACACCAGTCAATCCTTCCCAAGTTAAATCAAAATACAGACCATTGCCACCTCTCCTTAGAAGGCACAGATGTAGTCTCATAAAAGATGCTTTGCATATGATTTTTTTTAAGTCTTAGTTCCCACCAGAAGTTGGAGATGGTAAAAAATAAAATCCATATACAAAACTAGTGAGAAAAACAATTTGACAAGTGATATCCAATGCTAAAAATAAAGTGTTAGTTTCCTAGTATTCAGGAAAATATAAGCTACTGTAAGGCAAGTTCCAGATATCAGCACAGGGCACTGGGCTTCTGGCCTCTGTGCTCCACCACCTGGCAAGCAGCAGGAGACAAAACACCTTAAGGTCCCCAGCCCAGCCCTGCAGGTGTGTGTGTGTGGGGAGGAGTGGGGGGGCCTGGGGACAGCCATTGACCATGGAGTGGGTATCCCAGTGGGGTCCCCTGAAGGGCAGCAGGCACAGAAGAGCAGCTTGAGGCTGTCCCAGGGCGGTGGCTGTGTGAGTCTAGTTTTTGCTTTACCAAGTGTACAGAAATCACAATTACTTTTCTCTGATGCTCCCTTGAAGTCATAGAATTTAGGAGCTTTTTTAAAAAGGAAAAGAAAAACACAACCCCAAAAATAAAAGATATCAGCACAACATTTGTTGGGATGAATGAATGTACAATTGTGACGTCACACCAGCAATCAAAGCTCTGGCAGTGTGTGAGGGCGAGGTGTCTTATTAACTTTTGTTGTTTGGGTGTGGTAAGGCCACCAGATCAGGAGAGGGTTGTCATTGAAAAGAGAGTTGGTTATTCACAGCCCCAAGAGGAGGGGGCGAGCTACACTATAAAAGGGCCATGCGGGGAAGCCCAGGGTGGTTTAAGAGGCCGTGAGAGAGGGAAAAGTGGGGGCAAGGGAGAGAACACAGTCTTGGGACTGGTGAGTTGGAATAATTTGGGTGGGTTCTGGGACATACGGGCTGTCCCTCATCGTCTGGTACCTGACTCTAGGATGATTAGGGCAGGTAGACCGTAGCCTACAGTGTGAGACCGCAGCCTAGAGTGTGAGACCACAGCCTAGAGTGAGAGCCTTCAAAGGAAGTGGTGGAGTCGTGGGCTCTGGGTTGGTTGGTTTGCATTTGAAAAGCACACTGGAGAGCCAGCTGTCTACTGCTTCTAGGAACTGGCTAACCTACCAGAGGGTCAGCAAGGCCCAGACATCAAAGCGTTAAAATACAGAAAAAAAAGATGTGACTGGGCACAGTGCTCACACCTGTAATCCCAGCACTTTGGGAGGCTGAGGCGGGTGGATCACCTGAGGTCAGGAGTTTGAGACCAGCCTGACCAACATGGAGGGACCCCGTCTCTACTAAAAATAAAAAATTAGCCGGGCATGGTAGTGCATGCCTGTAATCCCAGCTACTCGGGAGGCTGAGGCAGGAGAATTGCTTGAACCTAGGAGGCGGAGGTCGCGGTGATGAGATCACGCCATTGTACTCCAGCCTGGGCAACAAGAGTAAAGCTCCATCTCAAAAAAAAAAAAAGAGAGAGAGAGATGTGGTTAATACACAAGGGGAATGTCAGAGTCAATAACAAAATATGTGACATAATAAGCTGATGCTTGCTGTGTACGCATAGGTCCATGAAAAGGAGATATATATTCAAGGTGAATGGAGCCTGACTGGGTAGCTTCTTTTTCCCCCTGCAGATTAGATTTTATTTAAATGGCCGGGTCAATTTCAGAGAACGGAAATCTCTAAGGTAAGTCAATCATGGGGGCAGAAAATATTTCTTCACCAAAGAATGTAAGAGAATATAAAGAATTTTCAAATCCCCCCACCCCGTAAAATAACCACACAAATGGCTGGGTCAAAAAAACAGACCAATAAAATCATACATACACCCAAATGTCCCTCAACAGATGAATGAATGAATAAAATGCAGTCTACTCATACAATGGAATATTATTCAGCAGTAAAAAGGAGTGGAGTACTGATGCATGCTACAACATGGATGACCCTTGAAAACATCATGCTATGTGGAAGAAGCCAAACAGTCGTCACATATTGTACGATTCCATTTATGTTAAATGTCCAGAATAGGCAAACCCATAGAGACAAAAAGTAGACTCGTGTTGCCAGGGACCTCATGAGGGGAAGAGGGACTGGGGAGTGACTGCTAATGAGTTTCTTTTGGGGGTGATGAAAATGTTCTAAAATTAGTGGTGGTAGCTGCAAACTATGAATACACTTTTTTTTTTGAGACAGAGTCTCACTCTGTCACCCAGGCTGGAGTACAGTGGCACAATCTCAGCTCACTACAACCTCTACCTCCCAGGTTCAAGCAATTCTCCTGCCTCAGCCTCCCAAGTAGCTGGAATTACAGGCACACACCACCATGCCTGGCTAATTTTTTATATTTTTAGTAGAAACAGGGTTTTGCCACATTGATCGGGCTGGTCTTGAATTCCTGACCTCAGTGGTCTGCCCACCTTGGCCTCCCAAAGTGCTGGAATTACAGGCATGAGCCACCGCGCCCGGCCTGAATATACTTTTTAAAGATGTACTGAATTGTGTACTTTAAAAGAGTGAACTTTATGGTATGTGAATTATATCACAATAAAGCTGTTATTTAAAAAAAACAAAAATACTTAAACCATAGCAATAATCAAGTGTTCCCTATTAACACGCAAATACTCCTGAGAGAGTTATAAAATAGTCATCTCTCCTGGTTGTGGAAATCTCGCAGGAGAAGAAGCTGCTGGCCCTATGCGTTCAAATATTAGTGCAGTTCTTGTAAAAGCCACTGTGAGACTCAGCACAGCCTTCAGCCTTGCGTGCATGTGTGCACGTGAGATGCCAGCTGGGAGCTGGCGAAAGATGGAGGACAGGAGGGAGGGGAGGGATGTGAAAGTAGGGAATGAATAGGGCTCATCTGCAAGGCACTGGAGGCAAAAATAGAGAGTGGCAGAGACAAGCCTACACACCTCGCCCTGAGGTCCCCAGGCTCTCTTCTTCATGCTGCACTCCCTGATGTGACAGTGCAGCCACCCGCGTCAGGATAGGACCAGCACACAGATCGGGAAAAGACCCGTGAAGTTTAAGGTGAAAATAGGGCAGGACATGATGTGAAAGAAACTGGCAGGCATGCATCACAGGCCAAGAGGCAAGTGAGGGCCCAGGTGGTCCACACACCCCACAGGGAGAGGACACTAAGGACCAGGGAGGTGGTACCAGGAAAAAAGCGATGAGCTGAGTCTCTCTTCACCTTGGTTTTACACAAACTGAACATAAAGGATGTAAATACCATGGCCAGCCCTCACTTTCCTCAGTAGATGGAGTTTGCACTAAGCCACATGTTCGCAATCCATGAATTGCCATTCCTTTGTATCAACAAACATTACTGAGTGGCCAGACATGGTGGCTCATGCCTGTAATTTCAGCACTTTGGTAGGCCAAGGTGGGCAGATCACTTGAGCTCAGAAGTCTGAGACCAGCCTAAGCAACATGGTGAAACCCTGTCTCTACAAAAAATACAAAAATTAGCCGGTCATGGTGGAACACGTCTGTAGTCTCAGCTACTCAGGAGGCTGAGGTAGGAGGATCACCTGAGCCTGGGGAGCTTGAGGCTGCAGTGAGCCAAGATCACACCACTGCACTCTATCTAGCCTGGGCGACAGAATAAGACCTGACACAGGCCCTATACTGAACACTGAGCTTGTGAGGAAATTAAGATTTGGTCCCTGAATGATATGGGGGGGATAATTACATCCAGAATCAGAAAGAAAGCAGGAGACGCTCATCCTCAGGAGGCTCTAGGTCCCTGCCGAGAGAGACATTCTCCTTTTAGACTCAATTGAGCAGCGTTAATTCAGAGACAGCCAGGAGCCTGGGAGGCCAGGGCATAAACAGCATAAATGTTGTCACCCACCCCTATTTTGTGAGAAGATATATCGGGCAGCCCTGGGGAAATGGGATGCAGGATAGGAGAAGAAAGGCATGTCTGGGGAAGCTGCTGTATGGAAAAGTAGGAAAGTCATCCTATACCAGCAGTTCTCAAACTTGAGCACACAGCAGAATCACCGAGGGACCTCTTAAAACACACATTGGTGGGCCCACCAGCAGTGCCACTCAGTCAGCGAGTCAGGGTGGAATCTGGTACCTGCCCTAGTTCTAACGAGCTCCCAGGCAATATGCATGCAGACGCTGCCAGTCAGGCAGCCAGATTTTTAGAACGCTTACCAAAACTATTTCACCTGTTTTCCCAGGTCACCTGCGCAGATGGGTCCCGTGAAGGATACACACAGAAAAAGGGCCGAAAGGAAGGGCTCAGGATCGAGCAGAGAATCCTGCCTAGGAGAGAAACATGGAAAGAGATTCCACAGGAAAACACAGGTAGTAGAAGAACAGCAGCCAGCATTTATGGATTGAGCACTTACTATGTGCAGAGCCCCCTCTAAGTGCTTCATGATTGATTTCATTTAAGCCACACAATACACCTATGGAGTTAGGACTATTAGCCTCCCCAGCTCATATCAGTAGGGAAACAGCAGCACAGGGAAGATAAGTAACTAGATGGTGCCAAGATGCAAGTCTAGCTCAAGTGCCCACCATTAACTGCTGTGCCCTGCTGCTGGCAGAGGAAGCCAAACTGGAAACAAAGAAACGAGAACTTTCTTCCCCTCATGAATCCTCCTGCCAGGCCTTCAGATAAGCACCTCCATTTTGCAAGCTAGTCTGTTTGGGAAAGAAGGAGATGAAAGGGAAGTGTGTAGTGCGTTAGTTTGCTAGGGCTGGCATAATCAAGTACCACAAACTGATTGGCTTACACAACAAATTATTTCGCAGTTCTGGAGGCCAGAAGTCCAAGAACAAGGTACCTGCATGGTTCATTCCTCCTGCACGGTTCATTCATCGGCTGGGAAGGAGAATCTGCTCCATGCCTCTCCAAGCTTCTGGTGGTTTGCTGGCTAACTTTGGTGTTCCTTGGCTTGGGGACACATTGCCCCAATCTCTCCCTTCCTGTTCACGGGGTGTTCTCTGACGAACACAAAGTTTGCTTGGCCAAACTTTAGACAGGCCCCTGATCCTTCTCCTAGGCCCGTCTGTGCACTTTCGTGTAAGATTCAGCTTCAGCAATGAACACGACTAAGCTAGTTTAGCAAGAACCCCCCTCAACATCTGATCACCGTAGATATCTGATTGGGCTCCTCCTTCTCCACCGACCCCCAGGTGTGTCCCATCACCCTGGCCTGTTTTGAGCAAGAATCCTATTAGGTCAGTTTAACCAGAATCTCCTCACCCGTGATGTTTCCTCTTAGTAATTTTCCATCCACTGACTGGCCACCCTGCTCCTGGGCTATAAATTCCCACCTGCCCCTGCTGCTTTCGGAGTTGAACCCAGTCTCTCTGACTGCACGACCTGGTTGCAGTGGTCCCTGTACCTATCACGATGGTGCTGAATATAGTCTTCCTTACCATGCCTTACCAAGTGTCATTGAATAATATTTTTCTGTTTTTGAGACAGAATCTTGTACTGTTGCCCAGGCGGGAGTGCAGTGGCGTGATTTCGGCTCACTGCAACCACTGCCTCCATGGTTCCAGCGATTCTCATGCCTCAGCCTCCTGAGTAGCCAGCACCACAGTTGCACGCCACCACACCTGGCTAATTTTTGTAGTTTTGGTAGAGACAGATTTCACCATGGTGGCCAGGCTGGTCTTGAACTTCTTGGCCTCAAATGATCCGCCCACCTCGGCCTCCCAGAGTGCTGGGATTCCAGGCATGAGCCACCACACCCAGCCTAATAAATTTTTTTAACATCTCTCGTGTGTATGTCTGCTCTGTATCCAAGTCTCCCCTTTTTACAGGGACATCAGTCTATTGGATTAGGGGACCACTCTAGTTCAGTATGACTTCATCTTAACTAATTACATCTTCAATGACCCTATATCCAGCTAGGGTCACATTCTGAGGCACTGGGGGTTAGGACTTCAACATATGAATTTGGTGGGTATTAGGTGGGGAGGTGGGGCAAAGGAGACACAATGCAACCCTTAACAGGAAGAAAAAAATGTTCTTGGAACAAACTTCAAAAGCTTAGATGCTAAAGACATTAGACATACTTCCCTGTGTATGGTGGTGCATGCCTGTAGTCCTAGGTACTTGTAAGGCTAAGGCAGAAGGATTGCTTGAGCCCAGGAGTTCAAGGCTGCACTGAGCTATCATCGCGCCACTGCACTCAACCTGGACGACAGAGCAAGACCCGTCTCTAAAAAAATAAAATAAAAAACAAAAATACTTCCCTGAGCAGGGCCAACCCACCATATTGTATACACTAAGTAAGAAGCTCCATTTTCATTTACGATTTTAGACGCCATCACCTAGGATGTTGAATCAATTATGGACAAGTCGGAATACGTTAAGGAAGTTGTTATAATGAGAATTCTTTTCCCTAAGACTTCACTTCAACTTTAATGTTTCTCTTTCAGATTTATCTACCATCCAATTATAAAACAGAAGTGCAGCAAGTCGGGTGGAAATGGTCTTGGTACCTGACACTAGCCAGCGTGTGAACTTCTCCCCTCTGAATAGCATTTGAATAAAAGCTGTGCTCATTTTTGGAGCGCAAGGTCAAATTAGAGAAGATGGATGTGAAGATTTCTCTGAACAAAGGTCTAAGAAGTAAAGGGAGCCAGTGTTCTGTATCAAAGTTCCTGGGAAAGACATTCTACTGATTTCGTTACTACAGATTCTTCCACTTCTCTCCATCACTCAGCGTGGGATGGGCCAGACATAGAAAGATGCAGTATCTGAATCCTGTAAGAAGTTCCTAGGGATGGGAAGAAGAACCTTTCTTTGGGTATAGAATGCAATGTCCTAATTAGCTCGAGGGAGCAGTGAGGACATCCTTGAGAAAGCCAATTCACATCCAACGCAGAATTCAATTTGGTGTAATGGATATCATACTTGTTTAGGAAGGGGATGATAAAGAGACTTGGATTTCGACCTTAGTTATAAATACCTCATTTATTCTTTATTTTATTCACTGTCTACTGGACTCCTATGATGTGACAAGTATCGGGAAAGCCATGAGTCAGGAAGTCAGATTTGCCATGCCCCTCTCTTCATGGAGCTCCGGGGCCTGGAACAAGCGCTCTTCTTTATGTGTTATTTCTCAGTCAGTAATGGGAAAATAGATAACTGAGTTTCCCTGAAGAATCCCATTCAACTCAACCAATGTCTACCCAGCCCTTAGCTTGATGGCAGCCAGTGTGTTTGAGGCTAGATAGCTGGAAAGCAAAAAAGGAATCTAATGGTGAATGAGATGGGACCCCCTACCTTAGAAAAAGTGCAATAAGCCAGGGAAGGCAGACGTGTAAATGACTGAGATCAGCACTCAGCAGAGGCACAGGCCTCAAACAAAGGAGGGATTTCCCTGAGTGCTGTGCAAGAGCAGAAAGAAACCCCAAAGTGTGATGTGCCCCATTTACCCTGGGCCTTGAAGGAAGAATGACTTCTCCAGTAAAGAACCGAGGAAGAACAGTCCAGTCTGAGTGTACAGAGTGAGCAAAGGGCAAAGGTCCAGAGCATGAAAGCGCCAGACCCTTAAAAAGTATAGTCCTCCCCAGTCATACCACTCCCAGCTCATTCTCATTCATCCTAGACGCGGGAACCCAAACACGCAGCTCAGACAGGAGTCAGGAAACAGCTGGACTCGAAGAGCCATCAGAACAATTCAGATAAGTCAACAATTGGAAACAATAATATTGGCATGGGTCAAGGGTGGTGACAAAGAGCACGTCATCTAAAGGGGACAGCACTGTTCAGCTTGGCTTGATTGTTGCCTCCCAGGAAAGTCACAGAAGCCAGATCTTGGAGATTTTTCAGAGAAGCTAGAAATATATATATACATAAATATATATATATGCACACACATACATATATAATATATATATATACACACACACACACACATATCACATATATAATATGTATTAGAGGGAGAGAGAAAGGATAGGTAACTTACACAAGGCCGAGATTTGGTAGAGAGGCGGGGTTTAAATCTTGTTTTTTTGTTTTTGTTTTTTGAGAAAGGGTCTTGCTCTGTCACCCAGGCAGGAGTGCAGTGGCATGATCTCAGCTCCCTGCAGCCTCGACCTCCTGGGCTCAAGTGATCCTCCCACTTCAGTCTCCTGAGTAATTGGAACTACAGGTGCATGCCACAACACCTGGGTAATTTTTATATTTTTTGTAGAGAGAGGGGTCTTGCTATGCCACTCAGGCTGGTCTTTAACTCCTGGGCTCAAGTGATCCTCCTACCCAGGCCTCCCAATGTGCTAGGATTATAGGGATGAGACACTGCACCAAAACTAGGTTCAAATCTTGAACTGTCAGATTCCAAAGTTGAGCTTCTGGAACGGCTGGGTAGGAAACATGGAAATTATTCAGGCCATGGAGGTGGAAGTTCTGGAAGGAAGAGGAACGGAAGCCAGGAAGGCACAAACAGGGAAGGCCAGTAATCTAGGGATAAGACATCCTAGCAGAAGAATCTTTTCTAATGATTAGGAAAGTCAAAACACACACATGCACTCACATCTGAAGAGTGGCAAGAGGAATTAGCAAGATTTAAAAGATTTAAAACACTAAAGCTTTGGCACCAAAAGCAGCCAGAAAATAGAAAAAGGCAAAAATACTTGGAACCACCCCAACTTCCTGCTGATATTAAATTTTAATGGATTAGGACTCAAGAATGGCTTCAAATAATAAAATGAAAATTTGTTACCAATTAAAGGAAAACATCAACCTGACCAAAATAAATCTGAAATGAGACGCTGAATCCTGGACTCCCCAGCCCTTCCTACCAGCCACAATTTCTTTCGATCAATAATTGAAACATCCTCCAGGCATATTAAAGAACCCAGAAGTCACACCCTGCCCTGCAGGGCTCCACAGGTGAACATTTGCATATGTCAAAGGAAAGGGCATTTCCACCAGCCTCCCTTGCTCTCCAGAGAGAACCCCGGGGCCTTGCAAGTCTCGGCAGATTTCCCTGACCTTGCGTGCCAAGGCAGAAGGTGAGATGGCAAACAGATGCGCGCTTCCACTGAGAGCGTGCATGTGTGTGCGTGTATGTGAGTGCGTGCATGTGTGTGCGTGCGTGTATGTGTGTGCGTGCGTGTGAGTGCACATGTGCGTGCAGGTGCCTGTGACCGCTGCTGTGGTGGGGGAACTGTGGGGAGAAGAGAAAGAAAGGGAGTGTTAAGAGAAAGGAAGATGGAGGGATGTTTACATTTAATCGTCACCTTTCGATTACATTTATTTTGGCCAAAGCCATCTAGCTATTGAATGACACAGCTATTCTTGGGTTCCATCTTAAGACTTTTTTTTTTTAATTGAAATGTATATTCTTTTTAAGAATCAAGGGGAAAGCCATTTAGATGCCTGGTATAAAGCCATTAAGGCTAAAGACGCAGCAGGATCCGCCTTACTGGGTATGAATGTGCCCATGAAAACCTTGTCCTTGTCAAGCCTTTATAATAATTATACACACCCTTAGTGATTTCAGTGGAAACGACGCTCTGAGGGGTTCTTGGGGAAGATTCACAAAAGCCACATAGCAAATCTCTTTGACTCAGTCTGGTAAACATCAGGTAGTAAGGGGCTTTCCCGGCTTAATTCATGGGAAATAATATGGAAAATAAATTCATCTTCAGTATTTATGAAAGTCGAGACTGAAAAATCTGCGAAGACTCCACAGGCGACAGTCACACAGGTTTCCCTCCCTTCCACAAATGATCAGCTCCAAACACTGAGCTGTAGGAAATGTAAAAAGCAACAATCCTTCACTCAAAGCAGGTCTCTGGAGGGGAGAGGCTGGAGGGTAAGAAGGAATGGAGCATATTTGACCCAGATGAAAAACCCATGCCCTGGCAGCCCCAAGACCACTATTCCAGAGCTTTCCCAGCTGAGGGCAGGCACACAGATGCCTAGTTCGCCTCTAAGATTTCAAGGGGGTGTTCTTTTGTCTCACTTTCTTGAAACTTTTTTTAAACTGGTATCTGTTTATAAAGCGTTTCTTTCTCTCTTTCTTTCTTCTTTCTTTCTTTCTTTCTTTTCTTTCCTTTTTTTTTTTTTTTTTTTTGAGTTGCTCTGTCATCCAAGCTGAAGTGCAGTGGCGCAATCATGGCTCACTGCAGCCTCAACCTCCTGTGCTCAAGCAATTCTCCCGCCTCAGCCTTCCAAGTAGCTGCTGGGACTACAGGCACACACAACCGTGTCCGGCTAATTTTCAAAATTTTTTGTAGAGACAGAGTCTTGCTATGTTGCTCAGGCTGGTCTCGAACTCCTGAGCTGAAGTGATCCTACCACCTTGATCTCCCAAAGTGCTGGGATTACAGACGTTGAGCCACCAGTCCCAGCTGTTTTTTCTTTTTTCCTATACACTGTGTGCTTGAGTCGAAAAGTTCATTCAGTTCATCTTCCAAACACCTCCGTGATGCACCTGTTTAGTACCTGACACAGGTGCTGGGCATTGGGCTGTGAACCTGCCCAAACATACTTAGCAAAAGTGAGCAGCAAAGATGGCATGGTGAGCAATGGATCCTGAAGGAAAAAGGACCAGCACGTGCAAGGCCAGGGATGTGGAACCTCACAGGACTCCCAGCATCTGCAGTCCAGACACTTGACCCACACTGAGTCAGAGAAGCCTCAGTCTTACTGACCTCGCTTCCCTCTTTTCTTTTTGCCTAGTGGCTTATGAAAGAGACTAAAAGTCCTGTTGAGAAACAACAGAGGGGCAGAACAGGAAATGTTTTCTAGCAAAGAAGAGAATGCACTCACAAATAAAAATGAAATGATCATTTGCATCCATCAAACATGTGTTTCTCGATTGTGTTATGAAGAAATTCAGAGTAGGAGATGAAACAGTGTTAATAGTCACATTGCATTTTCAGTTTGAGGAGCTTGCTGGGCATGCCCGAGTGTGGGTCTGCTACTTCGTTATTCATTTCGCCATTTACATTTCTGGTTTTTATCACATGTATGAGACAAAGTAGCCAATGTAAGAAGCCATGTCTGTTCATGTCTGCTTGCCAGCATAGTTTCACAAAGCCCCTGACTCTGTGATGACATGTAGCTCTCTCCAAAGATGCTTTGAAGACAAAACAGCAAGCCGGGCATAGTGGCTCATGCCTGTAATGCCAGCACTTTGGGAGGCCGAGGCAGGTAGATCACTTGAGGTCAGCAGTTCAAGACCACCCTGACCAACATGGCAAAACCCCATCTCTACTAAAAATACAAAAAAAAAAAAATTAATTGGGTGTGGTGGTGGGTGCCTGTAATCCCAGCTACTCAGGAGGCTGAGGCAGGAGAATCGCTTGAAACTAGGAGGCAGAGGTTGCAGTGAGCCGAAATCATGCCACTACACTCCAGCCTGGGTGACAAGAGCGAAATCTATCTCCAAAAAAAAAAAAAGAATAGTGCACTGGGCACCCCATGTCTCTTGCCTGAATCGCTATATTCCTTGAAAGATAAATGACCCTAGTCCTTTTGCTACAGAGAAGATCATGTCTGGCGGGATTAGTGTTATGCTTCTGGAAACTATAACCAGATGTGCTCTTGTACCCAAACTTACATGTGATTTTGCATGTTCTGAATTTTCACCACCTGTATATATACAGTGAACTGAAATTCTGTGTTGGAGCAGTCCTCAGAATTGTTCCCAGAATATAGGCCGTGATCTATAGTCTTCAGTAAAACTTTAAATAAACCTTCTTTTTTTTTTTTTTTGAGATGGAGTTGCATGATCTCAGCTCACTGCAGCCTCTGCCTCCCGGGTTCAAGCGATTCTCCTGCGTCAGCCTCCCGAGCAGCTGGGACTACAGATGTGCGCCACCACGCCCAGCTAAATTTTGCATTTGCAGTAGAGACAGGGTTTCACCATATTGGCCAGGCTGGTCTCGAACTCCTGACCTCATGATCCACCTGCCTTGGCCTCCTAAAATGCTGGGATTACAGGTGTGAGCCACCGCTCCCAGCCAACTAATCTTAATTCTTAAAATCTTGACTCTTTCTTTAGTTGACATATGCATATTTATTTTCCTTATGAAAATCAGAAATGTTATACACAGCAAAATATCCATGTTTAGTTCTCCTTCAGGTCTCTTAATTCTTTTTTCTGAATATTGAAAAATATATTTATCAGGAAAAATTGAATATATTTGTTTATGTCAACCTAAAAGGAAGAGGCTGAAGCACAAAAAATAATTTAAAGAGTGTACTAGAGCCAAAGTGAGGACAGCTGCTCGGAAAACTGAGACCTAGTAACCTTCAGTATGAGCTCTGGGTGGCCTTTGTTACAAGCAGATTTTTTTTTTTCTTTTAACAGAGTCTTGCTCTGTCACCCAGGCTGGAGAACAGCAGCACGATCACAGCTCACTGCAACCTCTGCTGCCTAGGTTCAAGCAATTCTCATGTCTCAACCTCCAGAGTAGCTGGGATTACAAGCGTGCACCAACACACCTGGCTAATTTTTTTTTTTTTTGAAACAGAGCCTCGCTCTGTTGCCCAGGCTGGAGTGCAGTGGCACGATCTTGGCTCACTGCAACCTCCTCCTCCCGGGTTCAAGAGATTCTCCTGCCTGAGCCTCTCAAGTAGCTGGGATTACAGGTGCCTGCCACTAAGCCCAGCTAATTTTTGTACTTTTAATAGAGACAGGGTTTTTCTATGTTGGCCAGGCTGGTCTCGAACTCCTAACCTCAGGTGATCCACCAGCGTTGGCCTCCCAAAGTGCTGGGATTACAGGCATGAGCCGCCGTGCCCAGCTGGCTATACATTGTTAAACTATAGGGTATGAGCTATAATGTCTGGTGCAGCATTATTAGGTTAATTTGTAGTTACTGTGGCAATAGCAAGCAGTTTCAAGAGATGAGTACATAGCTCAAAAGAGGGGAAGTGAGATGTGACTGCTGTCTCATTGTAATATCTCTCTCAACCTGATAATTTAAAAGGACTCACATTCCTCAGATAAAAGTTCTTTTCTCCATTTATTGGATTAAAAAATCATTTTCCAAGTGCAAAATGAATTATAGTATAAAATAATTATTTGAACAAATAGAATGAGGCCAGGTGCAGTGGCTCATGCCTGTAATCCCAGCTCTTTGGAAGGTTGAGGCGGGAGGATCACTTTAGGCCAGTAGTTTAAGAGCAGCCTGAGCAACATAGCAAGACACCATCTCTACTAAAAAATAAAGTAGCCAGGCATGCTGGCGTGTGCCTATAGTCCTAGCTACTTGGGAAGCTGGCGTAAGATTGCTTGAGCCCAGGAATTTGAGGCTGCAGTGAGCTATAATTGTGCACCCTAGCCTGGGCAATAGAGTGAGACCCTGTCGCTTAACAAGAAAGAAAGAAAACCAGAATGATCAAATCTAGATTTGTGCAATAAAGGAAACCAAAAATATTTCACCTCAAAATATACTTCTTTGAGGTATTTCAAGATGGCTATTCAAAGGCTGGAAACAAAATTGCTCAAAATCTGCCTTGTATGGGCGGGATTTGTATTCATAAAGAAAATCTGCATTGATGAAATAAACAGCCACCCTTTCTCTGCCTCACCCAGACCTTGTCGGGATCGAGGAGACTGGCTCACAGGAGAGACTGAGAGTCTGATGGGGGTCTAACAAAAACTTACTCTTTCTGAGCACCACTACCTGTGAGGTGTCATCTGCATAACAAGACCGTGTTTGCTAGCCAGGCCCGTCCTCTTCTCTCTTTCTCATAACTGGTCTTACCATACTCCAAGCCCCTATACTTTCTGTAACCTCAAGATGATATAAAGCATCAATCAGCAGATCCTTTCTTTGAGAGTTTTCATATTTTGTATGACTCCTGTGCCCATTTGCACATTAATAAGTTTGTATGCTTTTTTTCCCTGTTAATTTGTCTGTTATCAGTTTGGTTTTTGACTCAGCTTATCAAACCTTCTGGGGAAAAATTTAAGCTTTCCTTTCAGTTCGGTATTGTGAGCAGGACAACAAATTGCTCTGTTGGCTCCAGAACTTCAGGATGGGATCTTGGGTCAATTGATGAAAAGCCAGTGAAGAAAGCTAAGAAATTTTTACCAAGTCAGTTCTCCTGGGTCTCTGTGGTGCCCAGTTGAATGAGGAAGAGTCTTTCTTGGTCTTCTTCCATTTCTAAATTTGGATTAACAGGAAAAAATGTGTACGTAAATTAGTTTTGTGTTGGTTTAAATAGCTTTTGAAATAAAACGCTATTTAGTTGGCAACATTTTATTTTATTTTAGTCATTTTTTTAGAGACAAAGTTGTCCAGGCTACAGTATAATGGCACCATCATAGCTCCCTGTAACCTCGAATTCCCAGGCTCAAGCGCCCCTCCTGCCCCAGCCTCCTGGGTAGCTGGGATTACAGGCACATGCCATGCCACCATATTCAGCTATTTTTTTAATTTTTTCTATTTTTTAACAGAGACAGGGTCTCAAACTTCAAGCAATCCTCCTGCCTTGCCCTCACAAAGTGTTGGGATTGCAGGCATGAGCCACTGCACTCAGCCAAAATTTTTGCTTAAAAAAAAAAAAAAGTAAAATTGTGTTGGTCTTTTTGGGGAGCTGCAGACCTCTCCAGACTGGCTCCTCTGGGACTCATTCTTCCTTCAGCTTCTGCCCCGCCTTTTGCCCCCTTTGATATTCCCTCCAGTTGTCTGATATGGTTTATCTCAAGCCCCTTCTCCTCTATTTGGTGGTCAGTGGATGAAAAATTACAGAGAAAAAACATCAGAGTTCTAGTTATCACATAAAGGGATCTAAAAGAAATTTCTATCAACTGCGAGACCCCTTGAAGAACACAGTTAAGGCACCACTGACCCCCCTCTTTTGAGGTCCCCTGTATTCCTCATGGAACCCCAAGAGTTGTGAATGGGTTCCTTTCAGGTCTAAAGCTCTGCTCTCTTTTGTATTAAACTCCCTAATCTCTATGACTTTTGGATACATACATGTGTACATGTGTGTTGTGTGTTGTATCTACATGTATGTATGTGTCTATACATGTATTTGTATGTTGTCTACAGGATACCAAACTGACGTATAAATAAATGAGTACTCATAAATAACTAGCCAAAATGCTTTTCAAGTTCACATGTAATTTTTGGTAAGTAAAGCTAGCTTTAAATTTTTGAGTAAAATAAAAATGTCTTCAAAATTTAATGTAGACATTTTTGCCTGAGTCTACTGATTAAACAAATTTATGCTGTCTCTGCTAGGTGTTTTAAGGTCAAAAAACTTGCTTCTGTGATACTTTTGATACTTGCTTAACTTGTCTTTGAGCTAACACTGCAGGCTGGCTGTGTTCCACCAAAGCCTTGCAAACATCCTGCTGTGGGGTTTATGACTTTGGTTTTAAGCTTTGGATTCTGTAGTCTAGACAGTTGGCCATGGTGAGGCCTGGAGACATATGTATGTCCACAGTACCTGGGCCACCAGCTGCAGGGAAGAACCAAGCCCAATATGGCTCCATTCTCTCTGGCCCAGCTTGCCTCCTAGCCATGCTATGAAGGATCAGATCCTCCAGATACGGTCTTTACAGCTCTCTCCTTGTCCTGGGCTCTGCACCTGGTACATAACAATGAAAATTGCTTATGCCTGTAATCCCAGCACTTTGTGAGGCCGAGGTGGGTGGCTCACTTGAGGCCAGGAGTTTCAGAGGAGCCTGGTCAACACAGCAAGACCCCATCTCTGTGTTTAAAAATATATATATATTTTAAAATTAAAAGAAAAAATAAAATAAAATTGCTTATTTCAGCCAGGTATGGTGGCTCATGCCTGTAAATCCTAGCAATTTGGGAGGCCAAGGTAGGAGGATTGCTTGAGCCCAGGAGTTCAAGACCAGCCTGAGCAACATAGTGAAACCCTGTCTCTACAAATAATTTTTTTTTTTTTTTTGGAATGGAATCTCGCTCTGTTGCCCAGGCTGGAGTACAATGGCGCAATCTCGGCTCACTACAACCTCTGCCTGCCAGCAGTTCAAGTAAGTCTCCTGCCTCAGCCTCCCTAGCAGCCTGGACTAGAAGCACCCACCACCATGCCCAGCTAATTTGTGTATTTTTAGTAGAGACGGGGTTTCACCATGTTGGCCAGGCTGGTCTCAAACTCCTGGCCTCAAGTGATCTGCCCACCTCAGCCTCCCAAAGTTCTGAGATTACAGGCGTGAGCCACTGCGCCTGGCCCTACAAATAATAACTTTAAAAAAATTAGTCAAATGTTGTGTCATGCACCTGTGGTCCCAGCTACTCTGCCTTTAGCCCAGGCAGTCAAGGCTGCAGTGAGCCACGATCACATCACTGCTCCCCAGGCTGGGCAGCAGAGTGAGACCCTATCTCAAAATAAAATAAAACAAGATAGGCTGGGCACAGTGACTCACACCTGTAATCCCAGCAGTTTGGGAGGCTGAGGTGGGCGGATCACCTGAGGCCAGGAGTTTGAGGCCAGCCTGGCTAACATGGTGAAACCCCGTCTCTACTAAAAATACAAAAAAATCAGCTGGGTGTGGTGGCACATGCCTGTAGGTCTAGCTGCTTGGGAGACTGAGGCAGGAGAATCACTTGAATTCAGGAGAGGGAGGTTGCAGTGAGCCGAGATCATGCCACTACACTCCAGCCTGGGCAACAGAGTGAGACTCCGTCTCAAAAATAAAATAAAACAGCTTTTTTTTTTTTTTTTTTTTTTGAGACAGGGTCTCGCTCTGCCACCTAGGCTGGAGTGCAGTGGAACAATCTTGGCTCACCACAACCTCCACCTCCCAGGCTCAAGCAATCCTCCTGCCTCTGCTCCCTGAGTAGCTGGGACTGCTGGTGCATGCCACCACGCTTGGCTAATTTTTAAATATTTTGTAGAGACAAGGTCTCACTATATTGCCCAAGCTGGTCTCAAACTCCAAAGCTCAAGCAATCCTCCCACCTCGGCCTCCCGGAAGTGCTGGAATTACAGGTGTGAGCCACTGTGCCCCACCAAAATTGCTTATTTCTATGTTTTTCATTGAAAATTAAGGTTACTAAGAGTTAAAATTGTAATTAATATATGAAATTAAAACTACTAGATATAAAACGCACAATTCCTGCATACAGAATGTGTAAGAAGGCCAGGCACAGTGGCTCACACCTATAATCCAAGCACTTTGGGAGACTGAGGTGGGAGAATTGCTTGAGCCCAGGAGTTTGAGACCGGACTGGGTAACACAGGGAAACCTTGACTGTAATATATATATATATATATATATATATATATATTTTTTTTTTTTTTTTTTTTTTTAAGTAGCTGGGATGGTAGCACACACCTGTAGTCCTAGCTACTCAGGAGGCTGAGTTGGGAGGAGCACCTTGAGCCCAGGAGTTCCAGACCAGCCTGGGCGAAGGAGCGAGATCACATTTCAAAAAAAAAAAATTGAATGTGATTTTGGTTAAAGAAAAGTTTATAGCCGGGCGCGGTGGCTCACGCCTGTAATCCCAGCACTTTGGGAGGCCGAGGCGGGCAGATCAGGAGATCAGGAGATCGAGACCATCCTGGCTAACACGGTGAAACCCCGTCTCTACTAAAAA